>NC_000004.12:10000-364839 GCF_000001405.40 Homo sapiens | reverse complement strand
GCATGGTGTTTGAGATCTGAGAATGGGCAGACTGCCTCCTCAAGTGGGTCCCTGACCCCTATGTAGCCTAACTGGGAGACATCTCCCAGTAGGAGTCGACTGACACCTCATACAGGCAGGTGACCCTCTGGGACAAAGCTTCCAGAGGAAGGATCAGGCAGCAATATTTGCCGCTCTGCAGTCTCTGCTGGTGATACCCAGGCAAAGAGAGTCTGGAGTGGACTCTAGCAAGAGTAATAAAGACTAATAAAGAAGAAAAGAGAGAAGAATCAAATAGATGCAACAAGAAATGATAAAGGGGATATAACCACCGATCCCACAGAAATAGAAACTACCATCAGAGAATATTATAAATACCTCTATGCAAATAAAGTAGAAAATCTAGAAGAAATGGATAAATTCCTGGACACATACACCCTCCCAAGACTAAAGCAGGAAGAAACAGAATCTCTGAATAGACCAATAACAGGCTCTGAAATTGAGGCAATAATTAATAGCCTACCAACCAAAAAAAGTCCAGGACCAGATGAATTCACAGCCGAATTCTACCAGAGGTACAAAGAAGAGCTGGTATCATTCCTTCTGAAACTATTTCAATCAATAGAAAAAGAGGGACTCCTCCCTAACTCATTTTATGAGGCCAGCATCATTCTGATACCAAAGCCTCACAGAGACACAACAAAAAAAGAGAATTTTAGACCAATATCCCTGAGGAACATCGATGTGAAAATCCTCAATAAAATACTGGCAAACCAAATCCAGCAGCACTTCAAAAAGCTCATCTACCATGATCAACTCGGCTTCATCCCAGGGATGCAAGGCTGGTTCAACATACACAAATCAATAAACGTAATCCATCACATAAACAGAACCATCAACAAAAACCACATGATTGTCTCAATAGATGCAGAAAAGGCCTTCGGCAAAATTCAACAGCCCTTCAAGCTAAAAACTCTCAATAAACTAGGTATTGATGGAACGTATCTCAAAATAATAAGAGCTATTTATGACAAACCCACAGCCAATATCATACTAAATGGGCAAAAACTAGAAGCATTCCCCCCCGCCTTTTTTTTTTTTTGGAGACAGAGTCTCACTGTGTCGTGCAGGCTGGAGTACAGTGGCACGATCTTGGCTCACTGCAAGCTCCGCCTCCCGGGTTCATGCCATTCTCCTGCCTCAGCCTCCCGCGTAGCTGGGACTCCAGGTGCCTGCCACCACACCCGGCTAGTTGTTTCCATTTTTTTAGTACAGACGAGGTTTCACGGTGTTAGCCAGGATGGTCTCCATCTCCTGACCTCATGATCTGCCCGCCTTGGCCTCCCAAAGTGCTAGGATTACAGGCGTAACCCACTGCGCCCGGGCAGGAAGCATTCCCTTTGAAAACTGGCACAAGACAGGGATGCCTTCTCTCACCACTCCTATTCAACATAGTGTTGGAAGTTCTGGCCAGGGCAATCATGCAGGAGAAAAGAAATAAAGGGTATTCAATTAGGAAAAGAGGAAGTCAAATTGTCCCTGTTTGCAGATGACATGATTGTGTATTTAGAAAACCCCATCGTCTCAGCCCAAAATCTCAAGCTGATAAGCAACTTCAGCAAAGTCTCAGGACACAAAATCAATGTGCAAAAATCACGAGCATTCCTATAACACCAGTAACAGACAGAGAGCCAAATCATGAGTGAACTCCTATTCACAATTGCTTCAAAGACAATAAAATACATAGGAATCCAACTTACAAGGGATGTGAAGGACCTCTTCAAGGAGAACTACAAACCACTGCTCAATGAAATAAAAGAGGACGCAAACAAATGGAACAACATTCCATGCTCATGGATAGGAAGAATCAATATCATGAAAATGGCCATACTGCCCAAGGTAATTTATAGATTCAATGCCATCCTCATCAAGCTACCAATGACTTTCTTCACAGAACTGGAAAAAACTACTTTAAAGTTCATATGGAACCAAAAAAGAGCCTGCATTGCCAAGACAATCCTAAGCCAAAAGAACAAAGCTGGAGGCATCACGCTACCTGACTTCAAATCATGCTACAAGGCTACAGTAACCAAAACAGCATGGTACTGGTACCAAAACAGAGATATAGACCAATGGAACAGAACAGAGCCCTCAGAAATAATACCACACATCTACAACCATCTGATCTTTGACAAATGTGACAAAAACAAGAAATGGGGGAAGGACTCCCTATTTAATAAATGGTGCTGGGAAAACTGGCTAGCCATATGTAAAAGCTGAAATTGGATCCCTTCCTTACGCCTTATACAAAAATTAATTCAAGATGGATTAAAGACTTAAATGTTAGACCTATAACCATAAAAACCCTAGAAGAAAACCTAGGCAATACCATTTAGGACACAGGCATGGGCAAGTACTTCATGACTAAAACACCAAAAGCAATGGCAAGAAAAGCCAAAATTGACAAATGGAATCTAATTAAACAAAAGAGCTTCTGCACAGCAAAAGAAACTACCATCAGAGTGAACAGGCAACCTACAGAATGGGAGAAAATTTTTACAATCTACCCATCCAACAAAGGGCTAATAACCAGAATCTACAAAGAATTCAAACAAATTTACAAGAAGAAATCAAACAACCCTATCAAAAAGTGGGCAAAGGATATGAACAGACACTTCTCAAAAGAAGACATTTAGGCAACCAAAAGACACATGAAAAAATGCTCATCATCACTGGCCATCAGAGAAATGCAAATCAAAACTACAATGAGATACCATCTCACACCAGTTAGAATGGCAATCATTAAAAAGTCAGGAAACAACAGGTGCTGGAGAGGATGTGGAGAAATAGGAACACTTTTACACTGTTGATGGGACTGTAAACTAGTTCAACCATTGTGGAAGACAGTGTGGCAATTCCTCAAGGATTTAGAACTAGAAATACCATTTGACCCAGCCATCCTATTAATGGGTATATACCCAAAGGACTATAAATCATGCTGCTATAAAGACACATGCACATGTATGTTTACTGCGGCACTATTCACAATAGCAAAGACTTGGAACCAACGCAAATGTCCATCAATGATAGACTGGATTAAGAAAACGTGGCACATATACACCATGGAATACTATGCAGCCATAAAAAAGGATGAGTTCTTGTCCTTTGTAGGGACATGGATGAAGATGGAAACCATCATTCTGAGCAAACTATCACAAAGACAGAAAACCAAACACCGCATGTTCTCACTCACAGGTGGGAATTGAACAATGAGAACACTCAAACACAGGGTGGGGAACGTCACACACCGGGGCCTGTCGTGGGGTTGGGCGGGGAGAGGGATAACATTAGGAGATATACCTAATGTAAATGACAAGTTAATGGGTGCAGCACACCAACATGGCACATGTATACATATGTAACAAACCTGCACGTTATGCACATGTACCCTAGAACTTAAAAAAAAAAAAAAACAGAAAGATATTCTGACACATCTTACAAAAACAAAGCCTGAGATCATTCCGTTAAAAAAAATAGTCAAAAAGAGACATTATATAATTATAGTGATACAAATATAAAAATCAGCCAAAAGTATAGAAACAGTAAGTAAAATGGTGTTTTCCAAGAGCTGAAGAGAGGAAAAGGGCAGTTTATTTATTATTACATTTTACTTTCGTAAGATAAAATTAATCTAAAGATCCATTGCAAAATAATGTAAATGTACTTAGCTCCACTAGACTGTACTTGAAAATGTTTAAGATGGCAATTTTATGTTTTTCATCACAATTAAATATTTACATCTACCTAAAACGGTTACATTTTTCAAAAATCACCTTCAAATAACAAGTGCTTCTCTCACAGAATAATATATAATCAAACAATAAATAGATGGTAAATTTACAGTTTCTTTGACTGCTCATCTACACAAGGAAATACTGATGACTACCCAAGAAAATGAGTAATTTATAAACAAAGTAGGTCAATATTTATACAGGCAAATACCATATAGAAAACTTTTATAGGCAATAGAAAATTCGCATTTATATATTTTTTAAAATTTGCCCAAAGTGATTTTTGCAGGCAAATACCACATAGATAACTTTTATAGGCAACAGAAATGTCACATATATATTTATGTATATTTTTTTAACTTGCTCCAATGATTTTTATTGGAATTAAACAATACATGGTCATAAAAGGTACAAAGTTGAAAATTACCATACAAATATGAAGATTAAAAACACACAAAAAAGTAAATGATCAAGGAGAACCTACATGAAAAGAGACTCCCCAGTAAAATACAGTTGAAAACAAGAGAAAATTCTGACCTATAAAATATTGAATATAATACAGACGTATCATAAAAACAATCCTTTAAATAACTAGTTTTCAACTGTGACTTATGAAGAGCTGGCATTTTGAATCTTTGACATGCCATGCGCCGCAATAAAAGCAAATGCATTTCAATAATTAATAAAATGCTCTAATGAGAATGAAGCATTGCAATACATTTACTTATTACACAATGTGTAAATCTGAGTACTTTATTTCAGAAATTCTGAATCTGTAATCAGATAAATTTGACATAGAACATATCGGAACATATGGCATAGCAAGATGGCAGAATAGGAGGCTCCCTACCCACACTTTCTACAGTAACAAAAATGCAGCAGTTAAGCCCTGACAAAACAACCTTTACGGCAACTTTGGAATCCATGTGTAAGACTGCGAACCGAAGACTGAGGAGGGCTGTATTGAGAGGGTGTGCCCTTGCTTGAGTGGCATGCTTGCCCACAATACAGAATGAAATGTAATTAATTCTCATTGTAAACATAGCTATCATTTGGTTTTGTTTATGCCACTAGCACCATCTGCCAAGACACTTAGGAGGATTCATAATGTCCTGTGTCTCAGGTGAAAGGCCTTTAGATGTTGCTTCTGTCTGTGATCTCTGAATTACCCCAAACTGCACCCCTTGCACATGTCAGTCATGATGTGGAAGAAATCCTACTCACACAGGGACCCACAGACAGAAATATCCATCTCTGCCCCTGGATGTAGGCTTGCCAATATTTATTTGATGGTGGATCTTGACGTGGCACTACAACTTGGCTCCAAGTCCATGCAACCAAAATCCAGGAGGAGTTTTTCCTGACCTGTGACCTGCCCAAAAGCACAGCTACATGTGTCCCTGTAGGCATGCTGGCTGACTTTATTCCCACCGTGAATTGTGAAGCAGTCCTATAACCAAGCTCCAGTCCCTGGCAGCTAGAGGCAGGGAGAAGTCCTGCCCACCTAGAAATCTGGAGGGAGAAATGTCATGAACCCAGAACAAACCTGAAGACTTTGGTCTCAGCTGTGTATCCTGAAGCAGCCCTATGAATTAGTTTCACACCCTCTCAGCTGTGATCAACGCTCAGTAACGGTCATCTAGAAACCTGTCCAATGACTAGGTTAGAGCATTTCCAAACATCTCGCAAGAGCCAAACAGCAGGAGCCACACCTACTCATATTTATTGTATCAGCATCTCCATTTGCAGATATTAACTGGGTTTTTTTTTTCTCAGCACCAGTCTTATTGATCAAGATCTTAAAGAAAGTTCAGTCTCCTCAGAAAATGGAATCCTCAACTGTCTGATGCTTAAATAACAGGTCTGCCAAGCATTAACTTCACTGTAGACCCAGTAGTAGTTACGTGACCAGGATCCAATGCAGTTGACTGTGATCCTAGTGAAAATCTCATCAGCCCAGAAAACCAATAGAAGATATTTACCTCCCTAAACTAGTCTGTAATGACTGAAAGAAGTATTTACTCCTTCAGATGCAAGAACATCAAAACAAGGCTTCACAGATTATGAAGGATCAGGCAAACCTAACAGCACAAAAAGAAACTAAAAATGCTCCAGGAACAACTAACAATAAAACACAGATCTAGAAAATGTCTAACAGAGAATTCAAAGTAATTATCTTAAAAAATCTCAATAAGAGTCCAGGCGAGGAGGCTCACACCTGTAATCCCAGCACTTTGGGAGGCCGAGGCGGATGGATCACAAGGTCAGGAGATCGTGACCATCCTGGCCAACATGGTGAAACCGTCTCTACTAAAAATACAAAAATTAGCCAGGTGTGGTGGCACATTCCTGTAATCTTAGCTACTTGGGAGGCTGAGACAGGAGAATTGCTTGAACCCGGGAGGCGGAGGTTGCAGTGAGCCGAGACTGAACCACTGAACTCCAGCTTGGCAACAGAACAAGACTCCATCTCAAACAATCAAACAAAAAAACAACAAAAGAAAAATAAAATGCAAAAGTACACAGATTACTAATTTTTTTTTGCAACAATGCATGAACAAAATGAGTTATAAAAAAGAAGGAGAGCTGGGCACAATGGCTCACACCTGTAATCCCAGCACTTCAGGAGGCTGAGGCAGGCGGATCACTTGAGGTCAGGAGTTCGAGACCAGCCTGGCCAACATGGTGAAACCCCATCTCTACTAAAAATATAAAAATTAGCCAGGTGTGGTGGCTCATGACTAATCCCAGCTACTTGGGAGGCGGAGGCAGGAGAATCACTTGAACTCGGGAGGTAGAGGTTGCAGTCAGCCAAGATCGTGCCATTGCACTCCAGTCTGGGTGACAAGAGCGAAACTCCATCTTTAAAAAAAAAAAAAAAAAAAAGAACGAGAAACTTAAAAAAGAACCAAATACATATGCTGGAGTACACAATAGAACTAAAAAATTTAACAACAAGCTTTAACAGAAGACTCAGTTCTACAGGAAAAAAAAATAAGCAAACTTAAAAGTAAGTCATTTGAAAGTTCCTAATTAAAACTTAAAGAATGAGGCCAGGCATGGTGGCTCATGCCTGTAATCCCAGCACTTCGGGAGGCTGAGGCGGGCGAATCACGAAGTCAGGAAATCGAGACCATCCTGGCCAACATGGCGAAATCCTGTCTCTACTACAAATACAAAAAGAAAAAAAGAAAAAATTAGTCGGGCGTGGTGGCGCGCGCCTATAGTCCCAGCTACTCAGGAGACTAAGGTAGAGAATTGCTTGAATCCGGGAGGCGCAAGCTGCAGTGAGCCAAGATCGTGCCACTGCACTCCAGCCTGGGCAACAGAGTGAGACTCTGTCTCAAAAAAAAAAAAAAAAAGAAAAAAGAAAAAAGAAAGAGTGACTGAAGCATTTGGGTCCCACACTGCATAATTATCTGTAGGAATGTACATCTCTTAAGAGGTTCAGGAGACAGAGAAAAAAAAATTTTTTTAATTGTGTAAAGGTATAATGTCTTAAATTTTCCCAATCTTGGAAGGAAAATAGACATTCAGTTTTATGAAGCTTAAAATCTCTATAGCAAGAACCTCATAAAAATTGCTCAGGACACATTATAATTAAACTGCCAGAATTCAAAGACAAAGAGAGATTCTTTTTTTTTTTTTTTTGAGACAGAGTCTCACTCTATCACTCAGGCTGGAGTGCAGTGGTGACATCTCGGCTCACTGCAACCTCCACCTCCTGGGTCAATATAGCAGGACGCTGTCTCTAAAATAAATACATAAATAAAATAAAGATCTCAGAAAGCTATTCAATCTTTTAAAAAAAGAAATGACTGGGCCTGATGGCTCATGCCTGTAATCCTAGTACATTGGGAGGTCAAATCAAGTGCTTGAGGTCAGGAGTTCAAGACCAGCCTGAGCAACATGGCAAAACCCCGTCTCTACAAAAAGCACTGACAAAATTAGCTGAATATGGTGGCATGTGCTTGTAGTTCCAGCTACTCAAGAGGCTGAGATGGGAGGATTGCTTGAGCCCACAAAGGTTGAGGCTGCACTCAACTGTGAATGCACCACTGAACTATAGCCTGAGTAACAAAGTAAGACCCTATCTGTACAAAACAAAAGGTTAAATTGAAGGCAAAATTTTAAAATGAGAGGTTTCATGTAAGTCTCTTGGAAATTACAAAAAAAAAACTAGTAGATGCACATACAAGAAAAAGAAGGCAACAAAAACAAAACAAAAATTCAAGAAAACACAAAAGATGACAGCATGAAGGAATTAAAAAACAGAAACCACTAAATGGTCAGTAAACAATGAATAAAATGGCAGTAATAAGTTCTTATCAATCGGTAATTCATTTAAATATAGAAAGATTTAGCTATGCAATAAAAACACACTGCTATGGTTTTAGTGTCCCCTCAAAATTCGTGTTAAAATTTAACTGCCATTGTGATAAAATTAAGTGAGGCCTTGGTCGGGTGCGGTGGCTCACACCTCTAATTCCAGCACTTTGGGAGGCTGAGGCGGGAGGATCACGAGGTCAAGAGATTGAAACACAGTGAAACCCCAACTCTACAAAAAATACAGACAATTAACCGGGTGTGGTGGCACGCGCCTGTAGTCCAAGCTACTGGGGAGGCTGAGGCAGGAGAATCGCTTGAATCTGGGAGGTGAAGGTTGCAGTGAGCTGAGATCACTGTACTCCACTGTACTCCAGCCTGGGTGACAGAACAAGACTCTGTCTCAAAAAACAAACAAACAAATAAGAAGTGAGGCCTTTAAGAAGTTATTAGGTCATGAGGGCTCTACTTTTATGAAAGGATTAATAGTATTATTCTTTTTTTTTTTTTTTTGAGACGGAGCCTTGCTGTGTCACCCAGGCTGGAGTGCGGTGGCATGATCTCGGCTCACTGCAACCTCTGCCTCCCAGGTTCAAGAGATTCTCCTGCCTCAGCCTCCTGAGTAGCTGGGATTACAGGCAGCCGCCACCGCACCCGGCTAGTTTTTGTCATTTTAGTAGAGATGGGGGTTTCACTATCTTGGCCAGGCTGGTCTCAAACTCGTGACCTGTGATCCACCCGCCTCAGCCTCCCAAAGTGCCGGGATTACAGGTGTAAGCCACTGTGCCCAGCCTAGTATTATAATTCTAAGAGTGCGTTAGTCATCATGAGAGTGGGTCTATTACAAAAGTGAGCTCTGGTGTACACCTTCCATCATCCTCAAGACTTTGGTCATGTTGTGATGTGGAAATGTGATTCTCATGAGGTGGGAATGACATGCTCTCGGACATCTCAGCATCCAGGATTGTGAGCTAAGTAAACTTCTATTCTTTATAAATTACCAACCCTAGAATATTGTTATTAAGCAAAAAACAATCTAAAACATTCACAGAATGTCTGAATCGATTTTAAAAATCAACAATATGCTGCAAACTAGAGACTTACTGTAGATTTAAGGAAATACATAGGTTAACGATTCAAAAATGAAAAGAATATTCCATGCCAATAATAACTTAAAAAGTGTAGGAATGCCTATATTTATATGAGACTAAATAGACATCTAGAAAAAAATCTGTCATAGCTGGGCACGATGGCTCATACCTGTAATCCCAACACTTTGGGAGGCCCAGGCAGCAGAATCACCTGCAATCAGGAGTTCGAGACCAGCCTGGCCAACATGGTGAAACCCTGTCTCTACTAAAAATACAAAAATTAGCCAGACGTGATGGTGGGCACCTGTAATCCCAGCTACTAGGGAGGCTGAGGCAGGTGAATTGCTTGAACCTGGGAGGCAGAGGTTGTGGTGAACCGAGGTTGTGGTGAACCAAGATTGCACCACTGCACTCCAGCCTGGGTGACGGAGTGAGACTGTCTCAAAAAATAAATAAATAAATAAATAAAATAAAATAAAGAAAAAAATTCGTCATTAAAAAAACTTCATTATATAGTGATGAGGCTAATTTGTCAAAAGAATATAACGATTAAAAATATTTATGTATCCAATATTGGAGCACACAAATATATAAACATATGTTAACTAAACTGGAGAAAAAAACAAATATGATAGTAACAGTATAATTTATATTCTTCTCAAACACACATGGAACACTCTCCAAGACCTGTCATAAATCTGGCCCACAACAAAAATAAACAAGTCTTTTCATTTTTAAACAGACTGAAATCATATCAAGTTTTTAAATCACAATTTTATAAAACTAGAAATCAACACCGGAAGGAAATTTTAAAACTTACAAATAAATGGATATTAAACAACATGCTTCTGAACAACCAATGGGTCAAAGAAGGTAAAAGGAAATCATAAAGTATTTGAGAAAAATGAAAATAGAATCATAATATATAAAAATGAATGTAACAAAAGCAGTTCTGGGAATTTTATAGTAATATATTTTATATTTTAAAAATCTCAAATAAACCAACTTTAATCCTCAAAAACTTGAAAAATAACTAAATAATCCCAATGTTAGCATAATAAACAAAATAACAAAAATCAGACCAGAAACAAATTAGAGAATTAAAAGACAACAAAAAAGATAAAAGGCACAGAAAGAATTTACATATAAAAGTTTTCTAAATCAAAGGTTTTAAGAAAAGGGAGGAGAGTAAATACTCTTTATTTTCCAATGTGAGGATTAAGCCTCTTATTTCTATTTTGCATTTACATTTACAATAACCACACCCAAAAACTTTGCCTTGAACTCATAGAAACCTGATTTCCAGCAGGCCCTGGACTTAGGCACCTGCAGGGTGACCTTGGGCATGCTGTGTTCACATGAGAGAGGGTCTGTGGGGGGAAAATGCAGAATAAGAAAAGGTGCTATCAAGAACCATGGGTGAGGATCAGTGCACAGTTGGTAAAAGGACTGGTTAGTGCTCTAGATATTCACCCAGGCAGGGCACCTCTGACTTATAAATGTGTGCATACAGGGAGATGAGATGGTCAGGTGATCCAGAAGCCTATTCTACTGGAGAAAACAGGTTACTGGTGCAGATTCAAGATCTGGCAGGTAGAAAGAGCCCATGAGTCTTCTGGGCACTTATGTAGCCTATTAGTGGAAAACCCTAGAAGCAGAGGTGCTCTCAGCACAATTCCTGAGTGAAGCTTTGTCATGAGAGAAGCACGGCCATACCATTGCTTAGCGTGCATGTGTGTGAATGAGCAGAAATCACATTGTAGCAGCAGGTGGAGAGAAGAGTCTGCCCTCAGAAGTCCTTCCCTTTAAGTCCTCAGTCCCCTATGGAGGAGACGTAGAATCACATTACACCTAACTGTGACAACTTGTGTGCAAAAGAAGTAAAACTCTCAGCGGGGAGTGGTGGCTCATGCTTGTAATCCTAGCATTTTGGGAGGCCAAGGTGGAGGGATCACCTGAGGTCAGGAGTTCCAGACTAGCCTGGCCAACATGGTGAAACCTCGTCTCTACTAAAAATACAAAAAATTAGCCAGGCATGGTGGCACACACCTGTAGTCCCAGCTACTTGAGAGGCTGAGGCAGGAAAATCACTTGAATTCAGGAGGTGGAGGTTGCAGTGAGCCGAGATCTCGCCACTGCACTCCAGCCTGGACGAGAGTGAGACTCTGTCTCCAAAAAAAAAAAAATAATAATAATAATAATAAATTAATAAACTCTCCATTCTTCAACAGACCCACCATCTCCTTCTGACCAAGTCTGCTGTGATTTTTTTTTTTTTTAGACAGGGTCTCACTTTGTCACTCAGGCTGGAGTGCACTGGCATGATCTCAGGTCACAGCAGCCTTGACCTCTGAGGGTTCAAGCAATCCTCCAGACTCAGTCCCCCAAGTAGCTGGGAATACAAGTTCGTGCCACCATGCCTGGCTAACTTTCTGTATTTTTGGTAGAGGTGGGATTTCACCAGGTTGCCCAGGCTGGTGCTGAATTCCTGACCTCAAGCCATCTGCACTCCTCGTCCTTCCAAAGTGCTAGGATTACAGGCGTGAGCCACCACATCCAGCCTGATTATCTTTATTCCAACACCAAATATATGGAGTTTGCTGAACACCAACCAATCCTCCAACACAAACTGGGTGCCCAACAACTCAATTCTGACAACACCCAGGGTCAGCACAGACCCCACAAGTTCAGACCCAGTTCCACAACACTGCTTCCGCTGCACATGCCAGTCACAAACTCCAGGGGCCCACCTACACTTCTGAGCAACTGACTATAAATCATGGGCTTCCCTAACTCCCTCCCTCAAATTTAATAATTTGATAAAACTACTCACAGAACTTAGCAAAAACGATTTATATGTTTTCCAGGTTATTATATTGAATACAGCTCAGTAAAAGCCAAAGGGAAAAAATGTATAGGACAAAGGAAAGTGGGGGAAAAGATGA
Organism: Homo sapiens; assembly: GCF_000001405.40. Taxonomy (NCBI): domain Eukaryota; kingdom Metazoa; phylum Chordata; class Mammalia; order Primates; family Hominidae; genus Homo; species Homo sapiens. The sequence goes on along the minus strand of NC_000004.12, from coordinate 352,707 downwards.
GGTGGGTAGTGAATCTTGGTAAATAGCTATGACTAAGGTCTCTCCAATCCTTTGTGATCCGCAAGAAACGCTTATTGCAAAGAAATACCCTTTTCACTATGATTTTGAAGATGCTCCCTCTTAGATATCACAAATTCACAAACTCTACATTCCCCCAGGCCCCTGGACTCTGCTCCACCTTCAGTCTGAGCTAGCATACAACCCCTCTTGATGCCCCTCCCAAGAACAGGCTGACTTCAGGGTGAAACATTCTCCAATCCTGAATCTGATTTTGCCATTCTCCATTCTGCCTTCTCCCTCTCCCACCTTCCTCTTTTTTTTTGAGACGGAGTCTCGCTCTGTCACCAGGCTGGAGCGCAGTGGTATAGTCTTGGCTCACTGCAGCCTCCGCCTCCCGGGTTCAAGTGATTCTCCTGCCTCAGCCTTCTGAGTAGCTGGGACTACAGGTGCCCACCACCACGCCCGGCTAATTTTTTGTATTTTTAGTAGAGATGGGGTTTCACCATGTTGGCCAGGATTGTCTCCATCTCTTGACCTCCTGATATGCCCGTCTCGGCCTCCCAAAGTGCTGGGATTACAGGCGTGAGCCACCATGCCTGGCCCTCCTACCTTGTTTCTAATCTTGTTTGCTCCTCTGTATGAAAAATAGCCTTTTTCTGCCTCATTTTGGAGATGACTTCAGGTCTTATGCTTGATGCTTTCCCCACTGCAATACTCCTTAGAATAAACTCACTTCTTACCTACATCAAAATTTATTTTACTTGACAATATGTAGAAACAGCCCCATGACAATAACAATTACACCCTCTCAGAGGATATCACAACCTCCTCTCATCCAAACCCTCACTGCCTCTGCCTGTGGATACCCAGCTTTCCAGGGCTCCTTCCCTGTCTAATTTGAGCAGGCTGAGACACCTGAAAGAAAGGTTCACCAGCAACACATTACGGGGCTATTGATGACCTGCTTTGGCAGAATCAAGATTGACCTTACCCTGCAGTCAACAGGCTTAGGTCTCGGATTCCCAGTCAAGGTTATTCACTTAGTTTTATATAAAAAGAACTCAGTGGTTGAAAAATCCAGGAAAATGCCTCAAACTCAGTGCTTATGTTTTAGGAGGAAAGAAAATTGTAAGGCACTTACATTTTATACTTCAACAAGTATATGGAAGTATAAATGTTTCTCCGGCCAGGCATGGTTGCTCACGCCTGTAATCTCAGCACTTTTGGAGGCCGAGGGGCGGATCATGAGGTCAGGAGACCACCTGGCTAACATGGTAAAACCCCGCCCCTACTAAAAATTAAAAAAATTAGCCAGGCTTGGTGGCAGGCACCTGTAGTCCCAGCTACTCGGGAGGCTGAGGCAGGAGAATAAGTTGAACCTGGGAGGCGGACATTGCAGTGAGCCGAGATCGCGCCACTGTACTCCAGCCTGAGTGGCAGAGCGAGACTCTGTCTCAAAAAAAAAAAAAAAGGTTTAACTGGCTCATAGTTCTGAAGGCTGTACAGGAAGCACAGCAGCTTCTACTTTTGGGGAGGCCTCAGAAAGCTTCCAGTCACGGCACAAAGCAAAGGGAGAGTGAGTCATCTCACACAGTGGGAACAGGAGCAAGACAAGAGTGAGAGGGGAGGTGCCACATGCTTTTAAAAAATAAGATCTCAGGCCGGGCGCGGTGGCTCACGCCTGTAATCCCAGCACTTTGGGAGGCTGAGGTGGACGGATCATGAGGTCAGGAGATCCAAACCATCCTGGCTAACATGGTGAAACCCCGTCTCTACTAAAAAAAAAAAAAAGTACAAAAAATTAGCCGGGCATGGTGGCAAGCACCTGTAATCCCAGCTACTCTGGAGGTTGAGGCAGGAGAATGGCATGAACCCGTGAGGTGGAGCTTGCGGTGAGCCGAGATCATGCCACTGCACTCCAGCCTGAGCCACAGAGCGAGACTCCATCTCAAAAAATAAATAAATAAAAAATAAGATCTCGGGAGAACTCACTCACTATGGCAAAGACAGTACCAAAGGGGCTGGTACTAAACTATTCATGAAAAGCCAACCCTACGATCCAATCATCTCCCTCAAGGCCCCACCTCCAACAATAGGGATTACATTTGACATGAGATTTGAATGGGGACATAGATCCAAACCGTATAATTTACAAAAGTGAAAAAGTGAAAAAATTCAAACATCCTTCAATGAATGAAAGATTTTAAAAGATGTGGCTTATACACGCAATGAAATATTCTTTAGCTTCAAATGAAAATGTCTTGTCAGATGCTACAATAAGGATAAATCCTGAGGCCATTATTTTAGTGAAATAAGACGCTAACAAAGTGACAATGCATGATTCCATTTTTATACAATATTTTAAGTAGTAAGCACATAGAAAGCAGAAGTAGAAAGGTGCTTGCCTATGGTTAGGGTTGTGAAACCTCAGTGGAGCCAGAGATCGAGGGTTATTTAGAATAAGCAGGCCCTCACTCAGATGGCCAACTCAAGAGCCCATAGACATGGCTACAGACAAGGAAATGGCACACTGAGCTTGGTCTTACTGAGGATTCTGAAGCAGTTCTGTAACCTCTCTCAAATTCAATCTCAGCTACAGTCCAGACGTGGTCCTTCCCATCAAGAGACCTGCAGGGAGATACACACCCAGCCATGGCCCTGGAGGCAGGCCTGTATATCCTGGCCTCAGCTGTGCTCCTGAGCCCTGTGACTCAGTTCTAGCCCTCACAGTCACAGTCCATGGCCAGTTGTACACAATCAGGGACCCAAAGAGAAAAGTGTGGAAACTGTTCCCAGGTTGTCAGTAGAAGCCAAACCCATTCATACACCTGGTATTTGGCCCATCATATGCAGACAAACTTCAAAACCCTAGTCTACTGCCTGCCATATAGATTAATATCCTCAAGGAAATCTAATCTCTCCAGGGCCCAGAAATAATCCATGACTGTCCAAATCTCTGGTAATACAATCATCAAAGGCAGACCCCACAGCAGACCCAGCAGCACCCTTGTGACCCAGCTACAACCCTTCTTCTCTGCAACCCCAGAGGTAATCTCATCAGCCTGGGACTCAACAAAAGGAGATCTTTACCTGCCAAAAATAGTTTATACAAACTGTGAAATTTGTCAAATGCAGACACAGGGCTGCTTCAGAGACCACAGCCGGGGACAAGACTTGCAGGCCTGCCTCCAGGGCCACAGCTTCTATCTTAACATGTGACTGGAAGTTTGTATCAAAACAATTAGACAAGGAAAAGGAGAATAAAGCTCTCCAGAGTGGAAAAGAAATAAAAAAGTTACTGTTTGTGGATAATATCATCATGCATATACATAAAACCCTAGAGTAAAATAAGAAAAATTGATTGAACTAATAAATGCATTCATTAAAGTATCAGGATACATAATCAACATATAGATGCTTGTTGGGATTTTTTTTTTTTTGAGACAGGGCCTCACTCTATTGCCCAGGCTTATCTCAAACTCCTGTACTCACATGATACAACTGCCTTGGGCTCTGAAAGTGCTGGGATCACAGAAATGAGCCACTGCACCTGGCACCACATACAAATATTTCTTGCATTTCCATAGAGTAAAAACAAACTTTCCAAAAATAGAAACCATTTCCATTTGCAATAGTATAAAAATAAGAAAGTTAATCAAAATAAATTTAACCAAATGACATAAAAAACATATAGTATTATACACTAAATACAATAAGATATCAATGACAGAAAGTGAAGTAGAAACAAATAAATGGAAACATATTCCATTAGGATAACTAATATTGTCAAAGAATATTATCCAAAGTGATCTATAGATTCAATGTGATCCCTATCAAAATTTTATTGGCATTTTTCACACTAATAGAAAACACAATTGTAAAATTTAGGTGTAACCTTAAACGACTTTTAATAACCTGAGCAATCAATCTTGAGAAAGAACAAAGCTGGGGGCATCATACTTGTTTTTTTTTTTTTTTTGAGATGGAGTCCAGCTCTGTCACCCAGGCTGGAGTGCAGTGGCACAATCTAGGTTCAGTGATCTAGGCTCACTGAAACCTCTGCCTCTTGGGTTCAAGTGATTCTCCTGCCTCAGCTTCCCGAGTAGCTGGGATTACAAGCGCCCACTACCACCCCTAGCTAGTTTTTGTATATTTTTAGTAGAGACAGGGTTTCACCATATTGGCCAGGCTAGTCTTGAACTCCTGATCTCAAGTGATCCGCCCACCTCGGCCTCCCAAGGTGCTGGGATTACAGGTGTGAGCCACCTTGTCTGGCAGGCATCATGCTTTCTAATTTCAGACTTCAAAACAAAGACTGAAATTAAGACATGAAATCTTAAAACTCATGAAGAAAACATATGGAAAAACCTTGTTGATATTGGTCTCGGCAATAACTTTTTTTGAAATGACATCAACAGCACAGCAACAAAATAAAATATAAACAAGTGAGACTGCATCAAAGTAAACAGCCTCTGCACATCAAAGGAAAAAATAAAAACAAAATTTTTAAAAACCCTACAAAATAGAAAAGCATTTGCAAGCCATATCTGATAAGTTAATATCCAGCTGGGTGTGGTGGCTCAGGCCTGTAATCTCAGCACTTTGGGAGGCCGAGGCAGGCAGATCATGAGATCAGGAGATCGAGACCATCTTGGCTAACACAGTGAAACCTCGTCTCTACTAAAAATACAAAAAATTAGCTGGGCATGGTGGCACGTGCCTGTAATCCCAGCTACTCGGGAGGCTGAGGCAGGAGAATCGCTTGAACCCGAGAGACAGAGGTTGCAGTGAGCAAAGATCGTGCCACTGCACTTCAGCTCGGGCGACAGAAATTCTGTCTCCAAAAAAAAAAAAAAGTTAATATCCAAAATGTGTAACAAACTTCTGCAATTCAAAGCAAAAAAGCAAAACAATAATAATGAATAACCCATTCGAAAATAGGCAAAAGGTTAGATTTTTTTTTTTTCCCAAAGAAGAAATACATACAAGGGAAATCTTGTATGCTGGTGGTGAGATGCAAATTGATAAACTTACAAAAATACAGTAAAGAATAAAACTAGGCTGGGCGCGGCCGGGCTCCTTGGCTCACGCCTGTAATCCCAGCACTTTGGGAGGCCGAGGCAGGCGGATCATGAGATCAGGAGACCAAGACCATCCTGGCTAACACAGCGAAACCCTGTCTCTACTAAAAATACAAAAAATTAGCTGGGTGTGGTGGAAGGCGCCTGTAGTCCCAGCTACTCGGGAGGCTGAGGCAGGAGAATGGCGTGAACCCAGGAGGCGGAGCTTGCAGTGAGCCGAGATCCTGCCACTGTACTCCAGCCTGGGCGACAGAGAGAGACTCAGTCTCAAAAAAAAAAAAAAAAAACTTGGCCGGGCGTGGTGTCTCACTCCTGTAATCCCAGCACTTTGGGAGGCTGAGACGGGTGGATCACCTGAGGTCGGGAGTTCGAGACTAGCCTGACCAACGTGGAGAAACTCCGTCTCTATTAAAAATACAAAATTAGCCAGGCATGGTGGTACATGCCTGTAATTCCAGCTACTTCGGAGGCTGAGGCAGGAGAATTGCTTGAACCCAGGACCCAGAGGCTGTGGTGAGCCAACAGCGTGCCACTGCACTCCAGCCTGGGCAACAAGAGTGAAACTCCATCTCAAAAAAAAAAAAAAAGAATAAAACTAGAAGTATCATATAATCCAGCAATACCACTTCTGGGCATACTACCAAAGGAAATAAAATTAGTACCTCAAAGAACTATCTTCCCCTCCATGTTTATTGTAGTACCGTTTACAGTAGCCAATATATGGGGGGGGCGGTGTGTGTGTGTGTGTATACATATATATACATACATGTATATACATATATATATACACACACATACACAGGACACTATTCAACCATAAAAGAGAAGGAAATCTAGCCATTTACAACATGGATAGACCTGGAGGGCATTATGCTAAATGAAATAAGCCAAACACGGAAAGACAAAGAAACTAAATTTTCTCAGTTAGATAGGAAATCTAAAAGCGTAAACTCATAGAAGCAGAGAGCAGAATGGTAGTTGTTAGTGCCTAGGGTGGGAATATGAGATGTTGTTCAAGAGCACAAATTTTTAGTTATAAGTTGAGTAAATCTGAGAAACCTAATGTATATTAGCATTAGATTACCAAAATAGCATTGTATTCATAGTTAATACTATAATGTATGCTTTAAATTTGCTACAACAGTAGGCCTTAAGTGTTCTTACTACCAAACAAAATGGTTATCTAGGTGAAGTAATAGATTTCTTCATGAACTTGACTATATTGTTTCACAATGTAGATGCATATCAAATCATTACATTGTACACATTAAATATAAAGTTACATAATTTTTATTTATCAGAAAAATCCATGTCACACAAACACAGATGTACAGTAAGTCCTCACTTAATGTTCAAATTAGGTTCTTAAAAACTGCATTGTTAAATGAAATAATGTTGCTATATGCCATTCAAACATAACTCGTTATCTTTTAAACTCTGGTTATCAATTAAACTCTGGTAAAATTAGTTTTCTTAATATGTTGCTTCCCTCAGTTTCCAAGAACCTATCAACAATGTTAAGTGAGAATTTACTACACACTTAAATAAGTTATATAGGTGTGTGTGTGAGACACACATTTTTATATAGCTACAGAGAGATACATCTCAATGACAGAATCTCAACAGACTTCCTACTAAGACAAAATTATAATAGCTATTAACAAATAAGAGAACAATTGAGAGCTTAATATACACTTAGTAATGTTCTATGCTGGTTAATGACATAGCACATTTATGCTTGTTAATGATACAGTGCATTTAAGAAATATAGAAGGTGAGTAGATACTTTAATCCAGTGGTTTCCAACCCTTTGAATGCAAGGACTTTTTTTGCTTATCTTCTGTGGTGGAGGATATCACAAAAATTTTTCAAAAACTTTTTTTTTTTTTTTTTTTTTGGAGACAGAGTTTCACTCTTGTTGCCCAGGCTGGAGTGCAATGGCAAAATCTCGGCAAACCGCAACCTCCGTCTCCTGGGTTCAAGCAATTCTCCTGCCTCAGCCTCCCAAGTAGATGGGATTACAGGAATGCACCACCACGCCCAGCTAATTTTGTATTTTTAGTAGAGACAGGGTTTCTCCATGTTAGTCAGGCTAGTCTTGTACTCCCGATCTCAGATGATCCGAGCTCATCAGCTATCATTAGTGTTAGTGTATTTTATGTGTGGCCCAAGACAATTCTTCTTCCAATGTGGCCCAGGGAAGCCAAAATGTTGGAAATCCATGCTTTAAACTATATTATAATTTCAAAATTTGCACATATAGAGTTTACATTACAAACGAGTTTATACTAAAACAGTAATTTTGAAGTAAAATAACATTACTTTTTTTCATATTTAGGAAATGCTTATTGTTCTGATAAAATTGCTAAGTAAGAATTTTTGTAGAATTACATTTGCAGCCTCCATAGGATTAAAAAACACTAAGTAGAAAAGAGGCAACATCTGTCCTTGGTGTTCCTGGGATTTCTGAACCAAATCCCACTATGTCCACTACTCACGTTACACATTTTAGACATAATACGAAAAGAATACTTGAAAAAAATACTTTGACATACAGCTCCTCAGTAACACAAATATTCCAGTGTCTCCAAAAGCAATGGAACAGCAGTCACATCATGCAGCCCCTTATAAGCGATAAAGTGGACATTAGCTCTCCCTGTAAACTTAAAGGGAGATCACTAAAGAAAAAAGAGAATTCTTGGATTTAACAGCATGGAACAGAAGATGCCCCTATTTGTGAACATGAGAAAAAATGCAGCTTTTTCAGAAATTATTTTCACTGGAGCAGAGCTTCCCAAACTACCTGGTTTATTTTTTATTTTATTTTATTTTTTGAGACGGAGTCTAACTCTGTCACCAGGCTGGAGTGCAGTGGTGTGATCTTGGCTCACTGCAACCTCCGCCTCCTGGGTTCAAGTGATTCTCCTGCTTCAGCCTCCCGAGTAGCTGGGACTCCAGGTGCGCACCACCATGCCCAGCTAATTTTTGTATTTTTAGTAGAGACGGGGTTTCACCATGTTGGCCAGGATGATCTCGATCTCTTGACCTCGTGATCCGCCTGCCTCGGCCTCCCAAAGTCCTTGGATTACAGGCATGAGCCACTGCACCCGGCCCCAAACCACATTTTAAGGCCTGGCTTCCTTCTTGACCTTTGGTCCCCTTGCCTGTGCCCTCTCCTCCATTCACTCTCACCTACCTGGGGGTCTGGCTACGATCTTATGTATCTTCACATTGTAGGGCTCTTTTCTTTGCTCCAGACAGGTGACCAGGTCTGGGTTAGAGATAGCAACACCTGTTTTATTTTAAAAAAAATAATAACATGACTATTGATGGGGATTCTCCAATTACCAACCTAGTACTACGCTAAGCAGAATAGAGATATTATGGAAGATTCTAGAAAATTAATCCAAAAATTGTTTCCTGACAGAATCTTTAGAATATTTAAGTATTTTAAATCTGCGGGTTCTAAGTTCCACTACCAAGTACTACCGAATAAAAAATAAGTGGTGCAAATTGGATTTTAAGATGTGGGAAACAATATTTTATGTCATTGAATTTCTAGAATTACCACTAACCTAGAGTGAAGGACTCAAATTAGCTCAAGAAAAGAGAAGGTTTATGTAAAGATAAAACATAAAAGTTCCCAGGAGAAATTCTTCAAAGGAATAAAATAAAGCTCTGAGAAAAATTAGGAATTATGTATTGAAGTTATCCTCACCCAGGGAGACCAGGTTCCTGTAGTTCTCCAACATCACATCTCTATACAAATTCTGCTGGTCAGGGTCCAGGCATTTCCACTCTTCTGGAGAGAATTCTATGGCCACATCCCTGAATGTTAAGAGTTCCTGAAAATACAAATATATCAAGGGACATAGTTCTTTTTTTTTTTTTTTTTTTTTTTTGAGACGGAGTCTCGCTCTGTCACCCAGGCTGGAGTGCAGCGGCGCAGTCTCGGCTCACTGCAAGCTCCGCCTCCCAGGTTCACACCATTCTCCTGCCTCAGCCTCCCAAGTAGCTGGGACTACATGTGCCCGCCACCACGCCCAGCTGATTTTTTGTATTTTTAGTAGAGACGGGGTTTCACCATATTAGCCAGGATGGTCTTGATCTCCTGACCTTGTGATCCGCCCTCCTCGGCCTCCCACAGTGCTGGGATTACAGGCGTGAGCCACTGCGCCCAGCCGAAGGGACATAGTTCTTAATTTGACTACAGGTGAAATGAGTTGAGAGCGCTAGTTCTGACATGTGACTGACTGGGATTATCTGATAAAATAACTTTCAACGCAGTAATATTCTCTAAAGTATTCTATAGCTCTGCAGAAAAAGGATGGCATTCCAAGAGTTTCTGTTGCTGCAATAAAAATAATGGGCTACACTGACCTTCCCCTACCAAAATCAAGCAGAGTAGGCCCTGTGACCTCCTGGAACAAAGGGTGAACTCACCTTTCACTAAAGTATCTGGAAGCCCTCATGCTTCACCCTGGCCTTGCTGTAGAATCATGCAAGGAACTGATTTTAAAACATAAGGACTTTTTTAATCATGCAAGGAACTTTTTAAATACTTTTTTAATCATGCAAGGAACTTTTTTAATACTTTTTTAATCATGCAAGGAACTTTTTTAATACTTTTTTAACCACGCAAGGAACTGATTTTAAAAAATAAGGTCTCAGCCTTGGATCAGGAGATAATTGAAGTAGATCCTGACACTAAGGAAATGCTGAAGCTTTTGGACTTCGGCAGTCTGTTCAACCTTCAGGTCACTCAGCCTACAGTTGGGATGAATTTCAAAATGCCTCGGGGACCTGTTTGAATTTTTTCTGTAGTGCTGTATTATTTTCAATAAATCTGGGACAACAACAATCAAAAATAAAATAAATAAGGACTTTTCACCCAGAACAATGGACAGGATCTGTGGGCAGAACACAGCTGATGGTTTCTCTTCAAACTGTCCATGTGATCCTACTGGAAGACTGGGCTGAGAGTCACTTAGCTAAGCACTGCCTCTCAAGCTTCATTGTACATATACATTATTTGATATTGTAGGCCTCACTGTAAGTAACAAAATTCTGCAGGTTTGAAAAGGGTCCATGAATTAGCTTTTTACAGCAAGTCTCCTGTTAATGCTGACGCTCCTCCCTCTAGACCCATTATAGTACCACTCAGTTAGAGAAAGCAGACACAGCACACAGAGTCCCTTACCCCAACACCGTTATCACAACACAAATACTTTTCATCCCAAGACCACCAATCATCATCTTCAAACATGGCATTCTCTGCAGACCCTATAAGGTTACAGAAGTTGGAGACGGTGGCAATGTCTGAGTAAGTCTGTATCTGAAAAACAACATGTGCATCTGCATTAATGCCATCTTTATGGGGCATGTAATATGTGCTCAGATGTATGTCACAGAGCACTGTGATGGGAAGCTCATATTATGTGTGTTAATTCTCATAACATCCTGGGAGGTAGACACTAGGTGTCCCATACTTCCCAGATTTAAAGGCAGGGCCCAGAATTTCCATTTCCTTTCTGTTTCCCCTGACTTTTTAAAAAAATGTATAGAATAATAGCTAAATATAAATAGATGGGAGAGAGCCAAAGAAAGTGTTAAGTACAATTCAGAGGAATTTTTTTATTTTTGTGTTTGTATTTACTTTGAGACTTGTAAGAAAAAGCCACTGAAACTGCAGGGATAGAGAACAGGTTGCTGGGTGGGATGTCTCTAGAAACATTAGTTTTAATTTTATAGAAAAGATTTAAGGCCCCAAAGTATATAGCTTTTCCCTATTTATTGGCTTTTGGGTTTCAGAAAATTGTGGGCACCAGCTCTGGAGAGGAGACTGGAGTAGCCACCCTAAACTCTGATCTCCTCTATTAATCAGTTCTGTGAGAGATTTCAGTGTTGGCTCAGACCTGGACAAGGATCAGAAGAGGGTAGATCTGGGCAGGGATGGGACAGAAAGTGGGCCCTAGGCTTCTGCTCTCTATGTCACTAAGTACTTTCGGTTTTGTCTTTTCTAAGCCTGCCCAAGAGAAATTTGATTCCCAGAATTTGTGAAATTTTAATCTATTTTAGCCACTTCTCTGTCTTTTGTATAACATACAGTAACAAGGAATTTAACCAAAACCCTTATGTTTCTCTAGAACAATTATATTAGAAGCTAAATATTTATTCTTAGCAAGGTAAACACAATACAAATAATAACAACTTCTCTTCTGTCAATGAATAGCCATTCACATAATGGCATCAAAACTCACAAAACAGGCTGGGCACGGTGGCTCACGCCTGTAATCTCAGCACTTTGGGAGGCTGAGGCGGGTGGATCACAAGGTCAGGAGTTCAAGACCAGCCTGGCCAATATGGTGAAACCCCATCTCTACTACAAAATATAAAAAATCCGCCGGGCATGGTGGCGTGCGCCTGTAATCCCAGCTACTCGGAGGCAGGAGAATTGCTTGAACCTGGGAGGCGGAGGTTGCAGTGAGCCGAGATCGCACCACTGCACCCCAGCCTGGCGACAGAGCGAGATTCTGTCTCAAAAAAAAAAAAAAGAAAAATGTTTTTTTGACCTAAAAGGAAAAAGGTGGGGTAAACATAATATAAGAAGAGAGTTTATTTGGGCCAAAGCTTGAAGATTGCAACCCTGGACTATAAAGCTGCCCTGAATATACACTCCAATTAGAAGCAGTTACAAGTATATTTTTAAAGGCAAAAAGAAAGGCAGACGGAACTGATAGAAAGCTGTCAGAAATTCTTATTGGTTTATAGAAGTAACATTGGTTAGTGATTGGCTATGTACGTTGTTAAGCTATAAGGTGTGGGTTATAGTGTCCAGTATGGCATTATTAGGTTAATTTATATCCACTTGTGGCAATAGCAAACAACTTCAAAAGACAAACAGTTCAAAGAGGGGAACGGTAGGACTGTGGTCTCATTTTAACACATCACTTGGTCTCGTAATTAAAAGAACTTGTATTTCTCAAACAAAAGTTCTGTTCTTCTCTCAAATCCCAGGACATAAACTCAGAATTTGGAACTGCACATTTAAGACTTGGAGGGCTGGTAAGCACATTTGTGGGCATTTGGGCAAGGGGAGAAGGGAGAGAATGGAAGTTCTCAGGTTTAATCAATGCACATGTGTGAACCTCGCTGGATTTATGGGCCCCATGATTTCTGAATCAGTGTCAGATCTGAAGATCATTGGCACACTGAAAGAGGTGGAAAAACTGATCGCTATCCTAAAAAGTCATTTTTGTAGAAATCTAGTCAAACTGCTATAGAAGGGATTGTAGATCCCAAATAGAGAGATCATTTTGTTTGCAGCTTTGGGGAGCACTTTGCTGCACTTCGTGCACTTTGCTGCACAACTGTGGGTTGTGACTGGAATCCTGAGAAAGAAGGTTCTTCTCTAAAACGAAGCCTGGTGGGCACTTTGTGTATAACATCTAGTAATTCTTGACAGCGTGTGGAAAATATAACAGCAAAATCATCTACAATCCTAAAATACTGTCCAAAATAATAGAACAGCAAGAAAATGTGTTGTTAGAGAATTAAACAAAATGTGGTGTGCATTACAGGCAGTCTACTAAGAGACTGCCAAAACAAAGAAAGTCACCATAATTAGCTCTCAAGTAGAAGACTTGACAGTACCATGTATCATACATAGTTTATTACACTTTCACCTAGTAATTTGGGAGGTCATCCGGGTTTCCTAATTGGTAATATTCAAAGGGAAAATAAACTTCCCACAGCTTCAGGACAGGAGGTAGATTTGATATGTGAAGGCAGGTACCTGCTGAAGGCAGCCTCCTACTCTGCTACAGAAATTGCGGAATAGGTTATATATTCTTGCTATGCACATTTCAAAGCAATAGTTTCCATGTCCTAAAGACAATTTTGAGTCAAAAAAGACAAATCACCTAGTTAACAGATTAAAATGAGTTATATATATTTCAAAGAAGCAGAGAAAATATTTAAATATAAAAGTTTTCAAACTAAATGCTTTAAGGGAGAAGAGTAAAAATTCTTTCCTCATTCTAAAGAGAAAGCATTAAGCCTCTTCTGATTTGTATTTGGTCCTACAACAGGCAGGTCTAAAGGCATGGTCTTGAACTCACTAACGTTGAATTCTTGTAGCACATGAGGGATGCACTTGAGCAAACTGTGTGCACAGGAAAGAGGATTTGTGGGGAAGAAAAGAGCAGAAGAAAGGTGCTATCAAGAGCCTTGAGTGGGGGCAAGGCAGGATTGACGAAAGGACTGGTTTGTGCTACAAGTTCAGGCCCAGGCAGGGCTAAGCTCTAACTGATTCCTGAGCCCATAAAGGCAGAGGAGATTAGGATCAGGTGGTCCAAAAGCCTGGGTGGGTGAAGAAAACAGATTCCTGCTACAGATCTGGGGTTAAAATGAACCAGGAGTCTTCTGGGCACTGTGTGTGTTCTTGGGAGAAAAACCTAGGAGCAAAGCTGCCATGGGCACAATTCCTGAGGGTAGAACCCTGTCCTGGGACAAGTGTGGCCGTGCGAATGCCCAATGGGCGGGCTCAGGAGTGGGTTAGCATTGGGTGGGGGCTGGCAGCAGGGTGCAGGGAAGGGATGTTTCTCAGAACTCCTTTCCTCCAAGTTCTCAGCGCCCTCTCTCCCCGGGAGGAGACCTGGAGGAACAGAACAGTGCGCAGCAGGACAGTGCATGTGCAGAACCCGGCTGGTCTCCCGCGGACACCTGCGACTCCCTCCAGCCCAGGCTCAGCCATGTCTTTCTTCTGACAGGAAACGTGAGGAGTTTGCTCAACACCAGTCAATGCTCCGACCCCAACGGGCTGTCCAACAACTCACTAACGACACCACCCGGAGTCAGCACAGACCCCACAAGCTCAGCGCTCTTCCCGCAGCTGCCCCCCTGCAGACGCCAGTCCCTGCCTCTGGACACCCGTCTTCATTTCTGAACACCTGTCTACAAACCAGGGGCCCACACCCTCCTCAAGTTCAATAATATGACAGAACTACTCACAGAACTCAGCGAAGCGCTGTGCGCGCCCACACTAGCGTATTCTAAAAGATGCCACTCAGGAACAGCCACGCGGAGGAGGCGCACAGGGCAAGGAGACTGGTGGGCAAGTTGGAGCGGGCGGGTGATTTGCTTCGCTTCCTCACACACCTCACAAAAGCTTTTCCTTCAAGACCCGCTGGCAGCCCCCAAACCACGAGCCACGGCCGGCGCTGTCCCATTAATGAGTCCCCATTTGCTCACATGAACTCTGTTTTGATGGGGCCTCGATCTCATTCCGAACAGGGTAAAGCAGGGACGGGATCCCCAGACCACAGCTTCTCCCACAGCTCCTCCCACGCCGGCATCGCGCACGCCGCGCGGGCGGCTTCCAGATAAGCTACTCCTCACCCCACAGCCTGGGGAAGGTGCGGGGCTGCGGGCGCAGAGCTGCACAAGGAGGGCTGCAGGCTGGGCCAGAGCCGCTGTGCGGGGACCGACAGGAGCCCAGGTCCCTCACCGGAGGGTACTGAGGCCCCAGGGCTGAGCGGCGGCAGCGGGGACTCCGTTCGCAGACTCGGTCCCGCCGCCATTTCCCGCCAGCTCCGATGAGACCTCCTCAGCCTTGGGACGCCCTGCCCCGCACACTCACCATTTCCCCACTTCTGAAGTATTCGGGAGTCTTAGCTACCAATCATCCAATACCCGCAGGTCACAGAGCGACGGAGGCTGAGCTGTGGCCGAATCACCAAGGCCTCCCACAACTGAGAACGCAGAGAGATGAAGCCCCTAACCCGCGGTCTGGTAGTAGCCAGACGCAAAGACCCGCGCCACATCCCGGAAGCCACCGCCTCCTCTCTGGCTGCGTGCCTGATTGGGCAGTTTTCACTCCAGTGCGCTGATTGGATACGGCTCCAATCTCCCCGCCATCAGACCTTGAGTGACAGAAGTTGCAACCACATACTCCACGGAATGTGGCGAGAGTGACAGCCGGGGGGCCTCCAGGCAGTTTCAGGCGGGGCTTTCTCTTCGTGCTTGGCCTGGCACAGCCCAGGGGTCATTTTTTAACCTTGTGATGTGTAAGGTGACGTCCATTTAGAAATTATACACGCACGCACACACACAGACATATACGCGCGCGCGCACACACAGACGCGCGCACGTACGCAGTCTCACATAAACATACAAAAGTCACAGACACACACACACACACACGCACGCACCCACGCACGCACAGCCCATCCTTCCTCCAAGGCTCGCGAATCATCTCTCCACAAATCCTGCCTTCGGGGCCGCAGCCTGCAGGCCGACCTCAGTCCGTCCTCACAGAGCCTAGTTGGGTGCACAGCTCTCCCTGACGCGCGAGGAGCAGGTTCACGGGAGTCGGTCGCGCATCCCCAGCGCCCTGCGGGCCTCGCACCGGCTGTGGCGGTGACCCCGGTGAGGAGGGCTTTGGTGCGGGTCACCGTTGCTGAGGACACCCTCCTCCCCCGGAAGCGCGGTCCTGGGGGTCTGGGGGGCGGGTCCCTGACCGCTGTAAACAATAGGTCGGTGGTGTCCACGCAGCAGGCAGCAAATTCTCAGGAAGTGAGCGTCCCGTCTTTGGCTTCACCTTCGTGTCTGTAGAATGGGGGTGAGGGGACTCAGGACTCGGAGCGCTGTCGGGCGGGGCGAGGTGGGCTGAGAGTGTGTCTCCCTCCCCAAGCTCACCCGGAGCTGTGCGGGGCGGGACCGCCCCAGGACCCTCGGTTCCCAGGAGCTCCTGGGGGCCCCGCCGCCCCCACCCCAGGCCGCGCTGCGCAGCCCCAGTCCCCGCCGGCCCCACCGCGCGGTCGCTTTGAGGTCGGCCGGGGTCTGCCCGGCGATGGCGACGCTGCAGCCGCTGGAGCCGGGGCCACCGGGGATCTCGGCGGGACCTGGCGGCAGCGAGGACGCGGACCCTGGAGAGATGGGAGGGGCGCGCCCCGAGCCCGAGCCCCACCCGGACCCGGCTGCCGTCGGCCTAGCCAGGGCCGGGGCGGACACCGTCGAGGACGAAGCCGGGCCCGCGCCCCTGGGCGACCCGTTGAGCCGCGGAGCCCCGCGGGGTGGAGCCGGGCCAGGCCCATCCGCTCCGGGCGCGGGCAGCTGGCGTCGCGGGTGGGTCAGAACCCAGGACACGCCCAGGAGTCCGACCTCATGGCGCTGCAGGGCCTGGGGAGTGGGGGCTGGGGACAGCGCCAGGGCCAACCCGACGCCAGCACCCCCGGCAGACCCCAGGAGCCGCCTGTGAAGAGACTGGATAGGTGCATTAAGCGATCAGAAAAGTCACTGGCTGGCCCTGTTGATGAGCAGAACGCTTTCAGAGAAGTGTATGCTCACGCAGTGCTTGGACAGCATTCGCGTAGTTTGACACTTGTCTGCTTGGGCGGATAGATGCTCACACACATAAGTTTGTTTTGTAGTTATGCAGGATTGCACTGTGGCTAAGTACACAGACTCTGGGTGCACATCCCAGCTGCTCTGCTATTTCCAGCTGTGTGACCATGGGGAAGTTACTTGCCTGTGCTCAGTGTCCTCTGTAAAGTGAAGATAGCAGTACCTGCCTCATGGAGTCCCTTAAGTGAGTTAATAGTGTAACATGTTATGGCGTCATGCACACAGTCACCATCGGTAAATATAGTCTATTATGCCTGAACCCCAGAGGAGCACATGTCCTTGAAAAGTCTAAAATTCAGGACTCTAAAATCCAGACTGTGAGACCCTGGAATCCTCCAGCAGCATTCTAACGTCTCTTGGCAATTGTATGCTGCTTCCCAGGGCTGGAAGGTGTATTTGTATTAATACAGTGAAATAATACGGCCACTTGACCACCTAGTTCATCCCTATAGTAGGCAAATAAGGTGATGTCAAATCCTTGGCTGGGGCCCAGTCCTGGTAATCTTCCCTTCTCTCTTTCCTGCATACTCTCTCATTCAGATTCATACATGCCCTGCAGGACTGCTTAGCCTGCAGAGAAGGCAGGATGGTGAGGAGAGAAGGTGAGTGGGTGGGTGGGTGCAATTGTTCACTGAAGTGTGCTGCCTCTTGCCATCTGAACTTGTGGGCCCAGGCACTGGGTCTGGACCTGAGGGGGTCTTGTTCTCCCTTTAACTTTAAGCCTCAATTGGCAGCAATCGCAGAGCTTCGTCCCTCCCTGTGAGCCTGTCTGGGTGTTTATGCTGGATGACATGCACCCCCTCTGCCAGGAGTGCATAGTCTATGGCCTGGCCAGGCAGCCATTGCAGATGAGAAGAGTTTCAACGTCGACTTTATTGTGCTGCTGGGTTTTTTCTGCTGGCTCTTAGCACGTTTCTCATGAGCCATGATTAGCCTCAGGTCTATGGCACCTTCCGCAGCTATGTCATGGTGACTGGGGACATCATCTGAAGCATGTGCCACTGCTACCCCAAGGCAGGTGTTGGTGAGGCTGTGTGGGGATAGGAGGGTTGGAGACCATGTCTCTATCTCATGCATCAACTCTTCATCCTTCAATCATCTCCTCATTCTTATTTTGACTCTGTGTTTACTTCTTTCTGCCCTCCTGAGCATTCATCCATCTATGCATCATTTCATCCACCCTTTCAACCACCCATCCATTCATCTATTCGTCCATCACTTAGCAGAAGGATTGATCAGAAGCCCCCAGGATCTGGAGCCATGAAACAGACACCATGGAGGAGACACAGTGAAACACAACATATTACTTATGTGCTTAAACTAAAAGTCAGTGAGTGGTTTCCACCTGCCAGGCACTCCTGCATTTAGAGTGCAGTTCTGCCCTTATCCTGATCTTTTTGGAGCCTTCTGTAGTTCCATTTTATATCAGAAAAAGCTGAGGCTCAGCAAATGAGGTTCTATAACTGACTGGCCGAGTTTGGATTGGAGCTCAGATGTGTGAATGTAGGCATCATTCTTTTTCTTGAGTTTTCCACCCCAGGGCCCCAGAGCGGCTTAGCTTTCTGGGGTGGGTCAGGTCTAATCTTGGTGGAATGCATTGAGCAATTCTCTATCTTTTGGAGTCTTAATGTATTCTTAGCCCTAGGAGTGGTTTAGTGATGGGAAAGCACTGGTTTGAGAGTCCTGTGTTCTAATGCCAGTTGTGACCCAAACTTTGTGTGTGATGTTTGTCTTTCCGAGCCTCAGCTTTTTCATCTGCAAAATGGGACTTTAGCCTCTATTTTGCACAGCCAAACAGCATATAAAGATCAGAGAAGAGATGGGATATACAAATATTTTGTCAACTCTAGAATGTTGTTTGTAGTTGAAAGGCTGCCGGGTACTGATAACCTTGAGAAAAGAACATGTCAGCTCCCAAGTCAAGTCTCTTACTCTTTCATTTTTATTTTTAACTTTAGACACAAAAATGTTTCTTTTTTCTTGAACTACACACTTAAGAAGCTCCTATTGATAACCAAATTAATGTTTTTCTTTTGAAAATAATTTACCCTTTTTTGTTGAAGGTATTGTAAGAATCCATTTCCAGCTTTAAGGACAATTTCTCTCAGTTCCATTTATATTTATTTCTCTGGTTTTAGCTCTATACATTTGTGGAAATTTTACTTCCATTTTTGTGAATAATCTTTTGTTTGTTTGTTTGTTTGTTTGAGAGGGAGTCTTGCTCTGTTGCCCAGACTGGAGTGCAATGGTGTGATCTTGGCTCACTGCAGCTTCTGCCTCCCAGGTTCAAGTGATTCTCCTGCCTCAGCCTCTCAAGTAGCTGGGATTACAGGCACACACCACCACGCCCGCCTAATTTTTGTATGTTTAGTGGAGATTGGGTTTCACCATTTTGGTCAGATTGGTTTCGAACTCATGACCTCAGGTGATCTGCCTGCCTTGGCCTTCCGAAGTGCTGGAATTACAGGTGTGAGCCACTGTGCCCGGCCTAATAATTATATTTCAATTAAAATCTAATTTTTAAAGGTACCAGTTTTTAATTCAATAAATATTTAACATATTCACTTTAAACTCTTAGGTGTTAAGTCTAAAAATGTTTAATGGCTTAAAATATTGTCTTACATATTGTATGAATGAAATACTAATGACTGTGATGGTCAGATTATCTTTTGTTCATAGCTTTCTTTAAATACAATATAATTATTTTTTATTTGTTCTTATTAAAATTCATTTTGTCTTACTTAAATGTTGATAAATATAGAAGGGAGGCTTCGTTTGCCAGCTTTATACATTCGAAAGTCAAATTGCAATGTTATTAACTTCTAACTACTCAGTTAACTACTCAGTAACTAATTTGTCTCCCACAGTAAACATAAGTATTAACTAACACAATTATAGTCATATTCTCCATCTTAATAATGGAGTAAAATTTGTGTTATTTATTGATTAAGTTACAGCCCAGGCTGGAGTGCAGTGGCATGATCTTGGCTCACTGCAACCTCCTCCTCCCTGGTTCAAGCAATTCTCCTGCCTCAGCCTCCTGAGTAGCTGGGATTACAGGCACCCGCCACCACGCCCAACTAACTTTTGTATTTTTAGTAGAGACGGGGTTTCACCATATTGGCCAGGATGGTACTGATCTCCTGATATGGTGATCCTCCAGCCTCAGCCTCCCAAAGTGCTAGGATTATAGGCGTGAGCCACTGCGCCCAGCCTATTTTATATTTTTATTTCATATTATTTCATGTCAAGTATCTAGGATATAAACTTTTGTAAACTAGTATAAAATTAAAAAATGTCTTTTGCTTGAGCTCAGGAGTTCAAGACCCGCCTGGGCTACATGGCAAGACCCCATCTCTACCAAAACTACAAAAGTCAGTCATATGTGGTGGTGCATGCCTGTGGTCCCTGCTACTCAGGAGGCTGAGGCAGGAGGATCCCTTGAACCCATGAGGCAGAGGTTGGAGTGAGCCAAGATCATCACACTGCACTGCAGACTGGTTGACAGAGCAAGACGGTGTCTCAAAAAATAAAAAAATAAATGTCCAGATGGGCATGGTGGTTCACGCCTGTAATCCCAGCACTTTGGGAGGCCAAAGCGGGCACATCACCTGAGGTCAGGAGCTTGAGACCAGCCTGGCCAACATGGCGATACCCCGTCTCTACTAAAAATACAAAAATTAGCTGGGTGTGGTGGTGGGCACTTGTAATCCCAGCTACTTGGGAGGCTGAGGCAGGAGAATCACTTGAACCTATGAGGCAGAGGTTGCAGTGAGCCGAAATCGCGCCAATGCACTCCAGTCTGGGCGATAAGAGCAAGACACTGTCTAAAAAAAAAACAAAAAAAACTCTTGATAGGCAAAGATTATGATAGTAATGCTATAGTTATAATGTTATGGTAATCAAAGAATATAGTACTACCATAGGAATTGATTTGTGTAGATTAAAAGAATAAAGTTGAAGGTATTAATTTGAGGTAAAAATAATTCTGTCAAAGATGCCAAGAAATTCCAATGGAGGAAGTTTGTTCAACAAATAATGCTGAGAAATCAGTTTTCATTGTGCAAAAATGAAGAATATACATCCATATATATTAAATGAGAGTAAGTGAATACCCATATAACAATAGAAAGTATTAATTAAATTATTTTTACATATAAAAGCTCAGTGTCAAATTGCATTAATTCTGAATTTCACTGACATTTAATAAAAATGTAATATAATTTTTTCACATAAACTTTCATCAATGGCAGAGGTAACATTTTTCTATTAATTTACTAGCTAGGGGTACTGTGATACCAAAGCCAGACAAAAGAATCACAAGTAAAGAAGACTATGGACTAAAATTCCATATAAATATAGAATTCCTGATGAAGTTATTAGAAATGTTAGCACACGGCTGGGCATGGTGGCTCATGACTGTAATCCAGCACTTTGGGAGGCTGAGGCAGGCGGATCATGAGGTCAAGAGATCAAGGCCATCCTGGCCAACATGGTGGAACCTTGTCTCTACTAAAAATACAAAAATTAGCTGGGCGTGGTGGCGCGCACCTGTAGTCCCAGCTACTTGGAAGGCTGAGGCAGGAGAATCGCATGAACCCAGGAGGCAGAAGTTGCAGTGAGCCGAGATTGTGCCACTGCACTCCAGTCTGGGTGACAGAGCAAGACTCCATCTCAAAAAAAAAAAAAAAAGAAATGTTGGCACACTAAATCCAGCAACATGTAAAACTGATTACATACCATAACCAAGCAATAGTTTGTCACAAATGGAGTGTTGGCTTAATATTTTTAAAATCAACCAAAATATTACAAAATGTTACTTGAACAATAGAAAAAAGTGTCAATGTAAATAAGCAAAAAAAGTATAAAAAATCCAGCACCCGTTCATGATAAAACACTCAGAAATCTAGTAGAAAGGAACTTGTAAGACCTGCTAAAAAGCATCTATAAGAAATCAATAGCTGGCTGGGCACGGTGGCTCACATCTGTAATCCCAGCACTTTGGGAGGCAGAGGTGGGCAGATCAGGAGGTCAGGAGTTTGAGACCAGCCTGACCAACATGGTGAAACCCCATCTCTACTAAAAATACAAAAATTAGCCAGGCGTGGTGGTGTGTGCCTGTAATCCCAGCTACTCAGGAGGCTGAGGCAGGAGAATCGCTTGAACCCGGGAGGCAGAGGTTGCAGTGAGCCGAGATTGAGCCACTGCACTCCAGCCTAGGCAACAGAGTAAGACTCTGTCTCAAAAAAAAAAAAAAAAAAAGAAATCAATAGCTAATAGTATACTTAACGGTAGATGATTGCAGGCTGTATCTGTAAGTTTAAAAATGGAACAAGAATGTACACTTTTTCCACTCTGTTTTTACACTGTCCTGGAAGTATTAGCCAGAAAAGTATACTAGAAAAATAAATAAAATCTTCAGATTAGAAAAGAAGTAGGATACTATTATCTTGCCATAATATTGGGTTAAAAACTATGATAAATTTACCAAAAACATACTTCAGTTAATAAAAAATTTTATTAATGTCACAAAATACAAGATTAATAGACAAGGTTAAATCTTTTATATAACAGCAATCAACATACTGAAAATTAAGAACAAAATGTAATAATAATATCATAAAAACCATTTAGGTATGTGGGCAGCAAGCCACCCAGGTGCCGAGGCAAGAAACTGAGGGCACGAGCTGTTCCAGTGTAATAAAATATATAAAACAACAAGAGTTATACTAGATATAGATCATAGATATGATTATATATGAATATCAATCATTAGTTTGTAGCAATTACTCTTTATTCCAACATTATAATAATCCTTGCTCTATAATTATAACCTAGGAAAAACCAGGCCATACAGAGATAGGAGCTGAAGGGGGCACGGTGAGAAGTGACCAGAAAACAAGAGTGCGAGCCTTCTGTCATGCCCAGACAGGGCCACTAGAGGGCTTCTTGGTCTAGCGGTAACGCCAGCGTCTGGGAAGATGCCCATTACCAAGCAGACCATGGTCTAGCTGTAGCATCAGTGCCAAGGAAAAGCACCCGCTACTTAGCAGACCGGGAAAGGGACTCTCCCTTTTCCCAGGGGAGTTTAGAGAAGACTCTGTTCCACCACCTCTTGTGGAGGGCCTGACATCAGTTAGGCCTGCTCGCAGTTATCTGGAGGCCTAACCGTCTCCCTGTGATGCTGTGCTTCAGCGGTCACGCTCCTGTTTCACTTTCATGTTCCACTCTGTACACCTGGCTCTGCCCTCTAGACAGCAGTAGCAAAATTAGTGAAAGTATTAAAGTCTTTGATCTTTCTGAAAAGAGCGTAAAAGAAATAATGACGTAAGCTGTCCTCTCTCTCTCCGCTTCGGCTACCTAACAGGGAAGGGCCCCCTGTCCAGTGGACACGTGACCCACGTGACCTTACCAATCACCGGAGATGACTCGCACTCTTTACCTTGCCCCTTTTGCTTTGTATCCAATAAATAACAGGGCAGCCAGGCATTCGGGGCCACTACCGGTCTCTGCGTCTTGGTGGTAGTGGTCCCCCGGGCCCAGCTGTCTTTTCTTTCATCTCTTTGTCTCGTATCTTTATTTCTACGATCTCTCATCTCCGCACACGGAGAGAAAAACCCACAGACTCTGTGGGGCTGGTCCCTACATAGGTATATATATATATATATATGTATGTATGTATGTATGTATGTATGTATGTATGTATGTATTCGAGACAGAGTTTCACTCTTGTTGCCCAGGCTGGAGTGCGATTCATGATCTTGGCTCACTGCAACCTCCACCTCCCAGGTTCAAGCGATTCTCCTGCGTCAGCCTCTCAAGTAGCTGGGATTACAGGCATGCACCACCATGCCTGGCTAATTTTTTGTATTTTTATTATAGACGGGGTTTCACCATGTTGGCCAGGCTGGTCTCAAACTCCTGACCTCAAGTGATCTGCCTGCCTCAGCCTCCCAAAGTGCTGGGATTACAGGCATGAGCCACTGTGCCCAGCCTGTTATTTCTGTCTCTTCTGGCTTGTAGGGTTTCCAGTGAGAAGTCTTGCGGGGGTCCGACCCGCTGACCCTGACTCAATGACGGATGAACAATGTATACTGATGCAGATATTCTGCTTTGCCAGTGCAACTGAGGGTCCAGGCTGCCTCACAGACTAACAGAGGTGCTGTAGGGAGTAGCAGCCGCCACACCAACCAGCCAGCGAAACTTGCATTTATTTGGTAAAGATTAAGTAACAAAACTTTGAGTAAACACCACTAGAAGGTAATTGACATTGCCGACTTCGCGAGTAGAAAGCAATTAAGCACCCAAGATCAAAGGTTAGTCTGAGGACCACATGAGTAAACAAGGTAGTTAGATAAACTACTCTACATCCGTTTGTATTTGTGCCCTAAGTTAATAACTTAAGGTAAAGTGACCAGGCCGCCTTCAGCCAGATCTATTACCGAAGTTTTGCAAAACCCTCAGGCCTTCCAAGAGGGTTTATGGCTATTATAACTAAAACTTTTTTCACCAGTCTGTCTGAACCCCCACAAGGTCTGCTGTTAGTCTGATGAGCTTTTCTTTGTAGGTGGCCTTGCCTTACTCTCTATCTGCCCTTAAGATATTTTTATTTCATTTTGACCTTGGAGAATCTGATGATTACCTGTCTTGGGAGTAATCTTCTCATGGAATATCTTAGTGGGGCTCTCTGCATTTCCTGCATTTGAATGTTGGCCTGTCTAGCTAGGTTGAGGAAGTTCTCCTGGATGATATCCTGAAATATGTTCTCCAATTTGGTTCAGTTCTCCCCATTTCTTTCAGCTACCCCCATCAGTTGTATATTCACTCTCTACACAATCCCATATTCTAAGGTTTCATTCATTCCTTTTTTTTTTTCTTTATTTGTGTCTGCCTGTTTGATTTCAGGAAGACAGTCTTCAAGCTCTGGGATGTTTTTTCCTCCGCTTGGTCTATTCTGCTATTAATACTTGTGATTACATCGTGGAGGCCTTGTAGTGTGTTTTTCAGCTCTATCAAGTCGTTTGTGTTTCTCTTCTTACTGGCTATTTTGGCTGCCAGCTCCTGCATTGTTTTATCGTGATTCTTAGCTTCGTTGCATTGAGTTACAGTGTGCCCTTTTAGCTCAGCCAAGTTCATCTGTATTCATATTCTGAAGCCTACTTCTCTCATTTCAGCCATCTCAGCCTCAGCCTGGTTCTGATCCTTTGCTGGACAGGTGTTGCTGTCAGTTGGAGAAAAGGGCACACTCTGACTTTTGAGTTTTCATCATTTTTGTGCCACTTCTCATCTTTGTGGGCTTATCTATTTCAATGTGTGAGATTGCTGACCTTTGGATAGGGTTATTGTGGTTATTTTTTGTTATTTATTGTTTTTCTTTTAACAGTCTGACCACTGTGTGTAGGGCTGCTGTGGTTTTCTGGAGGTCTGCTCCAGACCCTGGTGCCCTTGGCTTTTTCAGTATCTGGAAGTATCACCAGTTAAGGCTGTGAAACAGCAAAGATGGCAGCCTGCCCCTTTGTCAGGTCAGAATGCATACTGACCTGTTGCCTGCCTGAACACACCTGTAGAAGGTGGCTGAAGGCTTTGGATTGGAGGTCTCACCCAACCAGGAGGAATGGGGTCAGCAGCCTACTTAAAGAAGCAGTCTGGCTGTGTTTTGGTAGAGCATCTGTGCTGTGTTGTGGATTCCTTCAGCTCTCAAATGGTTTGGGCTATCCAAAGCCCACAGTCTGCACTAACTTACCTGCCCAAACAGCAAAAATGGTGGCCCACCGCACCCCCTGGGCACTCCATCCCACGGAGAAATTAGAACTCTATTGGCCTTAGAACTTGGGCAGAAGTAGATGGAGGCCCTGGCTGGGAGGACCCGCCCAGCAAGGGGGAATGAATTGGGGTCCCACTTAAAGAAGCAGTAGGACTATGCTTCAACAAAACAGCCATGGCATGCTGGGGAACCACCTCTGCCCAAATCTGCTTGGACTCTCCAAACCCTCAGGCTTAAATGGCTTAGTCCCCCAAACAGCCAAGGTGGCAGGGCGCCCCTCCACCATGGGCATTCCATCCCAGAGAGAAATCAGAACTCTGTTCATAGAATATGGGTGGGGCAGCTGGAGGCCCCTGCTGGGAGAACTCACACAGTGAGGGAAATGGATTGGGGTCCCATTTAAAGAAGAAGTCTGGCAACATTTTGGTAAAGCAGCTGTGCTGTGCTGTGGGGTCCCTGCCTCATTCAGATCATTTGGACTCTCCAAAGCCCACAGGCTGCAATGACTTTGTCATCCGAACAGCAAATATGGCAGCCCATCCCTCACCCAGAAGCTCTGACCCATCTCAGGCAGGTGCTACACTGTTACCAGTAACTAGCTGGAATTCCAAATCTGTGGGTCTTATCTTGTGAAGTGCCATGGAAGTGGGATCCACAAACTGATGCTGCTCAGCCTCCTGGATTCAGCCCCCTTCCTAGGGGTATGCACCAATCTCCCACCTTGCCTGAGTTGCAGTCATCTTTGTTGGATGTCCCAGGGCTGAGGTATGTAAAGCTCCTGGGACTCTGTTTGTGTCTGAGCAGCTGTTCTACCAAGACTCCACACAGCTCTGTGTGTCAGACCCAAGACCCTGGTGGAGTGGGTTCACAACTGAATCGCCTGATGCAAGGGTTGCAAAGATCTTTGAGAGAAGTGTGGTTTCCTGGGGTTGCACATTCACTCACCATTTTTCTTGGCTGGGGTGGGGGTTCCTTTGGCTCTGTATCAATCCTGGGTGGGACCTCAAAATCAATTCTTATGGTAATGCCATATTGTTTGGTTAGTATAACATTTTAGTAAGAATATCAGAAATAAATTTCATTTTTGTTTTCAAAATTCTCATGTGTTTGATTTTTTTGCATGTCTGTATAGAATTTAGAAAGAGCAGCTTGTCAATTTCTATGAAAATAGCCAGGTGCAGTGGCTCACACCAGTAATCCCAACACTTTGGGAGGCCGAGGCGGGTGGATCACCTGAGGTCGGGAGTTCGAGACCAGCCTGACCAACATGGAGAAACCCCATCTCTACTAAAAATACAAAATTAGCCAGGCATGGTTAATTACAGGCATGCATGTAATCCCAGCTACTTGGGAGGCTGAGGCAGGAGAATTGCTTGAACCCGGGAGGCAGAGGTTGCGGTGAGCCGAGATTGCACCATTGCACTACAGCCTGGGCAACAGGAGCGAAACTGCATCTCAAAAAAAAAAAAAAAAGAAAGAAAGAAAATAATTTACTTTGAAATTTGCATTGAATCTGTAGATAGATTTGCTGGGTATTTTGATCTTAATATTTCTCATTGATAACCTTGAATATTAGATGTATCTTTACTTATAGAGTTTTAAAATTTTCTTTCAGCATTTTAAATAATTTTCAATGTAAAGCATGTGTACTTGCTTTTAATATATTCCTAAATGGTTTTTATGACATTATTTTTTTCATAATTTGATTTTCAGTCTGTTGATTATGTTATATAAAAGTATTATTTAACCTTGTTTATTAATCTTGTATTTTGTGACATTAATAAAATTGTTTATTAACTCAAGTACATTTTTGGTAAATTTATTATAGTTTTTTATATAACATTGTGGCAAGAAAATAGTATTCTAATTCTTTTCTAATCTGAGGGTTTTATTTATTTATCCAGTATAGTTTTCTGGCTAATACTTCCAGTACAATGTTAAACAGAGTGGAAAAAGTGTACATTCTTGTTCCATTTTTAAACTTACAGATACAGCCTGCAATCATCTACCATTAAGTATACTATTAGCTACTGATTTCTTTCTTTCTTTTTTTTTTGTGACACAGAGTCTTGCTCTGTCGCCCAAGCTGGAGTGCAGTGGTGCAATCTTGGCTCACCGCAACCTCCGCCTCCCGGGTTCGCGCCATTCTCCTGCCTCAGCCTCCTGAATAGCTGGGACTACAGGCGCCCGCCACCATGCCTGGCTAATTTTTTGTATTTTTAGTAGAGATGGGGTTTCACCGTGTTAGCCAGGATGGTCTTGATCTCCTGACCTGGTGATCCGCCCACTTTGGCCTCCCAAAGTGCTGGGATTACAGGCATGAGCCACCATGCCCGGCCAGGTATTGATTTCTTATAGATGCTTTTTAGCAGGTCTTAACAAGTTCCTTTCTAGTAGATTTCTGAGTGTTTTATAATGAATGGGTGCTGGATCTGTCATACTTTTTGTGTCTATTTAAATTATCACCTTTTTCTATTCTTCAGGTAACATTTTGTAATATGTTGGTTGATTTTTAAAATATTAAGCCAACACTGCATTTATGACAAACTATTACGTGGTCATGGTATGCAATCAGTTTTACATGTTGCTGGATTTAGTTTGCTAACATTTCTAATAATTTCATCAGGAATTCTATATTTATATGGAATTTTGGTTCATAGTGTTCTTTATGTGTGATTATTTTGTCTGTTTTTTTGTTTTTTTTTTTTTTTGACAGAGTCTCACTCTGTCGCCCAGGCTGGAGTGCAGTGACACAATCTTGGGTCACTGCAACCTCTGACTTCCTAGTTCAAGCAATTCTCCTCCCAAGTAGTGGGGATGACAGGCACGCGCCAAAATGCCCGGTTAATTTTTTATATTTTTGGTAAAGACGGGTTTCACCGTGTTAGCCAGGATGGTCTTGATCTTCTGACCTTGTGATCTGCCCACCTTGGCCCTCCCAAAGTGCAGGGATTACAGGCGTGAGCCACCGCGCCCAGCCACGGTTTTGGTACCACAGTACCCCTGGCTAATAGATTAATAGAAAAATGTTATCTCTGCTATTGCTGAAAGTTTTTGTGAAAAAATTATACTATGTATTATTAAATATTGGTGAAATTTAGAATTTATGCAATTTGACACTGAGCTTTTCTATGTGAAAATAATTTAATTAATACTTTCTTTTTACTTGTTATATGGCTATTCATTTACTCTATTCTATTTAACATATATGTATGTATATCCATTATATTTGCATGTTGAAAACTGATTTCTCAGCATTATGTTTTGAACAATTTCTCCTATTGGAATTTCCTAGCATGACTGACAAAATTATGTTTACCTAAAATTAATGTGTTTATTAATATACCTTCAATTTTATTCTTTTAATTTACATAATTCTATTCCTATGGTGGTACTACATTATTTGATTACTATGACATTGTAACTATAACATTACTATCATAATTTTTGCCTATTAAGACATTTATGTATGTATGTATTTTTTTTTTTGAGACAAAGCTTCGCTGTGTCACCCAGGTTGGAGTGCAGTGGCATGATCTTGGCTCACTGCAACCTCTGCCTCCTTGGTTCAAGGGACCCTCCTGCCTCAGCCTCCCAGGTAGCTGGGATCACAGGCATACACCATCATTCCTGGCTGTCTGTTGTAATTTTAGTAGAGATGGGGTCTTTCCATGTAGCCCAGACTGGTCTTGAACTCCTGAGCTCAAGCAAAAGACATTTATTTTTAGTTCATAGTATTTTATAAAAATTTATATCTTAGGTACTTCACATGAAATAACATGAGATAAAAATATGAGGCTATAACCCAGTCAATGAATAACACAAATTTTACTGCATTATTAAGATGGAGAATATGACTATAATTGTGTTAGTTAATACTTACGTTTACTGTGGGAGACAAATGAATTACTGAATAAGAAGGAAGTTAATAAAATTGCAATTTGACTTTGGAATGTATAAAGCAGGAGAACAAAGCCTCCCTTCTATATTTATCAATATTTAAGTAAGACAGAAAATACGGGCTGGGTGCGGTGGCTCATGCCGGTAATCCCAGCACTTTGGGAGGCTGAGGTGGGTGGATCACTTGAGGTCAGGAGTTCAAGACCAGCCTGGCCAACGTGGTGAAACCCCATCTCTACTTAAAATACAAAAAATTATCCAGGCGCAGTGGTACGCACCTGTAATCCCAGCTGCTTGGGAGGCTGAGGCAGGAGAATCATGTGAACCCGGGAGGCAGAGGTTGCAGTGAGCTGAGGTCACAGCATTGCACACCAGCCTGGGGGACGAGAGCAAGACTTCGTCTAAAAAAAAAAAAAAAGAAAGAAAATACATTTTAATAAGAACAAATACAAAATAATATTGTCTTTAAAGAAAACTATGAGCATAAGGTAATCTGACCATTATTGTCATTAGTATTTTGTGCATACAATGTGTGAGACATTATTCTAAGCCATTAAACATTTATAGGCTTAACACCTAAGAGTTTAAAGTGAATATATTAAACATTTATTGAATAAGAAAAACCGGTACCTTTAAAAATTATACTTTTAATTGAAATATTATTATTGTATATATTTGTTGAGTATGATGTCATATTTTGATATTTTTATGCTGTAAAATGATTACATTGAGCTAAGTGACAAA
Source organism: Homo sapiens (assembly GCF_000001405.40). NCBI lineage: Eukaryota > Metazoa > Chordata > Mammalia > Primates > Hominidae > Homo > Homo sapiens. Next base: position 322,812 of record NC_000004.12, on the reverse strand, counting down.
TTCTTTAGCTCACATATGATTTTTTTGTGGTGAAAACTTTTGAAATCTACTTCATAGCAATTTTGAAATATACAATACATTATTATTTATTATAGTCACCATTCTGTGCAATCAATCACTAATACTTATTCTCTCATCTAAGTGAAACTTGTTACAATTTCGCTTTCTACATCCACTCCCTCTCCTAGCCACTCACATTTTCACTCTGATTTTTATATATATATATTTTTTTTTTTTTTTTTTTTGGAGACAGAGTCTTGCTCTGTCACCCAGGCTGGAGTACAATGGCACAATCTTGGCTCACTGCAACCTCCGCCTCCCTGGTTCAAGCGATTCTCCTGCCTCAGCCTTCTGAGTAGCTGGGATTACAGGTACGCACCAGCACTTCCAGCTAATTTTTGTATTTTTAATGGAAACGGGGTTTCACCATGTTGGTCAGACTGATCTCGAACTCCTGACCTCGTGATCCTCCCGCCTTGACCTCCCAAAGTGCCAGGATTATAGGCATGAGCCACCGCGCCCGGCCTATTAAGTTATATTAAGGCCATTGCATCAATTAACTATTTTGGTATACAACAACTACATGAACATAAATAATGTTAAATGGCTGTATAAGAAAGTTTGACTAAATAGCCATAGAAATAAATGGGAAGAATTTTTTTTAACTTTTAATTTAAAAGTAAACTTTAACGTCGAAAATGCAAACCTGGGGAAGGCAGAAAGATCACACACAAGGCTGTCGCTTCACACTTGGAGGGTTGCACAGCTGCCGGGTAGAGGCGTTGCTCACTTCCCAGATGGTGCGACAGACAGGGAGAGGCGCTCCACACTTCCCAGACAATGGGGTCGCCGGGCAGAGGCGCTCCAATGGGAATAATTTTTAACCAGTAAACAAAAAATACCCATTAAATGGAAAGGTTTTAGGACCGAAATATGTCGTTGAATGCATGAGAGCAAAAACCCAGCAGGTAGTATTTTCTAGGCATTGTAAATAACAGTCGAAGGCATCTACTAAAGTGAGTTCACAAGTAATATCTATCTACATAAAACTTCTATAAGATTTAAAAAATTAATTTCTGGATTAAATAGAAAATTCAAATAGAATTTGGATTCAGAAAAGTGTTCATGATGAAGCATGGTGATTGACGCCAAAACCCTGAATTTCAGTAAATAATCCTGCGAGTGTTATCTTAATCATAGAGGAAAGTGGCATTCTGCCCATATTTAGATATTATTCCTTCCAGTTGGGGTAGTTTTCAAAATTTTGTGAAGACATAAAATCAGTTTTTCTGTAGTAAAAATACACTCTATGAATTATTGTTACTTTGTAGTATAATTGAGGGAAAGATATATTCTAAATAACTTGAAATTTTTCATGAGATGCTGTTCTCTGCCAAAAAAATTGTGAAATATTTTTCTCAGGGATGCTTTGTTGATATGTTTGCTGTTTGGGAAAATACATATTCTAGAAACTTTAAATATAGAAAGCTAAAATTCTTAGGAAGTTACAATAACCTTTTTTTTTTTTTTTTTTTTGAGACAGAGTTTCACTCTTGTTGCCCAGGCTGGAGTGCAATGGCGCAATCTCGGCTCACCGCAACCTCCGCCTTCCGGGTTCAAGCGATTCTTCTGCCTTAGCCTCCCAAGTTGCTGGGATTACAGGCATGCACCACCATGCCCGACTAATTTTGTATTTTTAGTAGAGATGAGGGTTCTCCATGTTGGTCAGGCTGGTCTCGAACTCCTGACCTCAGGTGATCCACTCACCTCAGCCTCCCGAAGTGTTGGGATTACAGGCGTGAGCCACCGCGCCCGGCCTTTTTTTTTTTTTTTTTTTTTTTTTTTTGAGACAGAGTCTCTCTCTGTCACCCAGGCTGGAGTGCAGTGGTGCCATCTGGGCTCACTGCAACCTCCGCCTCCTGGGTTCAAGCGATTCTCCTGCCTCAGCCTCCTGAGTAGCTGGGATTACAGGCGCCCGCCACCATGCCCAGCTAATTTTTTGTATATTTAGTAGAGACGGGGTTTCACCGTGTTAGCCAGGATGGTCTCAATCTCCTGATCTCATGATCCACCCACCTTGGCCTCCCAAAGTGCTTGGGATTACAGGCATGAGCCACCACGCCCAGCAACAAGAACTTTTAAAATTCTGAGTAGAGTAGCAAGAAAAATATGAGAACTTTCTAGGTAGTGAAGAAGACCAAATAAACTATCCAGAATGTGATCAATCTAAGAAACAAGAGCTCTTCTTGGATATAGGTAAAGACAGAGATGACAAGTTCCTGGGGGTTGACCAAGTTGACATAGGCAAATGGGGAAAGAACCATAAACTAACTGCAGACATTGCAATTGTGGTATCTCCCATTAATGTGAAACAATTACAACTTATGTTGCCTACATTTACAGGATTTACATTTAAAATGTTTCAAGGCAATACAATCAGGAAAATAGACAACATATTAATAATGTGGAAAGAACAAGAAGATATGAGGGTGACAAGTCATATTTGAAAAACAGCCAAATATGAAGCAAACAATTAAAAATGTAAATAATCTACTTAATTTACAACATATCACTGAAACATTTGTCTTAGCTGATGAGATTAGTCAACTATAATACTGAGCAGAATCAGTGTAAAAACAGAAAAGGAGAAGTTATATAACCTCAAATATACATGTATGAAAAGTAGGATGAAAGGAACTAAAACAAACCCAATTGTTTCTACAGAATATATTTTCATTTGTTTGTGTGTTTTTTTGGTGGAGTTTCGTTCTTGTTGTCCAGGTTGGAGTGCAATGGCATGATCTCGGCTCACTGCAACCTCCGCCTCCCAGGTTCAAGTGAATCTCCTGCCTCAGCCTCCCAAGTAGCTGGGATTACAGGTGCTCATCACCACGCCCAGCTAATTTTTTGTATTTTCAGTAGAGATGGGGTTTCCCCATATTGGCCAGGCTGGTCCTGAACTCCTGATCTCAGGTAATCCACCTGCCTCGACCTCCCAAAGTGCCGGGATTACAGCACTGCGTGAGCGTGAGCCACTGTGCCTGGCCTACAGAATATATTTTCAAAATTAAAGTCAATATTCAGACTTGGTGACTTATAGTTTCTAAAATCGAAAACCAGACATAAGTCTTTGAATTCAGAAATGCAGTGTGTCAACAACATAAATAGATTAAATACTGAAAAATAGCCAAGCTGCATGAGACCACAGTAGAAAAAAACAGTATAAATCAGTGAGAGAAAAAAAAATGTACAAAGATGGAAGTAACATTTCCACAGCTGCATAGAATGAAAACCAGAAAAAGAAACATAAATGAATCTGAGATAAATTATCTTTAAAGCTAGAAATGAATACTTACCTGCAATACCTTCAACAAAAAAAGTAAATTAAAATATTTTCAAAAGAAAAACAGGGCCGGGCACAGTGGCTCATGCCTGTAATCCCAGCACTGTGGGAGACCAAGGCAGGTGGAGGAGTTCGAGACCAGCCTGGGCAACATGGTGAAACCCTGTCTCTACTAAAATACAAAAAATTAGCTGGGCATGGCGGTGTGCGCCTGTAGTCCCAGCTACTCGGGAGGCTGAGGCAGGAGAATTGCTTGAATCCAGGAGGCAGAGGTTACAGTGAGCCAAGGTTGCGCCATTGCACTCCGGCCTGGGCAATGGAGTGAGACTCCATCTCAGAAAAAAAAAGAGAGAGAAAAACATTCATGTTGTTATCAGAGCTTCTTAAGCATGTACTTCAAGAAAAAGGAAACATTTTTGTGTCTAAAGTTAAAAATAAAAATGAAAAAGTAACAGATTTGATTTTGGAGCTGACATGTCCTTCTCTCAGGGTTATCAGTACCTGGCAGCCTTTCACCTACCTACAACACTGTAGAGTTTACAAAATTGTCTTCTCTATAATCTCTTCTCTGATCTTTATACCCTGTGAGGCTGTGCAAAACAGAGGCTTGAGTCCCATTTTTCAGATAAAAAGCTGAGGCTCAGAAAGACAAAAATCACACACAAAGTTTGCGACAGAACTGGGAATAGAACACAAGACTCTCATACCAGTGCTTTTCCCATCCTAAATCACTCCTAGGGCTAGGAATACATTAAGACTCCAAAAGATAAAGAATTGCTCAGGCCACATGCGGTGGCTCACGCCTGTAATCCCAGCACTTTGGGAGGCCAAGGCAGGCGGATCACGAGGTCAAGAGATCAAGACCATCCTGGCCAACGTGGTGAAACTCCCTCTCTACTAAAGATACAAGAATTAGCCAGGTGTGGTGGTGTGCACCTGTAGTCCCAGCTACTTGGGAGGCTGAGGCAGGAGAATTGCTTGTAAGCAGGAGGCAGAGGTTGCCGTGAGCCAAGATTGTGCCACTGCACTTTAGCCTGGCGACAGAGTGAGACTCCATCTCAAAAAAAAAAAAAAAAAAAAAGGAATTGCTTAATGCATTCCACCAAGATTAGACCTGACCCACCCCAGAAAGCTCTGGGACCCTGAAATGGAGAAATCAAAAACAAGAATGATGCCTACATTTGCACATCTGAGCTCCAATCCAAACCCTGCCACTCAGCTATAGAACCTCACTTTCTCAGCCTCAGCTTTAAAGCACTCATTGTCTTTTAGTTTAAGCACGTGAGTAATGTGTTGTGCTTCATTTCTTCCCTTCCATGGTATTTGTTTCATGGTTTCAGATCCTGGGGGCTTCTGATCAACCCCTCTGCTAAGTGATGGATGAATAGATGAATGGATGGGTGGATGAAAGTATGGATGGAAACATGGATGGATGGATGAATGCTCATGAGAGCAGTAAGAAATAAACAGAGAGTCAAAATGAGAATGAGGAGATGATTGAAGGATGAAGAATTCATTTATGAGATAGAGGCATGGTCTCCAACCCTCCTATCCCCACACAGCCTCACCAACACCTGCCTTGGGGTAGCAGTGGCACATGCTTCAGATGATGTCCTCAGTCACCATGACATAGCTGCAGAAGGTTCCATAGACCTGAGGCTAATCATGGCTCATGAGAAACGTGCTAAGAGCCAGCAGAAAAAACCCAGCAGCACAATAAAGTTGAGGTTGAAGCTCTTCTCATCTGCAATGGCTGCCTGGCCAGGCCATAGACTATGCACTCCTGGCAGAGGGGGTGCATGTCATCCAGCATAAACAGCCAGACAGGCTCACAGGGAGGGACAAAGCTCTGCGATTGCTGCCAATTGGGGCTTAAAGTTAAAGGGAGAGCAAGACCCCAGTCAGGTCCGCAGTCAGTCTGTGGTTGAGCCTTTACTGTGTGGTGGACACTCTGAGGTGTGGGCACTCTGAGAAACACAGGCTTCAGGGATGGATGGCACGCTGTCCTTATTTCTGGGGCACCTTCCAGGGCACAATATGGTCGAGGTTGTGCAATGTGCATGAGTTCCAGCATGTGCATGAAGCAAAGAGAGGGATAGAGGAGGTGGAGGCCAACAGGACTGATTCACAGAAGGTACCCTTGAGAGGGCAGTTAAAGTTCTTCTCCCAGGGCAAGGAATGACTGGCAGGCACAGAGGCCAGCATGTGCAAAAGCACAGCGGCAAGTACCCACTGACACACAGCTGGAGAGAAGGCTGTAAGTGCTGTGTGCAGGCTGCCCACATTGCATCCTCCTCCCCAGACCTGCTCCTCCCAAAACCCCATCCTTCCAGTTAGTGATCCAGGCCACTGTCCTCACCTCCTCTCTCACACCCACCTCCTGTGGGCCCCACCTTCAATTGCTTCTCATCCCCCATGACTACTCATTGCCTTCATCCCTCTCCCCCTAACTGGTCTCCACTTCCATTGTTGACCCCTGAAGTGCCTTTGCAACCCAACACTGGGTGAGATCATATCAGTGCTCTGCACAGAACCATGGACTGGCTTCCTGTCTCATCAGAGTAAAAACCAGAGGCTTTAAGATGACCCGGAGGACCCTGGAGAATTGGCCCATGTTGCCTGCACGTCACCCCCCTGAGCTCACCTCCCACTGCACCTCCTCTCATTTGCTGCCCTGCAGCCACCCTGGCCCTGTGCTGTTCCTGGAACATATGGGCTTCCCAGGCCCCCTGCACCTGCTGTTCCTTTTGCCTGGACTGCTCTTCCTTTAGATAGCTGCACAGCTCCCTCCCTTACCTCCTTCAAGCCTTTGCCTAAATGTTACCCTCACAGTGAGGTCTTCCCTGATCTGCCTCTAAAGTTGCAGAACTGCCTCCCCCCGGGGATTTACTGTCTTCCTTTCTCAATCTCTTTTTCTCCACAGTCCTTATCGCTATCGATCACACTTACATATTATTTATTCGTCTTGACTCTTATCTGTCTCCCCAACTAGAACTCAAGCTCCCGCAGGATGGGGGCATTTTTTTTTGTTCACTGCTATATCCCCAGGGGCTGGAACAGGGTACGCTCTGGACACATATGTGTGAAGGAATTTATGGAGTCTACATACCTGGGAGAGAGAGCTGGGAAAGGAAATACAGGCAGGAAACCTCCTGGGTCTAAGGCATCTGACATTTTTCACAGAGGTTATGCAGGGGAGAGAGAGGAATCAGACATTAATTTTCAATTAGGGTGAGAAAGACTCAAGTGAGCAATAATTAGCATCTGGGGGACTAGTAGGGGAGATTACTGACTGGGAGGGGCTGGGTTAAGGTGGAGTCCTCTAGGGGAAGGGATCACCCATTCACCCAGAAAACAACAGAAGCCCAGGAGGAGCCTGACTTGGTTTGGCTGTGTCCCACCCAACCCTCATTTTGAATTCCCATGTGTTGTGGGAGGGACCCAGTGGGAGGTATTGATTCATGGGGGCAGGTCTTTTCCATGCTGTTCTCGTGATAGTGAGTAAGTCTCATGAGATCTGATGGCTTGCTTATAAAGGAGAGTTTCCCTGCACAAGCTCTCTTCTCTTGTCCACTGCCATGTGAGATGTGCCTTTCAGCTTGCGCCGTGATTGTGAGGCCTCCCTAGCATTGTGGAGCTGTAAGTCCATTAAACCTCTTTCTTTTGTAAATTGCCCAGTCTTGGATATGTCTTTATCAGCAGCGTGAAAATGAAAACGGTCTAATACAGTAAATTGGTACCAGTAGAGTGAGACACTGCTCAAAAGGTAACCAGAAATGAAGTTCTGAGTAACAGGCAGAGGATGGAATAGTTTGGAGGGCTCAGAAGAAGACAGAAAAATGTGGGAAAGTTTTGGAACTCCCTAGAGACTTGTTGAATGGGTTTGACCAAAATGCTGATAATGATATGGACAATAAAATCCAGGCTGTGGTGGTCTCAGATGGAGATAAGGAACTTGTTGGCAACTGGAGCAAAGATGACTCTTGTTATGTTTTAGCGAAGAGAGTGGCAGCATTCTGCCCCTGTCCTAGAGATTTGTGAAACTTTGAACTTGAGAGAGATGATTTAGAGTATCTGGTGGAAGAAATTTCTAAACAGCAAAGCATTTAAGAAGTGACTTGGGTGCTGTTAAAGACTTTCGGTTTTACAAGGGAAACAGAGCATAGAAGTTTGGAAAATATGCAGCCTGACAATGTGATAGAAAAGAAAATCCCATTTTCCGAGGAGAAATTGAAGCCAGCTGCAAAAATTTGCATAAGTAATGAGGAGCCAAAAGTTAATCACCAAGACAATGGGGAAAATGTCTCAAGGGCATGTCAGAGACTTTTGTGGCAGCCTGTCCCATCACAGGCCCGGAGGTTTAGGAATAAAAAATGGTTTGTGGGCCAGGCCCAGCGTCCCTCTGCTGTGTGCAGTTTAGGGACTTGGTGCCCTGTGTTTTAGCCACTCCAGCTGTGACTTAAAGGAGCCAAGGGACAGCTTGGGCTATTGCTTCAGAGGGTGGAGGCCCCAAGCCTTGGCATCTTCTACCTGGTGTTGAGACTGCAGGTGCACAGAAGTTGGGAATTGTGGTTTGGGAACCTCCGTTTAGATTTCAGATGATGTATGGAAATTCCTGGATGCCTAGGCAGAAGTTTGCTGCAGGGGCAGGGCCCTCATGGAGAACCTCTGCTAGGGCAGTATGGAAGGCAAATGTGGGGTTAGAAGCCCCTACAAAGAGTCCCCACTGGAGCACCACCTAGTGGAGCTGTGAGAAGAGAGCCACTATCCTCCAGACCCCAGAATTGTAGATCCACTGACAGCTTTTTGGTAGAATAATTGGGTTTCTTTGGAATAAATACCCAGTACTGGGATTGCCAGATTAAATGGTAGTTCTAAGTTCTTTGAGAAATCTCCATACTGCTTTCTACAGTGGCTGAACTGATTTACATTCTTACCAGGAGTGTATAAGTGTTCCATTTTTTCCACAGCCTCACCAACATCTTCCTTTTTTTGACTTTTTAATAATAGCCATTTTGGCTGGTGTGAGATGTTATCTCACTGTGGTTTTGATTTGCATTGCTCTGATGATTAGTGATGTGGAGCATATTTTCATGTTTGTTGGGTGCCTGTAAATTCTCCTTTGATAAGTATCTGTTCATGTTTTTGCTCATTTTAAAATAGGCTTATTTTGTTTTGGTTTGCTTTTTTGGTTGTTTACATTTCTTACAGATTCTGGAAATTAGGTCTTTGTCAGATGCATAGTTTTCAAAGATTTTCTTTCATTCTATAAATTTTCTGTTTACTCTGTGGATAGCTTCTTTTGCTGTGCAGAAGCTTTTTAGTTTAATTAGGTCCTGTTTGTCAATGTTTGTTTTTCTTTCAATTGCTTTTGGGAACTTGGCCAAAAATTCTTTCCCAATTCTTTCCTAATGTCAAGAAAGATATTTTCTAGGTGTTCATGACCAAAAAAAATTCACGTATATGTGTGCACCCCTTCTTCTTCTTCTTCCTCCTCCTCCTCCTTCTTCTTCTCCTCCTCCTCTTCCTCCTTCTTTTCCTTCTTCTTTTTCTTTTTTTACTTCCACTTGTTTCTTCTTATTTATTGATTATGTATATGCCCACCAACAACATGCTAGTGTGAGCATCTCTGTGCAGATGCTCAAGTTTCTTATGAAATGTCCTTCAACAGGTAGAATCCTTTATGCAAGAACATGTAACTCTCAACTTCTTTTTTATTTTTAAATGTGGTTTCACTCTGTTGCCCAGGCTGAAGTGCAATGACACAATCTCAGCTCCTAGGACCTATACCTCCCAAACTCAACTGATCTTCTCACCTCAGCCTCTCAAGTAGCTGGAACTGCAGGCTCAGACCACAACACCACGGTAGTTTTTGCATTTTTTTTTTTTGAAACAGAGTCTCACTCTGTCACCCAGGCTGGAGTGCAGTGGTGCAATCTCTGCTCACTGCAATCTCCACCTCCCGGGTTCAAGTGATTCTCCTGCCTTAGCCTTCCGAGTAGCTGGGACTACAGGTGTGTGCCACCAGGCCCCACTAATTTTTGTATCTTCAGTAGAGACGGGGTTTCACCATGTTGGCCAGACTGGTCTCGAACTCCTGACCTTGTAATCTTCCCACCTCAGCCTCCCAAAGTGCTAGGATTACAGGTGTGAGCCACCACACTTGGCCATTTTTTGCATTTTTTATATGCAAAAATAGGGGTTTTTGCCATGTAGCTCAGCCTGATCTTGAACTCCTGGATTCAGGCAAGTCACCCACCTTCCCCTCTCAAAGTGCTGAAATTACAGGTGTGAGCTATCGTGCTTGGCTTCTTTCAACTCTTGATACATATTTTCAAATTATCTTTCAAAAGGTTATTGACCGTTTATACACTTTACAAGCATGAACAGTGTGTTTCTACTGCTCATAAAAAGAGACAATGTTAGAAAACATTTAATTTCCCAAAGTGATGCCAGACAAAATTCATATATTTTGGAGCTTTTTTTTCTAACCACATTGAAGTTGGGCGCCTTGTGAAAAATGGCCTTTTTTTTTTTTTTTTTCTGAGATGGAGTTTCCCTCTTGTTGCCCAGGCTGGAGTGTAATGGCACGATCTCCGCTCACTGCAACCTCCACCTCCAGGGTTCAAGTGATTCTCCTGCCTCAGCCTCCCGAGTAGCTGGGACTACAGGCATGTGCCACAAAGCCTGGTTAATTTTGTATTTTTAATAGAGACGGGGTTTCTCCATGTTGGTCAGGCTGGTCTCGAACTCCTGACCTCAGGTGATCCACCCACCTCAGCCTCCCAAAGTGCTGGGATTACAGGCGTGAGCCACCACGCCCAGCAAAATGGCCATTTTTACTTCTTTTTTTTTTTTTGAGATGGAGTCTTGCTCCGTCGCCCAGGCTGGAGTGCAGTGGTGCCATCTCGGCTCACTGCAAGCTCCGCCTCCCGGGTTCACATCATTTTCCCACCTCAGCCTCCAGAGCAGCTGGGACTACAGGCACCTGCCACCACTCCAGGCTAATTTTCTTTTTGTATTTTTAGTAGGGATGGGGTTTCACCATGTTAGCCAGGATGGTCTCAATCTCCTGACCTTGTGATCCACCCACCTCGCCTCCCAAGTGCTGGGATTACAGGTGTGAGCCACTGCGCCCGGCCAACTTATTTTAATGTGTAATTTTTTAAATAAGTTCTGTGTATTTTTTAATTGAGTTTGTGATTTTTCTCCCTATTGTCAGGGGTTTCTAACACCTTCTATTTTAATGCAATCTGTCTCACATTATCCTAGCAGGGTAATGACAGTTCACACATCCAAGAATACAACTGTCCTGAATCTGTTCTTATAAGTAAGTCAGAAGTCAAGAAATCCAGGGTGTCATCTAAACACCTGGTAGAGCCCCCCAGTCAAGACATGAACTGGGCTCCCTTTTACCTCATAGACAGCTGAAGGATTGGACGTGATTTATTGATTGGCCCCATGCTGCATCTAAGCACCTGGGCTAGGACTCAACCCTGATTGCCAAGCTGCATGTAAACAGTCTTGAAGTTTGCTATCATAATGTACCCTAGCCTGCCACCAAGACACTCATTCTGGCCACTTCAACCTGTGACTCACAGCTCTGTCGGTGTGAATGCAAACCTGGCTATCTGGCTGCGAAGAATATATAAATGCAGAACAGCAAATCAAGCATTCAGGCACCAGGCAAGAGTTCTTTCCGGGTTTCCAAAACAGGCTTTCCAGAATTTCCCAAAGATGTTGAGACTTAGACCCTTCCTGACCCCACCCCCTGAAATAATCATAAATGGAATCTGGGAGCCATGCAGACTCTCTAGCCTACTCTTTAGTGAAAATGGACTAGGGCCTAAAATGGCAACCCTTTGTCCTCAAGAACACAAACTGAGAGGCTGAGCATTGGCCTCCTACCTTCCAATGACAGACCTTACCCAAGTCCCATCAAAGCTCATACTGTCTTTTAACTGCCATCATCCAGACATGTTCCAGAACAACCCCTCAGAATTGTCTTAATGAGATGGGACAAGGGGCAATGGAGCTCCAGGTTCAGAATGGCTGCCTCGTCTTTCTCTTCTGAGAAGTCTGTACCTGCTGGACAGAATGCTCACTCCTTAGGCAGCTTAGCCCTTGTCCCAGGAACTGCTCCCTAAAAGAATCTTCTAGTCTCTTTTCCCTCTAAAGAGAGGGTCCATGAGACACTATATGGTAGCGAATACATGACCTCAATTCTCACCTGACTTGGCTAACTGATGAACTTTAGAGATAAAGATGCAGGGAACATCCTGTGTCTAGTGAATCTGTCCTGTGCTTCTCAGCTGTGGTGCCTGTGCAAATGCTGGAAGCCAAAAGGATATCCAGTGGTAGATGCATAGACACAGTCTAATAAAATTATGTAAGTTTAAGTTTAATATAAATGGAACTTATAATGTCATATCAAATATTGTTACTTAATTTTATAAGAAAACTGTTAGATTTTGTAAAGGCATTAAATATAATTTTAATAGGAAATTATGAAATTTAAGTGCACTTGGTATAAATGACTGAATTTTGGGCAATTCAGTAAAGGTCACACATGACTGTGAGTCATTGTTGATGAAATGCTCCTACAGATAGCATATTGCACATGCATTTTGATTTGTTCCTCTGAGGTCAATTTTTCTTAATTTTATTCATCAAGTTTTATACACTTTAGACAAAATAGACCTTGTAGTTATCATGTGCTCTATGAATCTGTACTTTGTTAGAAATACACATTTTCAGGCAAAACCCAGATATATTGTATCAAAATCTGGATTTCAAATATTTCCAGGTAATTCACATGCATATTAATAATTGTTAAGTGGCAGTAATTCTATGATTGAAAGAGAAAAGGTTATATGGATGTATTGATTTGTCAAAAAGGTACAGTAAAGACTGTATGTTTCAATGCATATACATCTTATCTTACAGAAAATAACTAAAAACAATAATAAAGTGGAGATGGGAGGCTGGGTGTGGTGGCTCACACCTGTAATCCTAGCACTTTGGGAGGCCAAGGCAGGTGGATCATGAGGTCAGGAGATCGAGACCATCCTGGCTAACATGGTGAAACCCCATCTCTACTAAAAATACAAAAAATTAGCCAGGTGTGGTGGTGGGCACCTGTAGTCCCAGCTACCTGGGAGGCTGAGGCAGGAGAATGGAGTGAACCCGGGAGGTGGAGCTTGCAGTGAGCCCAGATCGCGCCACAGCACTCCAGCCAGGGCGACAAGAGCAAGACTCTGTCTGAAAAAAAAAAAAAGAAAAAAAAGTGAAGAAGAAATTAAACATAAATGAGACAAAATTAGTAGATGTTGAGGCTGAGCATCAGCCTATTATACTATATTGGTTACTGTGTATAAGTTTAAAATATTCTCTAATAAAAGACTTTTCTAAAAAGACAACCATCTATAACATTAGCTCAAGATTGTGGTTAGATTTGGGGGGAAGGAAAAGAAGAAGTGGTTTGTGGGGAAAAACAAGGGTAGTTCCATTCTATAGTTACACGAATGTATTAGCTTTGTTATAAATTATTGAGCATTACATTAATATTTCATTGTGGATGCATTTCTGTATGTATGTTATACATCAATAAAAATGTAAATATTACATATTTAATACTAACTTAATATTTCAGAATAATAGCAATGTTTCGTATTGTTTTGTTTGAAAGTGGGGCATTGGCCAGGCGCGGTCCACTGCACTCCAACCTGGGCAACAGAGTGAGACTGCATATCAAAAAAAAAAAAATAGTGGAGCATTTACATTCAGTCATCATGAGATGGATACTAATATTCCAAGGTATGCATACATGTCTTGACCCTTGGGAGTCCCCCTCAGTCTTTCATTTTTTATTTCAATTGAGTAAGTAGCATGGTTTTAGTTTTGGGGAATGTAAATTTCTTACAGCAAAGTCCTTCCTCCACAACAATATTCACCTAGCACAGTGGGCTGCACACAGTGTGCACTCAGTGTGTGTGGAACTGGTTTGAATCAGGAACAAAACAAGTAGCAGAGGTCAGTTTTGCAAAGGAAAGAATGTGGGTAATATGAGTAAGACTGAAAGGCCACAACTCAACAGCAAACACTTTTTACATTAATTTGAGAAATATTTTCAACTGGTTCTCTGAAAGATGTTGGTTTACAGCAGACATTTGGGAGTATGGTTGCATATTGTAATCACCTGGAGAGCTTTAAATCACACTGGCTTTTGCCTGGGTCTTAAGCTAGGGATTCTGGCTTAATTATTCCCTTGCAATTTGGGTTTGGGAACTTTAAATACCACCACCTACATGCACAACAGGCTAATGTGCATCCAAGGGTGAGAAGCATTGATTCAGGGCAAGGAATGAATTGGTTATGTGTGATTTCTATGTGTGCTCTAGGTATTTGCCCTATAGCTGCTCCTAAATGTGGGGTCTTAGAAAACATCTTGGCCCTTCAAAGCATACTCTGCTGGTTGGCTAAATTGCAGCAGGAAAAAATATCAGCAGCCCTATTGCTATGTCACTTGCCTGCAGAGCAAAAGTTGTTTCAGGAACAGTAATTTGATTTAGTCTATATTAAAAATCATAAATAGTCTACAAATACAAAAAATAAAGAGTTTGCAGCTATGTTGAGTGCATTATAGGTGTTTTCAAATTTCTCCTATGATAAATTAAAAATGTAACGTTGGGCATTAATTTCCTAAACCCAATGCTCAGCAATTTCCTCAAATTGTTGCCAGTTTTTCCAAGAGACTTCAGAACCATTCCCTGGAGTGAATTATTTCCAATGGTGAAGAGTAAGGGGTGGATGGGATGAGATTCTAAAAAAAAAAAAAATCTTGCTTCTATTTCAGAAGTGTCACTCTTCAGCCCCGTGAAGGACACGAAAAGCTGGCTGAGTAGTGTGGTCTATGGAGGTGCAGGGGCTTCAGAGTTAGGGAAGCATCAATCCTGAGTCCAAGCCAGCTGCTTGGTAGCTGTGGGATAGTTATATAAGCCACATCTGCAAGAAAAGTCATGATAAAATTGATCGCAAAAACAGCAATTAAAAAAATTCTTATTGTATTCATGTTCTTGGAAATGGCTTTTATAGTTGTTCCTATCAAGAAACAGATTCTGTTTCCCAAACTTGAATCTCTCTTGACTTATTTGCACAGGCCGAAGCTGTGCATATGACAGTGTGCCAGTTTGGGGCCCAGGTTCAAAAGGTCTTAAATGCTTCTGTTATCTTTTTCAGAATTCTTCCATCTCTATGAGAACAAGCCCATTTTAACTTTCTGGAGGATAAAATAGCATGCTGAGGAAAGCCAAAGTGCGCCAGTTTACAGACAGCTCACTCCCAGAAGCAGAGCCACCTAATTCACCAGCATCTGACCACTCACACCTGAAGGAGCCAAACTGAGCCCAGAAGAATGGCCCAGCTAAGCCCAGCCTAAATTTCTAACCAGCTCAACCCTGAGCTAGTATGTTTCAGGATTGTTATGCAGTTATAGCTTAGTAATATATACACCCATTAAAGACAGGATTCCAGGATTCCAGGACAGATTGATTACAAATAACCTGCAAATGCTTGGCACCCTGTAAGTATTGATATTGTGTTTCCTTTATTTAAAGTTAAATTTGTTGTAAGATGGTATTGACTTATATAGAAGTGAGGCAAGAGAATAGGGTCTGGAGGCAGGGAACTTAAGGCCAATTCGTGCTGAATTCCTAAAGAAGAAACACCAAGGTCTGGGAGCAGGGAACCTAAGGCCAATTAACGTGAACTTCCTACATCTAAACCAAAAGGAAAACCTCATCTACACCTGAGTAGCAAAGGATCAAAGGTGACTGTTGCTACAACCCTCTCCTTTGCACCAGTTCTCTGATAGAAAAGGAGAGTGACTTGGAGTGGCCGTGGGCCAAGCACAGGCCATGCCTTCATCTGCATGGGGTACCAATTCACCTCAGCCTTTGATTAGCCACGGACCAAATCTTTCATCCAGATAAGGGGTAGCTGATAGGGACCTCAAAAGGAGTACTTAAAACCCAGATAACTTTGTAACCGGGTCCTTGAGCTGCTTGCTGGGGCTCACACCCATCCCGTGGAGTGCTTTCTTGCTTTAATAAACCCCTGCTTTTGCTGTTTCCTTCATGTGTTTCGTTCCATTTTGCATTTTGTTCAATTCTTTGTTCAAAATATCAAGGACCTGGACAACTCACACTCACGGCCTTCCTTCTGGGAACAGAAGTGCAGGTAGAAGTGGATGCATGTGATTGGTGCTTAAACTCACACAGTGCCCCACACCACAGGAGAAAAACACACAGTTACAGCCTGACAGGTCCAAAGATAAATAGCAAAACAAGAAATTTGCCTTTAATCTATTCCCTCCACATCTAAACTCTGGAGGGCAAGGCTGTGAAGAGATCTGAATACATGGTGCTCTCTCTTCCTGTGGACCCATCATTCCTTGTTTACTGTCTGATATTTAAAAGGAAGAGGAACCCCTGAGAGAGGAGGCAGTCAGAAGCTAGTTAGGAAGATAGGGAGGGAGGGTCTCTGGAGAGGAAAAACACCCATGGGACCGCACATGCACCACCCTTGTAGCTAGTGGGAAGAAATGTGGTTAAGAACTTCCTCTTATGCCAGGATGTTGATCAGAAGGGACTGTCCCCACTTAGGCCCAGGTGTAATAAATCAACCTAAATGTCATTAACTTGACCCAGCTCCTTATAATGTTACCTAACATGACATAAGTATTTTGGTTTTAGCTTCACCCTTTCCACCTGCTGTGGGTTTCGCTTGGGCACTCATGGGTAATAACCAAGACGGAGTCACTGTGGTCAATCCCAGGCATGCTCAGATGCAACACTGTTATAGGGGAACTTTACCCCTCCCATTTGGGCAGAGCCCACAGAAGACTTCCTTGTTCTTGCCATATAAACTCAGCCCCATTTCTGGCACCCTGCTTTCATGTCCCCTCTTACTGCTGAGAGCTTTCCCTATGCTTAATAAATCCTATTCTGCTTTACTCACTCTCTGGTGTCTGTATGTCTTATTCTTCCTGGTCATGGGAAGAGAGCCCAGACGTGGTTGAACTGAGGAGACCACCACACTGGTACCAAACAGCAAGGGGGAGACAGTGATCTTCACGTGGACACTCTCAGCTTGCAGCCCCTGCTCTCTCTAGGGGCACTGTCCTACCCATCCTTCATCCTGAGGAGAAAAGTTGGTAGAGAGGCTGGTCCCTTACTTCCAGTAGAAAAGACGTGTTCAGGCCCTCACTTTCTTGAGGTCAGAGCCCTCATGGCTGTACTCGATGTGGCAGCCACCAGACATATGTAGCTACTGAGTACCTGGAATGTGGCTGGTTTGAGGTAAAATGTGCTGCAAACATAAAATACACAGTGAGTTTAGACGAATTAAATCAGAAATATACTTTATTTCTAATTATATATTGATCACATATTGAAACAATATTTTGGATACAATAGGTTAAAATATAAACAATTTCACTTGTTTCTTTTTATTATTTTTGATGTGGCTAATAAAAAATTGAAAATTCACAAATAGCTAACATTTTATTTTTTAAAGGATTGCTTCCCCCTTAAAATCCTACTCAAAAGACCAGAGGACAGAGAGGTTATGAAATCTAAAATATTAAAATAATTGTCATTATATTGTTTCCATTTGTGAACAAGTGTGTGTCTGTGTGTGTGCGCGCGCGTACGTACACAATTTATAAATGGGCGTAACCTTACACACCAGAAGGTTAAAAATGAACCCCCAACAGAGCCAAGCCTAGCACAGAAAGCCCTGACTGAAAATACCTGGAGGCACGAGTCTGTCTCTCTTGCCTCATTAAGTGCACTGTGTGGTGGCAAGTTCTGTCACTCAAATTCTGAGCGTGGGGAGCTTGGTATCTTATCCAATCAGAGCGCTGGATTGAGAACTGCCCAATCAGGCGCGCAGCCGGAGAGGAGGGGGCGGCATCCGGGATCTGGCGCGGCTTTTGCCTTTTGCGCCAGCGTGAGCTCGGTTAGGGTCTCCACGGCCGTGCTTTCACCCCTCAGGGAGGCGTCGGTGATTCGGTCACAGCCTCAGCCTCCGTCGCTCTGTGACCTGCGGGTATTGGATGATTCGTAGCTGAGACTCCGCTACACCCCTGAAGTGGGGAAATGGTGAGTGTGGGGGCAGGGCGTCCCAAGGCTGGGGAGGCCTCATCCGAACCGGCGGGAAATGGCGGCGGCGGGACGGAGTCTGCGAACGGAGTCTCCGCTGCCGCCGCTCAGCCCTCAGTCCTTGGTCCCTTCCGGTGAGGGACCCGGGTTCATGTCGGTCCCCGCAAGGCGGCTTTGGCCCAGCCTGCAGCCCTACTTGTGCAGCTCTGCGCCCGCAGCCCCGCACCTTCCCTGGGCTGTGGGGTGAGGAGGAGCTCATCGGGAAAACGCCTGCGTGGCGTGCGAGGTGCCCGCCTGGGAGGAGCTGTGGTCCGGTCGTCGAGTCCCTACTTTACCCTGTTCGGAATAAGATCGAGGCCCTATCAAAACATAGAGTTCATGTGAGCAAATGGGGACTAATTAATGGGACAGCCCCGGGCATGGCTTGTGGTTTGGGGGCTGCCAGCGGGTCTTGAAGGAAAAGCTTTTGTGAGGTGTGTGAGGAAGCGAAGCAAATCACCCGCCCGCTCCAACTTGCCCACCAGTCCCCTTGCCCTGTGCGCCTCCTCCGCGTGGCTGTTCCTGAGTGGCATCTTTTAGAATACGCTGGTGTGGGCGCGCACAGCGCTTCGCTGAGTTCTGTGAGTAGTTCTGCCACATTATTGAACTTGAGGAGGGTGTGGGCGCCCCTGGTTTGTAGGCAGGCGTTCAGAAATGAAGACGGGTGTCCAGAGGCAGGGACTGCCGTCTGCAGGGGGGGGGCAGCTGCGGGAAGAGCGCTGAGCTTGTGGGGTCTTCGCTGACTCTGGGTGGTGTCGTTAGTGAGTTGCTGGACACCGCGTTGGGGTTGGAGCATTGACTGATGTTGAGCAAACTCCGCACGTTTTCTGTCAGAAGAAAGACATGGCTGAGCCTGGGCTGGAGAAAGATGCCTGGTGTCTGCGGGAGGCGCGGCCGGGTTCTGCACATGTGCTGTCCCGCTGGGCACTGTCCTTTTCCTCCAGGTCTCCTTCCGGGGAGAGAAGGGACTGGGAACTTAGAGGAAAGGAGTTCTGAGAAACATCCCTTCCCTGCACCCTGCTGCCAGCCCCCACTTAATGCTAACCCACTCCCGAGGACGCTCACTGGCCATTCGCATTGCCACACTCCTCCCAGGACAGGGTTCTACCCTCAGGAATTGTGCCCGTGACAGCTTTGCTCCTAGGGTATTCTGCCAATAACACACACAGTGCCAGGAAGACTCCTGGCTCATTTCAACCCCAGACACTGGATCTATAGCAGGAACCTGTTTCCTTCCCCCACCCAGGCTTCTGGACCACCTGATCCTAATCTCCTCTGCCTTTATGGACACATGAATCAGTCAGATGGTAACCCTGCCTAGACCTGCACTTGTAGCACAAACTAGTCTTTTATTTAGTCAGTCCTGCCCTGTCCCCACCATGACTCTTGATAGCTCCTTTCTCTCTTCTGCTTTTTTCTTCCTCACAAATCTTATTTCCTGTGCACACAGTGTGCCCAAGTCCATCCCTCACTTGCCTGCGAGAATTCAGACGTTAGTGACTTCAAGACCATGCCTTTAAACCTGGCTGTTGCAGGAGCAAACCCAAATTAGACGCGGCTTAATGGTCTCTCTTTAGAATGAGGGAATAATTTTTGCTCTTCTCCCTTTTCTTAAAGCATTTAGTTTGAAAACATTTTTTGTTTTGTTTTCTTGAGCCGGAGTCTCACTCTGTTGCCCAGGCTGGAGGGCAGTGCCGTGATATCGGCTCACTGCAACCTCCACCTCCCGAGTTCAAACAATTCTCCTGCCTCAGCCTCCTGAGTAGCTGGATTACAGGCCTGTGCCACCACGCCCAGCTAATTTTTCTAATTTTAGTAGAGAGGGAGTTTCACCATGTTGGCCAGGCTGGTCTCGAACTCCTTACCTCAGGTGTTAATGTTGTACCTGAGCAAGTTAGAGAAAACGCCACACTTTGAGATGAATTAAGAGTCCGTTTATTTAGCCAGCGGCCAAGAGACGGCTAACGCTCAAAGTTCTCTCGGCCCGAAGAAGGGGCTAGATTTTCTTTTATACTTTGGTTTAGAAAGGGGAGGGGGGGTCTAGTTAAAACAATTTTACAGAAATAAAGTAGGCAAAAAGTTAAAAGGATAAATGGTTACAGGAAAGTAAACAGTTCCAGGTGCAGGGGCTTTAAGATTATTACAAGGTGATAGACGCGGGGCTTTTGGGCGTTATCAATCAGACGAATTCCTGGGAACTGTGGATATTGCTCGCCACAGTATTTTATCAGTTAATTGCATTCTTGGATGTGCTGGGAGTCAGCTTGCACAAGTTAAGTCCTTGAGGAAGGGGCTGCCAGTGAAAGAGCCAAGATGGAGTCTGTCTGGCTCTTAGCTAAGGGAGAGTCAACTCAGGTGGAAACAAGGCTAGGTGATTAAAAGAAGAGGGAGAGTCTAAAAACAGGGTTAGTAGAAACAAGGTTGGGCGTTACAATTTGTCCACCTCGGCCTCCCAAAGTGCTGGGATTACAGGCGTGAGCCACTGCTCCTGTCTCGAAAACTTTTATATTTAAGTATTTTCTCTGCTTCTTTAAAATTTATATGTCATTTTTGTCAGTTAAATAAGTCATTTGTCTTTTTTGAGTCAAACTTGTCTTTATCTAGGACCTGAAAACTATTGCTTTGAAAAGTGAATAGCAAGAACATGCATCCTATCCCACAGTTTCTGTAGGCGACTAATAGGCTGCCTTCAGCAGGTACCTAGCCTCACGTTGCAAATCTGCCTCCTGTCATGAAGATGTTGGAAGTTTATTTTTTCTATAAATATTACCAATTAGAAAACCCAGATGAGTTCTCAGATTACTAGGTGAAATTACAATAAGCCGTATATGACAAATGGTGCTGTCATGTCTTCTACTTGAGAATTATGGTGAGTTTCTGTGTTTGTAGTCTCTTAGTAGATTGCCTATGATGCACATCACATTTTGGTTTAATTATGTAACAAAACATTTTCTTACTTCTCTATTATTGTGGAGTTTTTTAGGATTGGAGATGATTTTGCTTTTAGTTATATTTTTCCTCACACTGTCCAGAATCACCAGACATTATACACAAGTGCCCTCTAGGCTTCACTTTAGAGAAAAACCTTTCTCAGGATTCCACTCACAACCCATAATTTGGTGGCAAGGTGCACAAAGTGCAGCAAAGTGCTCCCCAAATCTGGAAACAGAATGGTCTCTCCTTCTATCTACAGTCGCTTCTATAACAGTTATACTGGATTTCTACAAAAATAACTTTTTAGTACTGCAATCAGTTATTCCTCCTTCGTCAGTGTGCCTGGCATCTTCAAATCTGACACTGATTCCGTGATCATGGGGCCCATAATCCCAATCAGGATCACACATGTGCATTGATTAAACCTGAGAACTTCTTTTTTATATCTATCTGTCTATATATTTTTTATTATACATTAAGTTCTAGGGTACATGTGCACAACGTGCAGGTTTGTTACATATGTATACATGTGCCATGTTGGTGTACTGCACCCATTAACTCGTCATTTATATTAGGTATATCTCCTAATGCTGTCCCTCCCCACTCCTCCCACCCCACAACAGGCTCTGGTGTGTGATGTTCCCCATCCTGTGTCCACGTGTTCTCATTGTTCAACTCCCACCTATGAATGAGAACATGCGGTGTTTGGTTTTTTGTCCTTGTGATAGTTTGCTGAGAATGATGGTTTCCAGCTTCATCCATGTCCCTACAAAGGACACGAACTCATCATTTTTTATGGCTGCATAGTATTCCATGGTGTATATGTGCCACGTTTTCTTAATCTAGTCTATCATTGTTGGACATTTTGGTTGGTTCCAAGTCTTTGCTATTGTGAATAGTGCCACAATAAACATACATGTGCATGTGTCTTTATAGCAGCATGATATATAATCCTTTGGATATATACCCAGTAATGAGATGGCTGGGTCAAATGGTATTTCTAGTTCTAGATCCCTGAGGAATCGCCACACTGTCTTCCACAATGGTTGAACTAGTTTACAGTCCCACCAACAGTGTAAAAGTGTTCCTATTTCTCCACATCCTCTCCAGCACCTGTCGTTTCCTGACTTTTTAATGATCGCCATTCTAACTGGTGTGAGATGGTATCTCATTGTGGTTTTGATTTGCATTTTCTCTGATGGCCAGTGATGATGAGCATTTTTTCACGTGTCTCTTGGCTACCTAAATGTCTTCTTTTGAGAAGTGTCTATTCATATCCTTCGCCCACTTGTTGATGGGGTTGTTTTTTTCTTGTAAATTTGTTTGAATTCTTTGTAGATTCTGGATATTAGCTCTTTGTCAGATGAGTAGATTGCAAAAATTTTCTCCCATTCTGTAGGTTGCCTGTTCACTCTGATGGTAGTTTCTTTTGCTGTGCAGAAGCTCTTTAGTTTAATTAGATCCCATTTGTCAATTTTGGCTTTTGTTGCCATTGCTTTTGGTGTTTTAGACGTGAAGTCCTTGCCCATGCCTATGTCCTGAATGATATTGCTTAGGTTTTCTTCTAGGGTAAACCTGAGAACTTCAACTCCCTTCTCCCTTTGCCCAAATGCCCACAAATGTGCATAGCTCACCAGCCCTCCAAGTCTTAAATATGTAGTTCCAAATTCTGAATTTATGTCCTGGGATTTGAGAGAAGCACAGAACTTTTATCTGAGAAATACAAGTTATTTTAATGATCAGACCCAGTGATGTGTTAAAATGAGACCACAGTCATGTACTGTTCCCCTCTTTGAACTATTTGTCTTTTGTAATTGTGTGCTATTGCCACAAATGGCTATAATTTTTTCTTTTCTTTTCTTTTTTTTTTTTTTTTTTTTGAGACAGAGTCTCATTCTGTCTCCCAGGCTGGAGTGCAGTGGTTGCTCACTACAACCTCTGCCCCCTGAGTTCAAGTGATTCTCCTGTCTCAGCCTCCTGAGTAGCTGGGACTACAGGCACCCACCACCATGCCTGGCTAATTTTTTGTATTTTTTAGCTGAGACGGGGTTTCACCGTGTTAGCCAGGATGGTCTCAATCTCCTGACCTCTTGATCCCTCTGCCTCGGCCTCCCAAAGTGCTGGGATTACCGGCGTGAGCCACCATGCCTGGCCACAAATGGCTATAAATTAACCTAATAATTTCATACTTGACACTATAACCCACACCTTATATGTTAATGTATATAGCCAGTCACTAACCACTTACTTCTATAAGCCAATAAGAATTTCTGACAACTTTCTATCAGTTCCCTCTCTGCCTCCCTTTTTGCCTTTAAAAATATACTCGTCAGCTGGGCATGGTGGCTCACGCCTGTAATCCTAGCACTTTGGGAGGCCGAGGCAGGCGGATCACCTGAGGTCCGGAGTTCGAGACCAGACTGGCCAACATGGTGAAACCCCGTCTCTACTTAAAAAAAAAAAAAAAAAAAATTAGCCGGCATGGTGGCGCATGCCTGTAATCCCAGCTACTTGGGAGGCTGAGGCTGGAGAATCATTGGAATCCAGGAGCCAGAGGTTGCGGTCAGCTGATATCGTGCCATTGCACTCCAGCCTGGGCAACAAGAGGGAAACTCCATCTCTTTAAAAAAAAAAAAAAAAGTATATATATTTATGTATATAAAAATTATATATATAATTTACATATGTAATATATAAATATATACAAATATATTATTTATATATAAATAATTTATAAATATATATTTATATATAAATTATATATATAAAACTATATATATACATATATATGTGTATATATGTATATATACACATATATACGTATATGTGTGTATATATACACACATATGTGTATATATGTGTATATATATATACACATATGTGTATATATATATATATACACATATGTGTATATATGTGTATATATATATACACATATGTGTACATATGTGTATATATATATACACATATGTGTATATATGTGTATATATACTCATAACTGCTTCTAATTGGAGCGTATATTCAGGGCACCTTTATATTCCAGTGTTGCATCTTCAAGTTTTGGCCCAAATAAACTTTCTACTTGTGTTTACCCCAGGTTTTTCCTTTTAGGTCAAAATATTCTTTAGAATGTGTTGAAGGAGCCTCCATGAGAGAATCTTACCTCTGGTTTTACTCTGCTTACTGTAACCCCTAAGAATGCTGAGGCACATTGATCCCACCTAGAATATGCACATAAAAACTGACTTCTGCCTAGGATTCACAAGACAGGACCAGACTTTGGGCTGAAGACATAACAGAAAACTCATAGAAGACATTTTCTACATCATGAGAGGTCAACATAGGTGGAGCTCTTTGAGTTTTCCAGATCTTGTCCAGTGACCTGATATAGTTGTGTGGGAGGCTTCTGGTGGGAACAGAAGAATCCTGTGGCAGAATCTGTTAAGTGTAAAAAAGCACCTTAGCAGTGGGAGTTCAGGGCCACAAAATATTCAGAGCCAAAGTCACAACAATGCCTCCCCGTAAACTCTTACTGGAGTAGAGTAGTTTTGTCCTTCCCCTTGCCTCAGAGTTAGCTGATCAGGGACAGGGGCTATCACGTCTGGATCCAGGATCTGCAGCTTCACCAGGGCTGTTTCATTTTCTGTTTGCATCCCACTAATTGAGCCTGAATCTCTCCTGCCTGGATCACTATGGGGATATCAGCCCAAGGTCACTGGGGACACTCAACCAGCACCTGTATTTGAGACATCTGCGGATGTCCTGTGCAGACTGGGGTCAGTCTGACAGCAAGGTCTAATTCTGCTCCCATTTTAGAGGAAGATAAATGACTTATTCAGGGTTTGTTTCTCCCCTCAAAGAATCTCCTTGGTTTGTACCCAAATAAGAGTTGCTCCAGGTTTCTAGTTTTTTTTTTTGGTGAAAAGTGAGATCCGGAGACTCAAACTAATCCATAAGCTAATTACTTCTATTTCATATGGTCCATTAGAAAAAGAGGTGATGCAGTCATGGTCCCTACCCTCAAGGAACTTGCAGTCTGGAGCACATGAATAAATGGTTGAATTCAGCATCATATGTTCAGTACAAAGATGGAAATTGTACAGGACACTTAAGCTTCATTTGGGTTACTTCCCTTTTATTGTTTTGTGAGTTTTGATGCCACCACCTGAATGACTATTAATTGACAGAAGAGAAGTTGTATTGTCTTTACCTTGCTAAGAATAAATATTTAGCTTCTAATATAATTGTGCTAGAGAAACATAAGGGATTTGGTTAAATTCCTTGTTGTATGTTATTAAAGACACAGAGAAGTGGCTAAAATAGATTAAAATTTCATAAAATCTGGGAATCAAATTTCTCTTGGGGAGGCTTAGAAAAGACAAAACTGAAAAAACTTAGCGGCATAGAGAACAGAAGTCTAGGGCCCACTCTCTGTCCTAACCCTGCCCAGATCCACCCTCTACTGAACCTTGTCCAGGTCTGACCCCACACTGAAATCTCTCGGAACTGCTTAGAGGAGATCAGAGTTTGGAGTGACTACTCCTACTGCCTCTCCAAAGCTGGTGCTCCCAATTTCCTGAAACACAAAAGCAGATAAATGGGGAAAAGCAATATACTTTTGTGCCTTAAATTCTTTTTTATAAAATTAAAACCAGTGTTTCTAGAGACATCTCATCCAGCAACCTGTTCTCCATCCCTGCAGTTTTTTTTTTTTTTTTTTTTTTTTTACAAATCTTAAATACAACACAAAAATAAATTTCTCTGAATTGCATTTAATACATCCTTTGTTTCTTTGTGATCTATTTATATTGACCGGTTATTCTATACCTTTAAAAAACAAATCAATTGTAGGAAAATAGAAAGGAAATGGTAATTCTGGGCCCTGTATTTAAATCCTGGGAAGTATTGGACACTTAGTGCCCACCTCCCAGGATGTCCTAAGAATTTACACATAATGTGAGTGTCTTAGCACAGTGCTCTGTGACATACTCCTGAGCACATAGTACATGCTCCATAAATACCGCATTAATGCAGGCGCACATGTTGTTTTTTGTTGTTTTTTTTTTTTTTGAGATGGAGTCTCGCTGTCGCCCAGGCGGAGTGCAGTGGCATGGTCTTGGCTCACTGCAACCTCCAGCTCCCGGATTCAAGTGACTTTTCTGCCTCAGCCTCCTGAGTAGCTGGGATTACAGGCGCACGCCACTATGCCTGGTTAATTTTTGTATTTTTAGTAGAGACAGGGTTTCACCATATTGGCCAGGGTGGTCTCAAACTCCTGACCTTGTGATCCCCCCACCACGGCCTTCCAAAGTGCTGGGATTACAGGCATGAGCCACCACCCCTGGACCACATGTTGTTTTTCAAATGCAGACTTACTCAGACATTGACACCATCTCCAGCCTCTGTAAACTTTAAACGGCCTCCAGAGAATGCTGTGCTTCAGGATGATGATTTGTGGTCTTGTCTTGGGATGAAAAGTATTTGTGTTGTGATAAGGGTGTTGGGGTAAGGGACTCTATGCTGTGCCTGCTTTCTCTAGCCGAGTGGTAATATAATGTGTCTAGGTGGAGGAACATCAGCATTAACAGAAGACTTGCTATAAGAAGCTAATTCATGAACTCTTTTCAAACCTGCAAAATTTTGTTACAGTGAGGCCGAGAATATAAAATAATTTTTATGCGCATTGAAGCTTGAGAGGCAGCGCTTAGCTAAGTGACTCTCAGCCCAGTGTTGCAGTAGGATCACACGGACAATTTGAAGAGAAATCATCACCTGTGCCCTCCCCACAGATCCTGTCTGTTGTTCTGGGTGGAAACATTTCTGATTTTTAAATTAAGTTCCTCGCATATTACAGCGAGGCCAAGGTCAAGCGTGAGGCATTCCAGATACTTTCATGAGAGCTGAGTTAAATCTTTTTTTCCAGGAGGTCACAGGGCCTACTCTGCTTGGTTTTGGTAGGGGCAGGTCAGTGTAGCCCGTTATTTTTATTGCAGGAACAGAAACTGTTGGAATGCCATCCTTTTTCTGCAGAGCTATAGAATACTTTAGAGAACATTACTGTGTTGAAAGTTATTTTATCAGATAATCTCAGTCAGTCACATGTCAGAACTAGTTCTCTTAACTCATTTCACCTGTAGTCAAATTAAGAACTCTGTCACTTGATACATATATATTTTCAGGAACTCTTAACATTCAGGGATGTGGCCATAGAATTCTCTCCAGAAGAGTGGAAATGCCTGGACCCTGCCCAGCAGAATTTGTATAGAGATGTGATGTTGGAGAACTACAGGAACCTGATCTCCCTGGGTGAGGATAACTTCAGTAAATAATTCCTAATACTCCCTCAGGGAGTTTTATTTTCTATTTTTGTAGAATGTCTCTTGGGAACCTTCTGCTTTGTGTGAATTTCAGTTTCTTTCTTCAAGAAACTGTTGGGAGTTTGCTGGTGTAAAAAAGAATATTAAGATGTTTTATCTTTACGTAAACCTTCTCTTTTCTTGAGCTAATTTGTGTCCTCCATTTTAGGTTAGTGGTAATTCTCGAAATTCAATGACATAAATTATTGTTTCCCACATCTTAAAATACAATTTGCACCGCTTATTTTGATTCAGTAGTACTTGGTAGTGGAACTTAGAACCCACAGATTTAAAATACTTAAATATTTTAAAGATTCTGCCAGGAAACAATTTTTGGATTAATTATGTAGGATCTTCCATAATTTCTCTTTTCTACTTAGTATAGTATTAGGTAGGTAATTGGAGAATCCCTAACAGTAGCATGTTAATTTTTTAAAATAAACAGGTGTTGCTATCTCTAACCCAGACCTGGTCATCTATCTGGAGCAAAGAAAGGAGCCCTACAAAGTGAAGATACATGAGACAGTAGCCAAACACCCAGGTAGGTGACAGTGAATGAAGGAGAGGACACAGGCCAGGGGACCAAGGTCCAGAAGGAAGCTAGGCCTTAAAATGTAGTTTGGGAAGCTCTGCTCCAGTGAAAATAATTTCTGAAAAGGCTGCATTTTTTTCTCATATTCATGAATAGGGGCATCTTCTGTCCCATGCTGTTAAATCTAAGAATTCTCTTTTTTCTTTAGTGATCTCCCTTCAAGTTTACAGGGAGAGCCAATGTCCACTTTATCGTTTATTAGGGGCTGCATGATCTGACTGCTGTTCCATTGCATTTGGAGACATAGGAATATGTGTATATTGAGGAGCTCTATGTCAGTGTATTTTTTTCAAATATTCTTTTTGTACATGTCTAAAATGTGCACGGTGAGTAGTGGACATATTGGAATTTGGTTCAGAAATCCCAAGAACATCAGGGACAGATGTTGCGTCTTTTCTGCTTAGTGATTTTTAATCCTATAGAGGTTGCAAATATAATTCTACAAAAATTATTACTCAGCAATTTTATCAGAACAATAGGCATTTTCCTAAATATGAAAAAATGTAATGTTACTTCAGAATGTTATCGTTTTAGTATAAACTGAGATTTGTGATTTAAACTCTGTATGTGAAAATTTTCAAATTATAATATAGTTTAAAGCACAGGTTTCCAACCTTTTGGCTTCCTTGGGCCACATTGGAAGAATTGTCTTGAGCCACACGTGAAATACATTAATACTAATGATAGCTGATGAGCTTAAAGAAAAAGGTTCGTGAATAAGTTTTGTGATATCCACCACCTTAGATAAGCAAAAAAGCCCTCTCATTCAAAGTTTTGGCCCCCACTGGATTAAAGTGTTTACTCACCTTCTAGATTTCTTAAATGTTCTATGTCATTAACCAGCTTAGAACATTGCTAATATTAAGCGCTCAATCATTACCTTATTTCTTAATAACTATTATAATTTTGTCTTATTTAGTAGGAAGCCTGAGATTCTGTCATTGACGTGTATCTGTATCTATATAAAAATGTGTGTCTCTCACACACACCTAAATAAGTTATATATGTGTATAATAAACTCTTACATTGTTGATAGATTCTTGGAAACGAAGTGAAGCAACGTATCATTTTAGAAAGCGTATTTTAGGGCTGGGTGCCTTGCCTCACGCCTGTAATCCCAGCACTTTGGGAGGCTGAGGTGGGTGGATCACGAGGTTAAGAATTCGAGACCAGCCTGGCCAACACGGCAAAATCCCATCTGTACTAAAAATACAAAAAGTTAGCTGGGCATGGTGGGGGGCGCCTGTAATCCAGCTACTTGGGAGGCTGAGGCCGGAGAATCACTTGAACCTGGGAGGCAGAGGTTGCACTGAGCTGAGATCATGCCATTGCATTCCAGTCTAGACGACATGAGCAAAACTCTGTCTCCAAAAAAACCAAAACCAAACTAATTTTACCAGACTTTAATTGACGTAAACAAGAGTTATGTTTGGTATATAGTAACATTGCTTCATTTATAGTTGCAGTTTTCAAGAATCTGTTTTTTACATTGAGTACTTACTATATATCTGTGTTTGCGTGATATGAATTTTTCTGATAAATAAAAATAGTATAACTATATTTAATATTTACAATGTAATGATATGCACATATTTTATAATTGATATGCACATATTTTATTGTAAAATATAGTCAAGTTGATCAACACATCTATTACTCAAATAGCTAACCATTTTTTTTGGTAATAAGAACACTTAAGGCCTACTGTTGTAGCAAATTGTAAGCATACATTATAGTATTAACTATAAACAATGCTATTTTGCTAATCTAATGCTATTGTACATTAGATTTCTCAGACTTACTCAATTTATAACTAAAAATTTGTACTCTTTGAAAACATCTCCTCATGGTCCCACCCTTAGGCACCAACAACCACCATTCTACTTTCTGCTTTTATGAGTTGACATTTTTAGATTCCCTGTCTAAGTGAGAAGAAGCAGTTTCTTTGTCTCTCTGTGTTTGGCTAATTTCATTTAGCATCATTTCCTCCAGGTCTATCCAGGTTGTAAATGGCTAGATTTCCTTTTCTTTTATGGCTGAATAGTAGTCTACTGTGTGTGTGTGTATATATATATACACACACACACATATATATATATATATACACATACATATATACATATATATGTGTATATATATATACACACACACACCATATTTTGGCTATTGTAAATATACTACAGCAAACATGGGCTGAAGATATTTCTTCAAGGTGCTAACTTAATTTCCTTTGGTAGTGTACCCAGAAGTGGTATTGCTGGATTATATAATATTTCCATTTTTATTTCTTACTGGTTTTTTTTTTTTTTTTTTTTTTTTGAGATGGAGTCTTGCTCTGTTGCCCAGGCTGGAGTGCAGTGGCGCGATCTCGGCTCACTGCAACCTCCGCCACCTGGGTTCACGCCATTCTCCTGCCTCAGCCTCCTGAGTAGCTGGGACTACAGGTACCTAACACCACGCCTGGCTAATTTTTTTTTTTTTTTTTTTTTTTTTTTTGTGTTTTTAGTAGAGACAGAGTTTCACCATGTTAGCCAGGATGGTCTCGATCTCCTGAGCTCGTGATCCGCCCACCTGAGCCTCCCAAAGTGTTGGGATTACAGGCGTGAGCCACTGCGCCCGGCCTTTTTATTGTTTTTTATGATGACTTTATCAATTTACATCTCACCAACAGCATATAGCACTTACCTTGTATGTATGTCTTCTTTGGGGGGAAAAAATCTAACCTTTTGCCTATTTTTGAATGGCTTATCATCATTATTGTTTTGCTTTGAATTGTATAAGTTTCTTATACATTTCGGATAGGGATATTAACTTTTTTTTTTTTTTTTTGAGACAGAGTTTTGCTCTTGTTGCTCAGGCTGGAGTGCAGTGGCATGATCTCAGCTCACTGCAACCTCTGCCTCCCGGGATCAAGTGATTCTTCTGCCTCAGCCTCCCAAATAGCTGAGATTACAGGCATGCCCCACCATGCCCAGCTAATTTTGTATTTTTAATAGAGACGGGGTTTCTTCATGTTGGTCAGGCTGGTCTCAAACTCCTGACCTCAGGTGATCTGCCCGCCTCGGCCTCCCAAATTTTTTATCAGATAAATTGCTTGCAAATATTTATATCCTGTAGGGTTTTTAGAAATTTTGTTTTCTTTTCCTTTGCTGTGCAGAAGCAGTTTACTTTGATACAATCCCACTTGTGTTTTCTTTTGTTGCTGTGCTTTTGATGGCATATCAAAAAAGTTATTGCCAAAGCCAGTATCAACAGGGCTTTTCCATATATGTTCTTCGGGAGTTCTAAGGTTTTTTATCTTATATTGAAGTGTTTCATTTTGAGTTAATTTTGGGGTATGGTGTAAGAAAATGATCTACTTTTATTCTTTAGCTTGTGGATATCCAGTTTTTCTGGCACCACGTATTGACAAGAGTGTAATTTCTGCATTGTGTGTTCTTGGTTCCCTTGCCAAAATTAGTTGACCTTGTATGCATGGATTTGTTTCTGGGCTATTCTGTTCCATTGGTTTTTTTATATCTGTATTTATGCACATACCATACTCTTTTGCTTACTATAACCTTTAAATAAAGTTTAAAATTAGAAGGTATGATGCCCCTCGCTTTGTTCTTTCTCAAGATGGCTTACGTTATTTAAAATTGTTTAAGGTTACACTTAAATTTTACAATTGTGTTTACTATTACTGTGAAAAACGCCACTAAAATTTTGATAGGGATCACATTTGAATCTACAAATCACTTTCGAAAATATACTTTGACAATATCTGTTATCCTGATGGAATCTGGTTTTATCTATTTGTGTCTGCTTCAGTTTCTGTCATCATTTAGTGTCTAAATTTATTGTTATACACTAGATTTTGTATCTTGTATTTAGTGTGTAAATTTTTTATTTCATTGGTTAAATTTATTTTGAATTAATTTCTTATTTTTATAGTATTGCAAATTGAATTTTTTTCTTTTTTTGGAAATTTTGTTACTTTATGGAAATGAAACATATTTGTATGTTGGGCTAGGTATATTGGTTCCTTTTTGTAATTCAGCACTTTCAGAGGCCAAGGCATGTGGATCACTTGAGCACAGGAGTTCGAGATGGGCCTGGGCCTTGTAGTGAGACCTTGCCTTATAAACACAAACCAAGAAACTACCTACAGATATTTGTATGTTGATTACGTATCCTGATACCTTAATGAGTGCCTTTATTAGTTCAGTTTTTGTTATTCCACTCTAGGGTTTCATATATATGCATGATCATATTATCTACAAACAGTAACATTTTTACTACTTTTGCAAGCAGGAGAGCTTTGTTCTCCTTTTCCTTGCCTAATTGTTCTGGTACATTTGGTAATATGTTAAGATAGAAGCTGTGGTCCTGGAAGCATGCTTGTAGATCTGGGCCTCAGCTGTGGTCCCTGAAGCAGCCCTGTGTCTGTATATTTTAAGGATTTAACAATGATTTACAGTTTGTATAATCTATTTTTTGGCAGGTAAACATCTCCTTTTGTTGGGTCCCCAGGCTGATGAGACTACCTCTGGGTTTGCAGAGAAGGGTTGTAGCTGGGTCACAAGGGTGCTGCTGGGTCTGCTGTGCATTGTGTCTTTGATGGTTGTGTTGCCAGAGATTTGGACAGTTATGGATTCTTCTGGGCCCTGAAAAGATTAGATTTCCTTGAGGACATTAATCTATATGGCAGGTTGTAGGCTAGGGTTTTGAAGTTTGTCTGTATATGATGGCCCAAATAACAGGTGTATGAATGGGTTTGGCTTCTGCTGACTACCTGGGAACAGTTTTTACAGGTCTCTCTGTGAGCCTCTGAATGTGTACGAATGGCCACAGACTGTGACTACATATGGCTAGAACTGAGTCACAGGGCTGCTTCAGGGACCACAGCTGAGGCCAGGATCTGCAGGGCTGCTTCAGGGACCACAGCTGAGGCCAGGATCTGCAGGCCTGCCTCCAGGGCCATTGCTGGCTGTGTCTTCCTGCAGGTCTCTTGATGGGAAGGACCACTTCTGGACTATAGCTGAGATTGAATTTGAGAGAGGTTACAGAACTATTTTTGGAATCCTCAGTAAGACCAAACTCTGTGCATAATTTCCTTGTCTGTAGCTATGTCTATGGGCTCTTGAGTTGGCCACCTGGTGAGGGCCTGCTTTTTCCAAGTAACCCCCCTTGATCTTTGACTCCACTGAGGTTTCACAACCCTAACTATAGGCAAGCAATTTTCTACTTATGTTTTGTAGGAGTTTACTAAGTAAAATACCTTATATAAGTGGAATCTTACACTGTCACTTCGTTAGTGTTTTATTTCACTTAAAATAATGGCTTTAAGATTTATCCATATTGTAGCATCTGACAAGATATTTTCATTTTGAGTCTAAATAATTTTTCATTGTATGTGTAAGCCACATCCTTTTAAATTATTCAACTGTTGAAGGATGTTTGAGTTTTTTCATGTTTTGGCTTTTGTAAATAATATGGCTTGGATCTGTGTCTGCAGTCAAATCTCACATCAAATTACAAGCCCTCATGGAGGTGGGCCTGGTGGGAGGTGATGGGATCGTAGGGTTGGCTTCTCATGAATCGTTTAGTACCATCCCCTTTGGTACTGTCTTTGCCATAGTGAGTGACTTCTCCTGAGATCTCATTTTCTTTCTTTTTATTTTTGATAGCTTATCCATTGCAGTTCAATCTAAAAGTGAAATTTCTACAGAAACACGAACTATTTTAACAAAGAAAAAAAATCCCTCATTCAAAATTCTTTGTAGTGGTAATGGCTGCAAATCTGCAGCATTTAGAAAACTATGCTAACAATAAGCTTGCTTTATGAACTGAGATGTACAAAATCTAGAAAGCAGGTGAAAGTGAATTATTTCTTCAACATTTTAGTAAAACTTCTGGTAATCAGAGTTCAAAGCAAATATGGCACATAACAATTCAAGCATAAATCAAGATGGAGAGCCTGGA
Organism: Homo sapiens; assembly: GCF_000001405.40. Lineage (NCBI taxonomy): Eukaryota > Metazoa > Chordata > Mammalia > Primates > Hominidae > Homo > Homo sapiens. The sequence continues at coordinate 289,422 of NC_000004.12, read as the reverse complement.
GAGTTTGATTTCTTAAATTTTCCAAAAAGCTATCATTGCAACATGTAGGATTTCTCCCCTATTTTAACCTTACCAGTTTCAAAGGAAAGTAAAAGGAGTGGATTACATGTAGACAGCATGTGCGCGAGCGCACACACATGCAGGGTGGCAGGTAGAGTGTCTAATTCCTTCTTCCTACTACCCAAGTCTCACTTCACAGAAATCATTAGGTAAAGGAAAACCAATGAGGAGTTCTGCAGTTTTCTTTTAATAACTAAAGAGATCTCATTTTCTAAAAGCAGCTTCTTCCACACACTTGCTCCTGCTTCTACCATGTGAGATGACTCACTCTTGCTTGGCTTCCTGCCATGATTGGAAGCTTTTTGGGGCCTCCTGAGAAACAGAAGCTGCTATGCCTTCTGTACAGCCTGCAGATCCATGAGCGAATTAAATCTCTATTTAAAAATAAGATATCCAGTGTCAGGTATTTATAGCAATACGAGGATAAACTAATACAGTGAATATTGTTGCAATAACATGGATGTTTTGGGTTTCAAAACCCTGTTACATCACTGTGTTAGCCAGGATGGTCTCAATCTCCTGACCTCATGATCAGCCCACTTCCGCCTCCCAAAGTGCTGGGATTACAGACATGAGCCACTGCGCCCAGCCTACTTTTTGGAAAAATATTTTTAAAAATTCTTACATTTACATAGAATTTCAAGGACCATCATGGCCCAATCTTAGAAAATAAGAACAAAGCTAGAGGCACAACACTTCTTGTTTTTAGAACAGAATACAAAGCTACATAAATAAAAACAGTGAGGTATTTGCAGGAAAACAAATAGATGATAGAACAGAACAGAGAACTCAAAAACTAACCATCATGTATATGCTCAAATGATCTTCAACAAGGTTGCTATAACCATACAATAAGAAAAAGACAGTCTCTTTAATAAATGGTGTTGGAATACTCTGTATCCACATGGGAAAAATTGAGGTTGGATCCTTCCCCTGAACCATGTACAAAAACTATCTTGAGTGAGTTAAATATTGAAATGTAAGAATTATAACTTTACAATTTTTAGAAGAAAATATAGGAATAGAGACTATGACGTTGGTCTCAGCAATGTTTTCTTACATATAACATCAAACACATGAGCAACAAACTTAAAACCACAGAAAAATGAGACTACATTAAATTTATCTCTGCACATTAACAAACATTAAGAGTCCCACCTAAGAAGCACAAAAGCAAAAAAAATTAAAAATTATGTGTTTGACAAAAGTTAACATTCAGAATAAACAATTCCAAAAAATCAACAAAGAATAACATGATTAACAAATAGACAAGAGATGAAAATGTTTCTCCAGAGATGAAATACATATAACAATTATTGAGAAAATTTCTAATTTTTAGAGTAATGTAAGGCAAAACCACAATAAGGTTATTGTTGTGCATTAATTAGGATGGCCAATATAAAGCAAAAAAAAAATGTTGTAAAGAATGTAGAGAAATTGAAACTCTTGTGCACTGTTGGTGGGGAAAAAGTGATGCAACCACCTGAAAAAAATGTATGGAGGTTCCTCCAAAAACTAAAAATGCAGTTATTATATGAGCCAGTAATTCTACTTCTGAGCACCTATTCAAAATATCCAAAGTATATCTGAAGGCAGGAGGCTGAGGCAGGAGAATGGTGTGAAACCGGGAGGCGGAGCTTGCAGTGAGCCAAGATTTTGTCACTGCACTCCAGCCTGGGGTGACAGAGCGAGACTCCATCTCAAAAAAAAATATATATATATATTTTTCAAACAGTATCATTTGTGTTTTCATCAGGATTACATTGAATTTGAATATCACTGGGTAGTATTGTCATTTGACAATATTAAATCTCCTGACATAAAGAAGAGTATGTTCAAGAGTGTGTTGGCCACGTGCGATGACTCACGCCTGTAATCCTAGCACTTTGGGAGGCCGAGGCGGGTGGATCACCAGAGGTCAGGAGTTCGAGACTACCCTGGCCAACATGGCGAAACCCCGTCTCTACTAAAAATACAAAAATTAGCTGGACGTGATGGCACACACCTCTAATCCCAGCCACTCGGGAGGCTGAGGCAGGAGAATCACCTCAACCCGAGGGGCGGAGGCTGCAGTGAGCCGAGATCACGCCATTGCACTACAGTCTGGGCAACACCAAAACTCCGTCTTTAAAAAAAAAAAAAAGTATGTTAAGTTTCACATATTCTTGGATTTGGCAATTTTGCTTCTGCTTTTGATTTCTAGTTTTGTTTTGCGACGGAGTCTTGCTCTGTCGCCCAGGCTGGAGTGCAGTGGCGCCATCTTGGCTCACTGCAAGCTTCGCCTCCCGGGTTCACGCCATTCTCCTGCCTCAGCCTCCTGAGTAGCTGGGACTACAGGCGTGCACCACCACGCCCAGATAATTTTCATATTTTTAGTAGAGACGGGGTTTCACCATGTTAGCCAGAATGGTCTTGATCTCCTGACCCCGTGATCCGCCCACCTTGGCCTCCCAAACTGCTGGGATTACAGGCGTGAACCACAGAGCCTGGCCGATTTCTAGTTTTATTCCATGTGGTCTGAAAGGAGGTATTGTATAATTCAATCTTTAATGCATACCAGGCTGAATACCTTGATGAGAAATAATCTGTACAACAAACCTTTATGACACAAGTTTACCTGTATAACAAACTTGCACATATACCCCATCCTAAAATAAAGTTAAAAAAAGAGTTGTTTTGCATTCTAACAGGTTGTCCATTAAACAACAGCTACTCATTTTCTTCTGCAGTTAACCCCTGTCACAGTTTAGTCTGTTTCTAAGCATTTAACTACTTTAGATATCTTACATAAGTGGAATTACATAGCACTTGTCTTCTTGTGCCTGGCTTCCTCCACCTAAATAAAGTCTTAAAAATGTATCCTCATTGTGGATATAGAAAAACTTTTCTGCTTTTAAGAAGCTGAATAATATTTATTTGTATATTCAAAATTGTCTTTATTAAGAAAAGTTTTTTTCAGTTTTGTAGATGATGCCACAATGAATATGGATGTGTAAATTACTCTTCATTTGATAATACATGCAAGGGATTATTTACATGTTCTTCTGTTCACTGTCATTGTCTTTTTAAAATCTAGTTATAAACTGTTTCAATAACTATAGCTTCATAATTAGTTTTTAAAGTAATGATGTATGATGCTTCTGATGTTTCTCTTTTTGACAATTCTTGAGCACTTCTGGTCTCTTTAATTCTGATAAAATTTCAGGATTGCTTGTTATATTAATGCAAAATATGCATAGCTGCTGCAATTTAAAGTATACCACCATTTCCTTCAGCACTTTTTGTCAGGGGAGACAAAACTCATCTTCGCACAGTTCCCCAAAAACCAGAAATGTGGACACATATCCCACTTTCTTTCTCTGCTGAGGAAGAAGCATAGAGTTGGGAGTTCCTCCTGGTTGCACCATGCCTAGGCAATGTGGTGAAATCCCATCTCTACCAAAAAATAGATAAACATTAGCCGGGCATGGTGGCATGCACCTGTAGTTCCAGCTACTTGGGGGCTGAGGCAGAAGGATCGCTTGAACCCTGGGAGGTTGAGTCTGGCATGAGCTGAGATTGTGTCACTGTACTGTAGCCTGGGTGACAAAGTGAGACATTGTCTCAAAAACACATAAAGGTATCACAGCAGCCCTAGTTGGAGGGAGACCGTGGGTCTGTTGGAGAATGGAGAGTTTAAAATTTTGCACAGAAGCTGTCACACTGTGAATCGTCTTGTGATTCTAGGTATCCTCCGGGGGTGAGAGGGGACTGAGTACTCAAAGGGAAGGAGTTCTGACTCCTTTTGCTATAAAGTGATTTCTGCACATTCACACACATGCACGCTAGGCAATGGTGTGGCCACACTTCTCCCATGACAAAGCTTCATTCTCAGGAATTGTACTGAGAGCACCTCTGCTTCTAGAGTTTTCCAATAATAGGACACATAAGTGCCCAGAAGACTCATGGGTTCTTTCTACCACTCAGATCTTCAATCTGCACCAGTAACCTGTTTCCTCCAGTAGCCTAGGCTTCTGGATCACCTGACCATCTTATCTCCCTGCACACACACATTCATAAGTCAGAGCTGCCTGCCTGGGCCAGTATCTATAGCAGTAACCAGTCCTTTCTCCACCTGTGCACTGACCCTCACTCTTGGGTTCTTGATAACATCTTTTCTTATTCTGCATTTTTTTTTCCCTCACAAACACTCTTTCCTGTGAACATAGTATGCCTCAGGTCACCCTGCAGGTGCCTGAATCCAGGCCCTGCTGGAAATCAGATGTCCGTGAGTTCTAGGCAAAATTGTTGGATGTGGTTATTGTAAATATAAATGTAAAATAGAAACAGACTTAATCCTCCAGCTGGAAAAAAGGAAAAGTATTTACTCCTTCCTTTTCTTAAAATATTTGACTTAGAAAACTTTTATATGTAAATTCTTTCTCTGCCTTTTATCTTTTTTGTTTTTTGTTTGTTTCTTTTTCTTCTTCTTTTTTTTTTTTTTTTTTTTTTTGAGACAGAGTCTCACTCTGTGGCCCGGGCTGGAGTGCAGTGGTGTGATCTTGGCTCACCACAACCTCCGCCTCCTGGGTTCAAGCGATTCTTCTGCCTCAGCCTCCCGAGTAGCTGGGTTTACAAGTGCCCGCCACCACGCCCGGCGAATTTTTGTATTTTTAGTAGAGACTTGGTTTCACCATGTTGGCCAGGCTGGTCTTGATTGCCTGATCTCGTGATCCACCCGCCTCAGCCTCCCAAAGAGCTGGGATTACAGGCATGAGCCACTGCACCCAGTATTTGTTGTCTTCTAAGTCTCTAATTTGTTTCTGTTCTGTTTTTTATTATTTTCTTTATTATCCTAACATTGAGATTATTGTTTTTCAAGTTATTTAAGAATTAAAGTTACAGTGTTTGAGATTTTTTAAATATAAAATTATATTACTATAACATTCTGTCTTGGAACTGCTTTTGTTACATTCTACTTTTGATATGTCCTATTTCTATTTTCATTTGTCTCAAGATACTTTCTGATTTTTCTTTTCTTTTTCTTCTTTGACTCATCAGTTGTTCAGAAGCATGTTGTCTAATATACACATATTTGTAAGATTTTCAATGTTCACTCTGCTATTGATTTCTCATTTATAAAATTGTAATTTAAAAACTTGATATGATTTCAGGCTGGGCTCGGTGGCTCATGCCTATAATCCCAGCACTTTGGGAGGCTGAGGTGGGTGGATCACGAGGTCAGGAGATCGAGGCCATCCTAGTTAACAAGGTGAAACCTTGTCTCTACTAAAAATACAAAAAAATTAGCCGGGCGTGGTGGCGGGTGCCTGTAGTCCCAGCTACTCAGGAGGCTGAGGCAGGAGAATGGCGTGAACCCTGGAGGCGGAACTTGCAGTGAGCCGAGATCGCACCACTGCACTACAGCCTGGGCGACAGAGCAAGACTCCTTCTCAAAAAAACTAAAAAAAACACAAACAAGTTGATATGATTTCAGTCTTTTAAAAAATGAAAAGACTTGTTTGTCTTTGTTGTGGGCCAGATTTATGATGTATGCTAGAGAATATTCCATGTGTGTTTGAGAAGAATATAAATTATTCTTTTGGATGAAATGTTCTATATATATGTCTTTTGGTGCAGTTGTTTTATAGTGCTATGCAAGCAATTGTTTTCTTACTAACTTTCAGTCTGAATGATGTATTAAGTAGGGCAATATAGTCCCCCAGTATTATGTTTTTCTGTTTCTCCATTTCTTTTAATATATGTTTATATATTTATGTGCTCCAATATTGGGTATATATATATTTTTAATTGTTATATTCTTTTGACAGATTAGCCTCTTATCACTATATCATGAAGTTTTTTTTTTTGTGGCAGATTTTTTTTAGAAGTCTATTTTGTCTGATGTAAATATAGCCACTTCTATACTCTTTTAGTTATTACTGGCATGGAATTTTTTTTTCATCCTTGAACCACTAACCTATGTATTTCCTTAAATCTAAAGTAAGTCGCTTGTGTGCAGCATGTTGTTGATTTTTTAAATCTATTCAGACATTTCGCGAGTGTTTTAGTTTATTTTTTGCATCAATAACAATATCCTACAGTTGGTAATTTATAAAGAATAGAAGTTTCCTTAGCTCACAATCTGGGATGCCAAGAAGTCCAAGAGCATGTCATTCCCATCTGATGACAATCATATTTCCACATCACAACACGAGCTCACTTTTATGATAGACCCACTCATGATGACTAACCCACTCGTGGAATAATGATACTGATCCTCTCATGACCTTATAACTTCTTAAAGGCCTCACTTATTAATTTTCTCACAATGGCAGTTACATTTTAACATGAATTTTGGAGGGGGCACTCAAACCATAGCAATGTGATTTTATTGGCTAACTAAATTTTTTTTATATTTAAAGGAATTACTGATTGATAAGAACTTATTACTATCATTTTGTTCATTGTTTTCTAACCATTTAGTAATTTCTGTTTTTTCTTTCATGCTGCCTTCCCTTGTATGGTGTTGAGTTTGTTTCATTTTTCTTGTTATATGCTTTAATTTCTTTTGTGTGTATGTATCTTCAACATTTTTTTTTTTGTAATTTCCAAGGGACCATAAAATATCTCATAGTTTAAAAAGTCTAGCTTAAGGTAACAATCTAACTTCTTTTTTACCCACATAGGATCTTACTTTGTTTCCCAGGATGTAGTGCAGTGGTGGGTTCACAGCTCAGTGCAGCCTTGAACTCTCCAATATCAAACACTTTTCCCATATCAGCCTCCCAAGTAGCTGGGATTACAAGCACATGCCACCATGTCCAGCTAATTTTTTTGGTATTTTTTGTAGAGACAGGGTTTTGCCATGTTGCTCAGGCTGGTCATGAACTTCTGGGCTCAAGAAATCTACCTGCCTTGGCCTCCCAGAGTGCTAGGTTTATAGGCATGCATTATCAGGCCCAACTGCTTCTTTTTAAAAAAAGAATAAATAGCTTTCTGAAATCTTTATTTTATTTTATTTATGTATTTATTTTAGAGACAGGGTCCTGCTATATTGACCAGGCTGGTTTTGAACTCCTGGCCTCAAGCAAAAGTGAACTTCTATGTATAAAAATATTAAACAGTTTTACTCCTTTCAACACACTATTTATGTCACACTTTACATCTTTTTATATTATATACCATTAACAAATTATTGAAGCTATATGCTTTATTCACTTTTTTAAAAAAAGTCTATTTACGAACTTTCAAATGACTTTTAAGTTTGTTGATTTTTCCCCTTCTGTATAACTGAGTCTCCTGTTAAAGCTTTCTGTTAAATATTTTAGTTCTACTATTGTGTACTTCAGCTCCAGCATATCGCCTTGGTTCTTTGTTAATGGCTTATCTTTCTTTATTATCATTGGTTTTCTTCATGCATTGTTGCAAAAAATTTAGTAATATGTGTACTTTTGCATCTTATCGAGATTTTTAAAGATAATTATTTTAAATTCTCTGTTAGCCATTTTTTAGATCTGTGTTTTATTGTTAGTGCTTCCTGGAGCATTTTTAGTTTCCTTTCATGCTGTTATGTTTGCCTGATCCTTCATAATTCATGAGGCTTTGTTTTGATGTCCTTGCATCTGAAGGAGTAAATACCTCTTTCAGTCATTATAGACTAGTTTGAGGAGGTAAATATCTTCTCCCATTGGATTTCTGGGCTGATGAGATTTCCACTGAGGTTGCAATAAAGTGCTTTGGAATCCGGGTCACGTAGCTACTACTGGGTTTGCAGTGAAATTCCTGCTTGGCAGACCTGTCATCAGGGCATCAGACAGTTGTGGATTCTATTTTCTGAGAAGACTGAACTTTCTTCAAGATGTTGATCAATATGACTGGCACTGAGGAAAAAAGCCTCCAGTTATATATGCAGATTAAGGTGCTGATACAATCAATGTGAGCAGGTGTGGCTCCTGCTGTGTCGCTCTTGCGAGGTGTTTGGAAATGCTCTAACCTAGTCATTGGACAGGTTCCTAGATGAGCAGTAATGACCCTTGATCACAGCTGAGAGGGTATGAAACTGATTCATGCGGCTGCTTCAGGATACACAGCTGAGACCAAAGTGTTCAGGTCTTTTTCTGGGTTAACGGTATTTCTCCCTGTGGATTTCTAGGTGGGTAGGACTTCTTCCAGACTCTAGATGACAGAGACCAGAGCTTGGTTATAGGACTGCTTTACAATTCACAGTGGGAATAAAGTCAGCCAGCATGCCTACAGGGGCACATACAGGTGTGCTTTTTGGCAGGTCCCAGGTTAGGAAAAACTTCTTCTGGACTTGGTTGCATGGACTTGGAGCCAGCTTATAGTGCCACGTCAAGATCCACTGTCAAATAATTATTGGCAAGCCTACATTCGGGCACAGATGGATGTTTCTCTCTGTGGGTGTCTGGGCAGGATTCCTTCCACACCATGACTGACATGTGTAAAGAGTGGATTTGGGGCTAATTCAGAGATCACAGATAGAACCAACTTCTAAAGGCCTTTCACCTGAGGCATAGAACATTAGAAATTCTCCTAGGTGTCTTTGCAGATGGTGCTAGTAGCAGGAACAAAACCAAATGGTCTGCAGCTAAGTCTACAATGAAAATTGGACACATTTTATTCTGTAGCTGGGACTGTGATGGGCAAGCATGCCACTCAAGCAAGGGCATGCCTTTTCAATACAGCCCTCCTCAGTCTTGGGTTCACAACCCTTGACATGGATTCCAAAGCTCCCATAAATTTCCTTTTTCAGGACATAACTGCTGCTTTTTTTTGGCAGAATTTTTTGCTCTTGTTGCCCAGGCTGGAGTGCAATGGTACCATCTCAGCTCACTGCAACCTCTGCCTCTCGGATTCAAGCAATTCTCCTGCCTCAGCCTCCCGAGTAGGTGGGATTACAGGCATGCGCCAGCCACCACACCCGGCTAATTTTTTTGTTTTGTATTTTTAGTAGAGATGGTCAGGCTGGTCTCGAACTCCTGACCTTGAGATCCACCTGCCTCAGCCTTCCAAAGTGCTGGGATTACAGGTGTGAGCCACTGCAGCTGGCCGTTTTTTTTTTTTTTCTTACTGCTGTACATTGCATGTCAAAGATTCAAAATGCTGGATCTTCATAAGTACATAGTCACAGTTGAAAACTGTAGTTGTTTGAAGGATTGTTTTTATGATACATCTACATCTATATTCTATATTTTATAGGTCAGAATTTTTTATTGTTTTCAAACTCTATTTTACTGGGGAGTCTTTTTTCATGTAGGTTCTCCTCAATTATTTTTTGTTTTTAATCTTCATATTTGTATGGTAATTTTCAACTCTGTACCTTTTATGACCATGTGGTGTTTAATTCAAATAAAAATCATTGGGTTTCACTTGGAGCAATTTAAAATATATGTGTAATTCAGACATTTCTATAGCCTATAAAAGTTATCTATGTGGTGTTTGCCTGTGTAAATAATGCCCCTACCTGGTTTATAAATTTTTCTTTCTGGTGGTCATCACTGTTTTCTTTTATAGGTGAGTAGTCAAAGAAACAGTAAAAAATTACCACCTATTTATTGTTTGAGTATATGTTATTCTGTGAGAGAAACACTTTTTATTTGAAGGTGATTTTTGAAAAATGTAACCTTTTTAGGTAGATGTAAATATTTAGTTGTGATGAAAAACCTAACATTGCTTAAAGGTTTTCAAGTGTACAGCCTAGTGGAGTTAAGTACATTTACATTATTTTGAAATGGATCTCTAGATTAATTTTATCAAAGTAAAGTTCATACCTCATAAACAATAAACTGCCATTTTTTTCTCTTCAGGTCCTGAAGAACACCATTTTACTTACTATTTCTATAATTTTGACTGATTTTTATATTCTTATTGGTGTAATTATATAATATAATGTCTGGTTGTTGTTTTTTTTTTTTGAGACGGAGTCTCGCTCTGTCACCCACGCTGGAGTGCAGTGGCGTGATATTGGCTCACTGCAAGCTCTGCCTCCCGGGTTCACGCCATTCTCCTGCCTCAGCCTCCAGAGTAGCTGGGACTACAAGCGCCCACCACCACGCCCAGCTAATTTTTTTTGTTTTTGTATTTTTAGTAGAGACAAGGTTTCACCGTGTTAGCCAGGATGGTCTTGATCTTCTGACCTCGTGATCTGCCCGCCTCGGCCTCCCAAAGTGCTGGAATTATAGGCATGAGCCACTGCACCCGGCCCCCATGTCTGTTTTTTTTTTCACTATCTCAGTTTACTTAACATAATGTTCTCAGGCTTTGTTTTTGTAAGATTGTCCTGTGCGGGAAACGCGTGAGGGGAGAAGAAAAGACACACACACAATATCTTTAAGGGTAAACAACCTTTATCCCATGTAAATGGCAATGCAGATATATAAGCAAATGATACAATAAGCAAATTGCAATGGGAAGGGGAGAAGGAAAAGGAGATATATATATTTACATTTACCAGACTATGGAGGATTCACCACCAGACTAGGAAGCAATAGCCTGGGCTCCAGAGTCAGACACTACACTCACCAGCCTGTGGAGGATTCACCACTAGACTGGGAAGCAACAGCCTGGGCTCCAGAGTCCGCCACCCTTCCGTGCACAGACGAAGAGAGGTCTCATGTAGCTTCGGCATGGTCTGGGACCCTAGCTCTTTTTGTAATGAGTTGTTTGGCATGAGGCCCAGTCACAAGGGCCCTTTGTGACTGGACTCAAGGAACACAAAAAGGTCAAATTGTGTTTGCGATTGTCTATTGTTTTTCAATAACTAACATATAGGAATAGATTGAAATAGAAATTTCTTTGAAACAGTGCTGGGGGCTCACACAACCCATTCTGGGATTTGGTGACCATTGTTTGTCATGTTCAGTTGAGTTCAAATTTAATATTTAACTTTTCCTCCACAAAGATGTGTCAGAATATCTGTTTTAAAATAAAATATTGTATGTATGTCACATTTAAAAAATCTGATATTGATCTCTAAAGGGACATTTGTGTTGTTTCCAGGAATTGTCTTTTGCAAATAATAATTAACATGCATGTGTAAATATGTAAAGTCCTGCCTCGGATATTTTTGGTATATTTTGGATACAGTGATGTGGTACCATGTGTGTGTCCATATTTTTTTTCTTAAGCCTTTGATGTTGTATTCAAAAAGTTATTGTTGAGACTAGTTGCATAAAGCCTTCCTCATAAATGTTTATATTAGATTTCACATATGGGTAAGATCTTTTGTATTTGTCTCAGTGTATCTTTTATTTCACTTAACGTAATGGCCTCCAGGTTCATTCCTGTTGTGGCAAATATCAAAATTATATTCTCTTTTGTAGCTGAATAGTATTTTGTTGTGTATATATACCACATTTTCTTTATTCATCCAAGTTTTGGACACTTGGATTGATCGAATACCTTGGCTATAAATAGTGTTTTAATAAACATTGGAGTGTAGATTTCTCTTTGACATACTGATTTTGTTTTCTTTAGCTACAAACAAAATAGGACTAACGTATGTTCCAGCAATCCCATTTAATTAAAAAATTAAAAATAGAACCTGTGATCCAGCAATTTGAATTTTTTTTGTGTGTGTGTGGTAGTTCATGGTTTATTGTCTAGGTGGGGAGTCAAAGAAACAGTGTTAAAATACCATTTGTTGATTGTTTAAATATATGTTATCCTGTGATACTTGTTTTTTTTCTATAATGGCTCTACTAACTTACAGTTTTACCGTGTTTCCTTTTCTATTCATTCTCACTAACATTTTTTTTTGTCTTTCTAATTACAGTCATTCTAACTGGAGTCAAGTCTTATATTGTGGTTTTGATTTGCATTTCTCTGACAATTAGTGATGTTGAGCATCTTTGCATGTACTTTTTGGCCATCTGTATTTCTTTTGAAAAATGTCTCTTAAGGCCTCTTGCCTATGTTTAAATTGTGTGTTATTTTTGTTAAGTTTGTTATACTGTAAATTTATCTTTTGTCATGTACATTTTGCAAATATTTTATTTCATTGTGTAGATTACGTCTTCACTTTGTTAATTGTTTTCTTTACTGTGCAAAGCATTTTTAGTTTCTTGTAATCCCGTTTGCATATTTTTGCTTCTTTTGCCTGTGATTTTGAGGTCTTAAGATTCTTTTCTCTGTACTATGTGGTAATGCATTCCTGTATGTTTATTTCAAATAACTTTATAGGTTTGAGTTTCCCATTTAAATCTGTATTTGTGATTGAGTTTTTTATATTGTAAGAGGTAGGAGCCTAGTTTTATTTTTTTGATTATCATGTAAATAATTTTCATAGCACCATTTATTGAAAAGACTGTCTTTTTCCAAATGTGAGTTCTTGACATTTTTGTTGAAAATCACTTGGTTCTAGGTTCAGGAATTTATTACTGGGCTCACTGGATAGTTTGATCTGTCTATGTCATTATCATGCTGTTTTGCTTATTATAGCTTTATAGTATATTTTGGAGTCAGGTAGTGTGATGCTTCCAGCTGTTTTTTTTTGTCCCCCCCTTAGGATTACTTTTGCTATTTGGGGGTCTTTGGTGGTTCCCTGTGAAGTTTAAGTTTGTTTTTTCCATTTCTGTGAAAAAAATCATTGGTATTTTGATAAGAGATTGCGTTGAATCTATAGATCACCTTGAGTAGTATAGCCACTTTCATATTTTTTAATTTTATGAGCAATATATATCTTTCAAATTTTCATGTCTTTTTCACTTTTTAATTATTTACAATTTTCAGTGTAAAGAGTGTTCACCTTTTTAATTATGTTTGCTACTAGAAATCTTTATTTTTTATTGTTGATGCAGAAGCAGCATTTGGCAACATTGAACATGTCTTTGTGATTTAAGAAACTCAACAAATTAGGTATAGATATTATGTACTTCAGTGCAATAAAGATTGTATATGACAGATTAATGGCTGAAATCATACTGAATAGGAAGGAGCAGAAAACTTTTTATCTGAGATCTGGAACACAACAAGGATGCTTTTATTTAGTATTATTATTGTCTATGACAGCATTCAGCTATGTACACTGTAAGACTGTGGAGCATAAGTCAAATATGGATCAGTGATATATCTATTTCCAATATAAGAGTCTCTGTGTTTATCTCTCTGCATATTGTTTCCCTATTGTTTTTAAGTTGTATACTTATTTTGTTTGTGTGTAACAATGGTGGTTTTACCCTGCCTAGGTGAGTAGTCATTGAAATTCTCCTAATTTTACCCTCTATTTATTTGTAAATCTATATTTGTGTGTGTGTAACACTTTTGTGATTTGAAGATAATTTCCAAAACTCATACCTCCATCTCTTTTATATATTGTTTTCAAAAATGCATAACATTTAAAATCTTATATATTTTTAAATATTCAGCTTAGTCATTTTATTAATAATTTTATGCACTATATTTTTAGAATATGTTTATCTTGCAAAGCTAACACTCAATATAACTACCTACTTTTTCTGTTTTCTCACTCTACACAAACAATTCTGTTTTTTATTTTAAAGTCAAACTGCTTTAGATATCTCGTGTAAGTTGATTCATATAGTTTGTCTCTTCGTGACTTTTTGTTGTATAATGTCATCAAGATTTATCTTTATTGTACTTGTTTATTTTTTGCTTTTTACAAACTGAGTAATATTTCATTATTTTAATAATTGAAATTATATTTCTCAATTTATTTAGTGAGAGAAATATGCGTTGCTGTTATTTGCTTTCAGGAACAGTGCTGCAATAATTATGAGTGTCTAAATTACTCTTCATGTGACCATGTGTGAGAGTTTATATTTTTGCCAGATTTTATTTAGTTGATCTAGCTGTTCAGCTTTATACCTATCCCAGATTGCTTTAATTCTTTAGATTTGTATGTGTTTTGAAATCAGGAGCTGTGAAGCCTCTGAGATTGCTTCTGTTTTTGAAGATTGTTGGGTACTTCACTGTTTCTTAATTCCATATAATATGGGAATTGTTGTTTCTATTACTACAATAATTTAATTAAATTTGACAGGGATTGCATTTAATCTGTAGATTATATTGAGCAGTCTAGATATTCTCATTATTTCAAACTTTGAACAAGAGCATGCTTAAGTGTGTGTTGTTTAATTTCTATAAATATGTAAATTTTTTAGTTTTCTTTATTTCTACTCTCATTCCAGTTTGGTCATTAAAAGTAATCTGTAAAATTTCAATTTTAAAACTTTAAGACTTTTTTTGTGCCCTGACATGTAGTCTATCAAGGAGAATATTGTATGAGGTATTGAGAAGGGTGTGTATTTAGTTGTTGCTGAGCAGTGTTCTCTACAGTTCTGTTAGGCGTAATAGTTTAATACTGGTTTCAAGTCTCCTGTTTCCTTATGAATATTTTATCTTGTTTCATTATTCCTTACAGAAACTGGGGTATTTAAATATCCTACTATAGTTATATTGCTGTCTTTGTCTTAATTCTGTGAGTATTGGCTTTGTATATTTGGAACTCAATGTGGGGGAGACACACACACATATTAACGTATGTATAGACATGTTTGTCATTAGTTCCCAGTAAATGAACCTTTATTATTATTATTGTTTAATGTCCTTCTTTCTTATGACTTTTTAAAGTATATTTTATGAAATAGGACAGTTTTGACTTAAGATGTACTTTGTATTACATAATTTGGACCTCTTATTTGGTTATTTGCATGAAATCTCTTCTTTCATTTTGCCTTTTTCAGTCTTTTTAAATCATTACATCTCAAGTGACTCCTGTAGAAAAGCAAGTTGGATCTTGTTTTTTAATTTTTGCAGTCAATCCCCTTATTTGGTGCATGTATTTTGAATGGAAACTTTACTTCATAAATATTTGAATAATTTGCTGAAATAGACTTACTCATCTTATTGTTTTACTGGATTATTTTATCTTTGTCCCTTATTTTCTTTTTCTGTCTTCCTTAGTCTTTTTTATTTTTGTATTGATACACCTTTAATTCTTATTTTTTGGTGTATCTATACAGATACTTTTTTTCTGGTATCTTGAGAATTACATAAAATTTCTTTAAGTTAAAATAATATATTTTAAACTGGTAAAAACTTAACTTCCATTGAATTTGAAAATTCCTCCTCATTACATCTGCCCTCAACTTCATTATTGATGTCAGTAATCATATTGTTGTTGTGTATTATTACCAGATTATGATGAACAGTTTATGATCATTTTTATGCTTTCCTCTTTAAAATTTTAGAGAATAATTACAATATTTTCTGTAATATGATAGTGGTACAGAACTTTGTGGATGTGCATATCTTTTTCAGAAAGCTATATATTTTCATATGATTATGTTTGGCTTTCTTACATTATGTTATTTTCACTGGAAGATACTTTCTTGAGCATTTTTTTGGTAAGACGTGTTGTGCTAATATACTTTTTCAGCATTTGGTTATCTTGAAAGGTCTTTATTCTTTCTTCATTTTTAGGACAGTTTTGCTGGTTATATGATTCCCACATAGAAGTTTTTTTTTTTTTTCCTAGCACCTTAACAATATCCCAATTCTTTCTGTTGCGAAATAGTTTTGTTGACAGATTCACTGGTAATCTTTTAAGACCACAGTTATAAATGACACATCACTTTTATTTTGCAGCTCCTAAGATGTCGTTTTTGAGTTTGATTTTTGAAACTTTGCTTATATATGTGCTTTGCTGTAAATCTGTGTGTGTAACCTTGTTGAAGTTTGTTGAGCTTCTTCCGTTTTTATATCCTTTTTTAACTTGAAAATTTCTGTCTTTATTTTGCATTTTTCACCTTCATGATTTGTTTTTTGTTTTTAATGTTTTCATTGATGTTCTCATTTTTCTGATTACATTTAGTTGTACGTGTTTCCATTTAGCTGATTCAGCATTATTCAGGTTACATTTTAAAAATTTGTACATCTTTGTTTTTATGGTTGTTTTCTGAAAAATTTTAAATTGTTTAATTAGACCATGTTCTAATATTTTGTATACATTATAATATTTGCTTGTTATTTGAACATTAACCAAAAGCTATTTATCACAACCTTTACAATGTTGTTTTCTCCTGACATAGTCTGAAGCCAGTTGTCTTTGATACGGATTATAGTAACCTCTCATACATGTTGGAAGGATGTGTCTTGTCTAGAATTTTGTGTTTATTTTTTAGTTAAAAGGGTTTGTTCATGTTTCCTCTTAAGAGTCTTTAATCACTTGGTCTGTTGTCTGTATTTAGCACTTCAGTCTGCTCTTGAAACATGTACATTTGGTCTTAGCAGACCCAACCTGTCCTTCCTAAGTATATCACCATTTCTTTCAGCACTCTTTGTTATTGGAGGCAGAAACCAGTTTTTGTAAAGATCCCCAAAAGCCAGAAGTAAGGATACGTGTCAGTATTTTTCTTTTCTTTTAAGTAAGAAGACAGGAGTTGACAGTTTACTTCTAATGGCACAGTGCTATATTGGGGAGGAGGAAGAACTGTGGTTGGTAAATGTAACAAACTTTGTATCCTGTTCTATGTGGCTCTTGGCATTGTGCTTACCTGAGGCATTGCATGTAACTCATTTATAAATTTCACTAAAAGGCATTTTGATCAGTATATGTTTGTTACATATATATGTCTGTGAAGAAATTATGGCCTGTGGTATTTTGTTATGCCATCTTACTAATGTACTTTGTATAAGTTTATATATTAGATTTTTAAAGTATATTCGTATGAATCTAGTAAGCAGGATAATTTATTTTTATTTCTTTCAGCTGTGTGTTCTCATTTCACCCAAGACTTTTTGCCAGTGCAGGGGATAGAAGATTCGTTCCACAAACTTATATTAAGAAGATATGAGAAATGTGGACATGAGAATTTAGAATTAAGAAAAAGCTGTAAAAGGAAGGTGCAGAAAGGAGGTTATAATGAATTTAATCAATGCTTGTCAACTATCCAGAGCAAAATATTTCAGTGTAATGTACATGTCAAAGTATTTAGTACATTTTCAAATTCAAACCAACGTAGGATAAGACATACTGGAGAGAAACACTTTAAAGAATGTGGCAAGTCATTTCAGAAGTTCTCAGACCTAACTCAACATCAAGGAATTCATGCTGGAGAGAAACCCTACACATGTGAAGAATGTGGCAAAGACTTTAAATGGTATTTAATCTTTAATGAATATGAGATAATTCATACTGGAGAGAAACCCTTCACATGTGAAGAATGTGGCAACATCTTTACCACATCCTCAAACTTTGCTAAACATAAAGTTCATACTGGAGAGAAATCTTACAAATATGAAGAATGTGGCAAAGCCTTTAATAGGTCCTCAACCCTTACTAAGCATAAGAGAATTCATGCTGAAGAGAAACCCTTCACATGTGAAGAATGTGGCAAAATCATTACCTCATCCTCAAATGTTGCCAAACATAAGAAAATTCATACCGGAGAGAAACTCTACAAATGTCAGGAATGTGGCAAAGTCTTTAATAGGTCCACAACCCTTACTAAACATAACAGAATTCATACTGGAGAGAAACCCTACACATGTGAAGAATGTGGCAAAGCCTTTAGTAGGTCCTCAGTTCTGAATGAACATAAGAGAATTCATACTGGAGAGAAGCCCTACAAATGTGAACAATGTGGCAAAGCCTTTAGACAATCCGCAACCCTTAATAAACATAAGAGTATTCATACTGGAGAGAAACCCTACACATGTGAAGAATGTGGAAAAGCCTTTAGTCGGTTCACAACCCTTAATGAACATAAGAGAATTCATACTGGAGAGAGGCCCCACAAATGTGAAGAGTGTGGCAAAGCCTTTGGATGGTCCACAGACCTGAATAAACATAAGATAATTCATACTGGAGAGAAACCTTACAAATGTGAAGAGTGTGGCAAAGCCTTTGGATGGTCTGCATACCTGAGTAAACATAAGAAAATTCATACTGGAGAGAAACCTTATAGATGTGAAGAGTGTGGCAAAGCCTTTTTATGTTCCAGAGCCCTGAATAAACATAAGACAATTCATACTGGAGAGAAACCTTACGAATGTGAAGAGTGTGGCAAAGCCTTTGGATGGTCCACATACCTGAGTAAACATAAGAAAATTCATACTGGAGAGAAACCTTATAGATGTGAAGAGTGTGGCAAAGCATTTAGACGTTCCAGAGTCCTGAATAAATATAAGACAATTCATACTGGAGATAAAACCCCCAAATGTAAAGGATGTGGCAAAGCCTTTAAGTGGTCCTCATACCTTAATCAACATAATAAAATTTATACTGGAGAGAAACTCTAGAAATATGAAGAATGTGGCAAAGCCTTTGGATGATCCACAAACCTGAATGAACATAAGAAAATTTATACTGGAAATAAACTATACAAATGTGAAGAATGTGGCAAAGCTTTTGGATGGTCCACAACCCTGAATGAAAGTAAGAATTCATACTGGAGAAAAACCCTACAAATGTAAAGAATGTGGGAAAGCCTTCAAACAGTCCGCATACCTGAATCAACATAAGAAAATTGATGCTGGAGAGCAACCCTACAAATGTGAAGAATGTGGCAAAGCTTTTAGATGGTCCACAACCCTGAGTGAACATAAGAAAATTCATATGGGAGATGAATCCTACAAATGTAAAGAATGTGGGAAAGCCTATAAACGGTCCTCACCCATAAATAAACATGAGAAAATTCATAATGGAGAGAACACCTACAAATGTAAGGAATCTGGCAAAGTCATTACCTCATCCTCAAATTCTGCTAAACGTAAGAGAATCCATACTGGTGAGAAACCCTATAAATGTTTAGAATGTCATAAAACCTTTAATAGCTCCAAAACCCTAATTGAACATAGGATTCATACTGGAGAGAAACCCTACACATGTGAAGAATGTGGCAAAGCCTTTAGACAGTCCGGAAACCTTTATGTACATAGGAGAATTCTTTTTTTTTTTTTTTTTTTTTTTTTTGAGACGGAGTCTCGCTCTGTCGCCCAGGCTGGAGTGCAGTGGCGGGATCTCGGCTCACTGCAAGCTCCGCCTCCCGGGTTCACGCCATTCTCCTGCCTCAGCCTCCCGAGTAGCTGGGACTACAGGCGCCCGCCACCACGCCCGGCTAATTTTTTTGTATTTTTAGTAGAGACGGGGTTTCACCGTTTTAGCCGGGATGGTCTCGATCTCCTGACCTCGTGATCCGCCCGCCTCGGCCTCCCAAAGGGAGAATTCTTACTGGAGATAAAACCATACAAGTGTAAAGGATGTGGAAAAGCCTTTAAGCTGTACTCCAGCATTCTTAAACATAAGAGAACTCGTACTGGAGGAATGTCTTACCAATATGAAGAATGTGGCAGTCTTTAAATGTTCCTCAATCTTTTCTAATCGTAAGATAATTCATAATGGAGAGAAACTCCAGAAATGTGAAAAATATGAGAAAGCTTTTAACCACACCTCACTGTGTTCTAAACATAAGATAAATGATATTGATGAGAAGCCATATGAAAAATTAAAATGTGGCAAAGACTTCAAATTCTCTCTTTTTTTTTTTTTGAGACAGAGTCTTGCTCTCTCCCCCAGTCTGGAGTGCAGTGGCACGATCTTGGCTCACTGCAAGCTCTGCCTCCTCGGTTCACTTCATTCTCCTGCCTCAGCCTCCCGAGTAGCTGGGACTACAGGTGCTCGCCACCATGCTAGGCTAATTTTTTGTATTTTCAGTAGAGACGGGGTACCACCATGTTAGCCAGGATGGTCGTGATCTCCTGACCTCGTGATCCGCCCATCTCAGCCTCCCCAAGTGCTGGGATTACAGGCGTGAGCCACCACGCCCGGCAGACTTCAAATTCTCATCACATCTTACTGTATGTAATTACTACTGAAGAAAAGTAGAAATACAAAAAATGTGGCAAAACTTTTAATCAATGCTCATATCTTTTTGCATGTGATAGCATTTATACATGAGAATAATTGCACAAATATAAAAATACAAAAGCCATTAATTTCTACTCACATCTTACCAGATATCAGAATTTATGGTTAACAAAAGCATTATAAATGTAATTTCTGTTGAAAGACCTTTTAGAAAATATAGGCCATTAAAGCGAAGAAGAGTATTCTTAAGACAGACAATACAAATATAAAGAGGGTGTAGTACCTGTACTTGTATCCTGGATCTTACTGTACACATTTTGTACTAGCGGAAGACTCAGAAGCAGTTGCTCAAACTTTGTTCAACATCAGAGAATTTACATTGGAGCGAAATACGACAAATGTAATAAATGTGGAAAAACATCTGTTCAAAAACTGCAGGTTAAGAAACACTAGAGAGTTTATATTAGAAGAGAATTTGTAGATGCAATAAATGTGGAGAAATATTTAGGCTAAAATTAAGCCTATGTAAACATCAGAGGATTTACTGGAGAAAGAACTAAGGAACTAACACCTTACAAGAAATCGGAGTATTAAGTGTAAAAAAATCCAAAGTTCAACCTGTTAGAAACTTTCTTTGTTGGCCGGGCACGGTGGCTCACGCCTGTAATCCCAGCACTTTGGGAGGCCGAGGCGGGCGGATCACGAGGTCAGGAGATCGAGACTATCCTGGCCAACATGGTGAAACCCCATCTCTACTAAAAATACAAAAAATTAGCTGGGCGTGGTGGCGGGCGCCTGTAGTCCCAGGTACTCAGGAGGCTGAGGCAGGAGAATGGCTTGAACCTGGGAGGCGGAGCTTGCAGTGAGCCGAGATCGTGCCACTGCACTCCAGCCTGGGCAACAGAGCAAGACTCCACCTCAAAAAAAAAAAAAAAGGTTCTGCGTATATAAGTTGAAAAGAAGTAGATTTTTGAAGAGATTTCGTTCAAAGTATATTTTTTTACTTGAAAAAAAGTATAGATTTTTTGAAAAGCAAATAATTCAAATCCAAAATTATAGTATTTCAGTTTTCTCATTTATGTGAAAGCATGTGATGAATTATTGCTGCACCAGAGATATGAGAAATTCCATTAGGTGGGCAGTATTCATGAACTTTTACATGAAAGAGAAAAAACAAATGAAAGATGCCTGAGGAAAATCTAAGCAGAGAGGATTTTTGTGGTTGACTTAGAGTGATGCATGAAGTAGGTGTTCAGAGTAACATTTTGCATTATTGTGAGAAACAATCTGAATTTTAGTAGTAAATTGTTTTACCAATTGTACATTTATTTAATAATAAAATGCTGTAAATTTTAAAATTGTCTTTTAAGATCATGTGTGAACTTAATTTTTTTTTTTTGAGACGGAGTCTCAATCTATTGCCCAGCCTGGAGTGCAGTGGCACAATCTTGGCTCACTGCAACCTCCGCCTCCCAGGTTCAAGTGATTCTCTTGCCTCAGCCTCCTGAGTAGCTGGGATTACAGACACACACCACCAGGCCTGGCCACATTTTGTATTTTTAGTAGAGACAGGGTTTCAGCATATTGACCAGGCTGGTCTTGAGCTCCTGACCTGGTGATCTACCCGCCTCAGTTTCTCAAAGTGCTGGGATTCCACGCGTGAGCCATCGCGCCTGGCCTTAATTTTTTAAATAAAATTATTAATGTGTAGAAATTATTGTGCCTTGAATGATGTGTTATGCCACCAACTTTCACCTATTCCACCTTACTCAAGGGTGTAGGTAAGAGATGCTAACAATGTACTATCTGATAACATAGCTGAATGACATTTCTAGTCTATTTTTCCAATGGCTTTAAACAGCAAGTAAACTGAATATTGTTCCCATGTTGCATTTTTATTCTTATTTAAATTTTTAAAAAGTTTTTGTGGGTACATAACTATGTATATATTTATGGTATATATGGGTTATTTTGATACAGGCATACAATATATAAATGACAGAGTAAATGAGTTATTCATTATCTTAAGCATTTATCTTTTTTTTTTCTTTTTCTTTTTCTTGGGACAGAGTTTCGTTCTTGTTGCCCAGGCCAGAGTGCAATGGTGCGATCTTGGCTCACTGCAACCTCCACCTCCCAGGTTCAAGCAATTCTCCTAAATCAGTCTCCTGAGTAGCTGGGATCACAGGCATGTGCCACCATGCCTGGCTAATTCCCCCCCCCCCCCCCCAGACGGAGTCTCGCTGTCACCCAGGCTGGAGTGCAGTGGCGTGATCTTGGCTCACTGCAGACTCCGCCCCCCAGGGTTCACACCATTCTCCTGCCTCAGCCTCCCAAGTAGCTGGGACTACAGGCGCCTGCCACCTCGCCTGGCTAATTTTTTGTATTTTTAGTAGAGACGGGGTTTCACCGTGTTAGCCAGGATGGTCTCGATCTCCTGACCTCGTGATCTGCCTGCCTCAGCCTCCCAAAGTGCTGGGATTACAGGTGTGAGCCACTGCGCCTGGCAACCTGGCTAATTTTGTATTTTTAGTAGAGTTGGGGTTTCTCCAGCATTTATCTTTTATATTACCCACAATCTAATTATACACTTCAATTATTTTTAAATGTACAATTTTTTCTACTACAGGTCATTTTATGATTGTAATAAGTATATCAGAGTATAATTATAATTCATACATTCCTGAGTCCTGAATGATTTTCAAAAATGTTTCATATTTATCTTTGGACATGCATCATGTTCTCCTGTAAACATACAGACTTAGTTTTAATTTACATGGAGTTAAATATATAAATGTTGTGCTCTAAAGATAAACCTTGGGTGTAAGAAAATTATGAAGCAAGCAATTGTGTTTGCATGAGAGTTTGTACCTATTTTCCGAAGAAAATAGCAATATTGGAACAAAGAAGTTTCTATTAATACTGTGGATAATTTACTGGAAATCTAGAAACCTAAAACATTTTGAATTAAAATCTATGTTTTCTTATTTTTATGTAATTACTGTAAAATCTAATGGATCATTTTTGAGAATCTCCCTGTAAAAAGTCTCTGTTTTAATGTGGTGCTCATGCTAGAGGTATAATTTTCTTGTTTCTCATTCTTTTTTTTTAACTCCATAAAGTATGTGGGCTGGTCAGAAATTATAAAATTTTTTTAAAAAGTTAGTGCACAGAAAATACTTTTTAGATGTAATTTTACAATGTGTATAGTTATATTTTATTGGAACATTTAATTTTCCTTATATTTCTTTTTTTGTTTTTTGAGACAGTCTCACTCTGTCACCAGGCTGAAGTGCAATGGCATGATCTTGGCTCAGCGCAACCTCCGCCTCTTGGGTTGAAGCGATTCTCCTGCCCCAGCCTCCCAAGTAGGTGGGACTACAGGTGCACACCACCATACCTAGCTAATTTTTGTAGTTTTAGTAGAGACAGGGTTTCACCGTGTTGCCAGGATGGTCTTGATCTCTTGACCTGGTGATCCACCTACCTCGGCCTCCAAAAGTGCTGGGATTACAGGCATCCGCCACTGCACCTGGCCTCTGTTTTTATTTTCTAATTGTCTTTAGTTTTCTGATGTCTTCATGTGTTTATCCCCAGCTATGTATGCTTCACTGCTCTTCTTTGTGTTATGGCTACAGTTTCCTCACTGTTCTCTTCATGCCATGTAATTTCACTTGGACTTTCTAGGCTCTGATGAGAAGTTTGGAATTTTTAATGTATATTGTTTTTAACTGGCGTGTTTGAGATTATAGCTTATCAATGCAACATTCAGATCATGTAATTGAGGTAAGACTAATTCACTGTCCACATGTAAGAGGATTAAGTGAGCACCGTTTTTCTCTTTGTAAAAGAAAAATTGTATGAGAATCTAACACAAAGTGTGTTAAATGTAACATACCTTAATATATATTAAAGCATAAATATAAGTTGGTTGCAGATTGTAAGCACCATATGAAGAAACACATCAGAAGTTTGAAATCTCTTAAAATATATCTTTGAAATAAAATTTTTAAGACTTAATGGTAGATGAAGAATTTTACATATAATTTTCTATGACATAGCAAAACTTATTTTTTATGCAGAATCTTCTATTTTTGACTAAATGTTAAGTGTTGCAAAAATAATAGAATGATCTGTGTAGATTCAAAATCTGCAATGATCTTTTTTTGTTGAGATTCGTATTGCAATCTTGAGTTTGAAATTTGTTTTGGTGGATGCAGTTCATGGGGTACAGTTTTTATTTTTAGTCATCTAACTTTATCCAAGTTCTTGGTCACCTTCTCTAGAAAAAATTAGGCGATTATGGCAGCTATTGAATTCAAACATTCATTAATTCCATTAATGTAATTCAGCATATATAAGGTCCTCAGCTATTGTTTTCTTGAGAGAAACAATTCAGCCCAGAGACAATTAGTGAAGCAAGCAGAGAGTTCATTAAAGGAAAATAAAGAACACACCAAAGGAGGAGTGGATTGGCTCAGCTGGAAACAGCCCTGAGATTTACATGTTGCAGTTTTTATTATTATAGACTTAAAAAAAATTCCCACCTCTGTCTTAAGTGTCTGCCTTTGTCTTTGTGGAGTTTCCTGCTTCCTGGTAAATCTCTTCTTTTATCCTCACTGAGTTTCTTCCCAGGTCTATGAGATGCTTCCTTACTGTCGGCTGATGTACATGTGTGAGTTCCAGTGATCAATGAGTTTTGATGGCAGAATAGCTTATTACCACTACCCTAGGAAAGTCATATAGCAGTCAAATCTGTACTTACTACGCCTGCATATCTCTTAGGAAGTTTCCTTTTGCCCTTTCCCTCTTTTTGTCAGCATATAGCTAGCTACATTCTGACAGTTTAATCACAGTATGAGCAATTATTGGGTGTCTTAAGGGGTGTTTCTGGGTATTCTTTCTTCATGGGTATTTCCTGTCCACTCTGCTCAAATTTAGCGTACATATCTTGGGTTGTCTTTGGAGCATGAGATTTTTCTCCCCCAGGGGCTTTTTCCTGCTCATGTCTAACTGCCTCCTCTAACGTTCCCTCCTCAATAGATTGAGACTCCAAAAATCTTTGAGTCTAGGGGCACTGTGGGTCTTCTGTAACTACTTCCTGGTAATATGAGATAAAGAATTCATCAGTATCTCATTCTCTTGCTTTTTGTCAGAAAAAGATTCCATCCATGTTCTCCCAGAAGGTTGAACTTGCATTGTCCAGAGGAAATGTGTAGGGACATGGCTGTGCAGATTGGGGGAAAATAGGTCGATATTCCTGTTGCAGGACCATTTGAAGTCTGAGAGTTTCTAGGTGAGAGGAAACGAACCTGGTTACTAGATTTAGTGAGCAAGGCTCACAAAAGAGAGAAAGGAAGACAAAGGCTAGGGATCCCCAAAAAGTGGGATGTCATGAGAATTGGAACCAAGTGGCACCCCAAGAGAACTAGCTTTCAGTGGCATGTTTCTGATGGTGACAGGCCTGGTTTGTAAAACCTCTAACATGGTCCTGGACTTTCCCTAATCTGTTAACCCAGAAACAGCATTTTTCTCCTAGCATAAGGCAGATTCTTTCCTGAGCTGCAGCAAGACCTCTACAATTTCAAACTACAGCCACGAGATAATCAACTTGTTGGTGTCACTCTGTAAGAGTCTGAGCAGTAGTTTTTATTTTGTGAGTCAGTTCCAGAGACAGGTTTTGGTAAGTTGAGGAGGCAATAATTATGCCAGCTATTCCTATAGTGGCACCTGAGATGCCAAACTCAGGAAAAAAAAAAAAAAAAGATAAACTGCTTAGTC
Source organism: Homo sapiens (assembly GCF_000001405.40). Classification (NCBI taxonomy): domain Eukaryota; kingdom Metazoa; phylum Chordata; class Mammalia; order Primates; family Hominidae; genus Homo; species Homo sapiens. The sequence continues at coordinate 263,750 of NC_000004.12, read as the reverse complement.
GATCTGGTGTGAGGTAGTAAAGGGTAACAGCAAGGAAGCATCAACCGGGACAATGGAAATGTTAGGGGTGAAGGAAGCCAGAGTGCTTGTGCTCGTCAAGTTTCCAGAGAGACAGAGATAAGCCTGCATTTCACACAGGAAGTAAAGTTCTGTAGTCGATAAAAATGGATGCAGAAGGTGAGGTCAGTTCCAAACATTGACCAGGGTCCTTGTTGGCTACCCGACATGTGAGATCCTGCCACTAAAGTTGCTGCTGCCAGGGGAGCCAGACATGGGTCCTATTTTTTTTTTTTTAAACATAGGCATGTTTCTAGTAGTGTCAAAGAAAAGGATTTTCTGAAAGAAATTAAAGACTTGAAACCTTTTGCATAATTTATACTGGCTTGGTCAACACCATGGGTTGGGTTGACTCCAAGAAGGGTGACTGACGCAGAACTCAGAGGCATCATTTTGGATGAATGGTCCAGGTGTTAAAACATTTGGAGGGAGAATAGAAAATCTCATTTGATGTTGAGAATATTTAGTGAAACAAAATTTTGAGAAATATCAATAATGGTGCTTGTTGTGTTGCATTGTGCTGGGTCTAAAGCACCCACAATGGATCTGGAATTTACAGTAGCACAGATGTATAGGAGTGCCTGGCCAATGAGGGTAGCAGGGGAGAACAAGGGGCTTGAATCAATGGGGGTGGGTTTAAGAAAATCTTTAAAAGCTGCTTTAGGTTGTATTAAAAATATTATGTTAGCAGAGGGAAGGTTTTTGTATAGAGAGGTCCTGATGATAGGTGAAGCTAAGTTGGGCTTGAGAAGTTGCCCATTCTTGTATTGTGGCCAAGTAGGCCATTCCCACCCTGAATGAAGAGGAATTCATGACTAGCTAACAGGTTTGAGGCATAGGAAGAATTGGTAGAGTTTAGTAGTTGTGGAGTTGCCTGCAGAGTGCAACAACAACAACAAAAGAGTATGAGTAATGACCAGAGAACATTAGGCTGCATGGTTCAGAATAGGGCCAAATTGAGATGCTTGTTAAGAGCAACTGTTAATGCAATGATTATTAGAGAGATCACTACTCAGATTATGGCTTTGATGTGTAAATGTAGGAGGGACATAGGAAACTTCCCTGGAGAGGGTGTTGGTTTACAGTAACAAAGGTTTATTAGTAAGTTTGCAAAGAGTATTAGGACTTGCAATATAAACACCAAAGTATTACTAACATTGCTGATGGACTAAAGCAGTCAAAAGTAAAATAACTAAATTAGGTTAAAAAATTAGTATTAGATGGCTGGGCACGGTGGCTCATGCCTGTAATTCCAGCAGTTTGGGAGTCTGAGGTGGGCAGATCATGAGGTCAGGAGATCGAGACCGTCCTTGCTAACACAGTGAAACCTGTCTCTACTAAAGATATAAAAAATTAGCTGGGTGTGGTGGCAGGTGCCTGTAGTCCCAGCTACTCAGGAGGCTGAGGCAGGAGAGTGATGTGAACCCGGGAGGCGGAGCTTGCAGTGAGCTGAGATAGCGCCACTGTACTCCAAGCTGGGCGACAGAGCGAGACTCCGTCTCAAAAAAAAAAAAAAAAAAAACTCTTAATGGAACTCCTGGTGGTGCACAAGTTAGGGTGAAAGTAAGAATCAACAGCACCACTGCAAATAAGATTGCCATTATTGGGATCACTCTACTTTGAGGTAAAAGGAGGGAGAGCATTACTTGCCATTATTGGGATCACACTACTTTGAGGTAAAAGGAGGGAGAGCATTACTTATCTTCTCATTTGGAGAGAAATTTGTAAGTCCTCCTGTGGGTCACAGGAGTAGGTAAGTGTTGGTTCAATCTTTGGTTCCTTAATGTGTTTCCAGTTGTATTCAGAAGTAATGTGTCCAGCTAGGGATGCCAGGAAACTTGATAGCTATTGGGGTGGAAATTATGATAGTAACATTGTTCTTTTGTGACGGGGTTAGTTGAGATCTGAGAGATCCATCTCTCCAGACTTTAATGATGACTTGTTTTCCTGCCTGGTTATATGGGTTGTTAGGGGGGTTAGACTCAGAATTCTGTCCAAACTCCTGGACGACCTCTTGAAATTAAGTCAGGGATTTTATGTACTGGGTTAATTTCGTAACCTCTGGGTATAATATTAGGTTTGCATGTAGAAAGGGTCTCCAGTATAGGACTTCAAAGAAACTAAGCCATAGACGTAATTTAAGGGCTGTTCTGATCTGAAGAAGTGCCATGGGTAGAAGTTTTAGCCATGGTAAAGAGGCTTCCTGGCATCATTTGCTCGAGGTCCTTTTAATAGCTTGATTAGTCCTTTCTACCTTCCTGGAAGATTGTGGCTTTCAGGAGGAGTGTGAAAAGTATTATATCCCTAGGGCTTTTGCCACTGTTTGGGTAGTTTGTGAAATAAAATATAGGCCATTGTTACTTTGTGAAGACTGTGGAGGCTCAAAGAGATAATTTCTTTCAGAATGATCTTGACAACTACCTGAATCTTTTCTATTCTAGTATGAGAGGCTTCAACCCAGGCAGTAAAGGCATTCCCAAGGATCAGGAGATATTTCTAGCCTCGATAGGCTGGCAATTAATTAAAGTCTACCTACCATTCTTCCCACTGGGTAGGTTTCTTGTTGCTGAACTGGCTGAATAAAGAGGAGTGGCATAGGGCCTGGAGGATTATTATAGACCCAGATGGACAGGCTTTACAAACTTGTCAAAAAGAGGAGTTTTTTGTTTTTTTTTTGGTTATAGCTGATGGAGATGGCCTCTCCTACAGAAACAAGAATTATGGAGTGCCCTTATTGCTTTCTGCTGGAGAACCTGGGGGAAATAAAGAACCTCTCCCAATTTATACAATCTTTCAGTCCTAGAGTATATTCACATTTGATACCCCATTGCAGGGTGGGCAGGTTGTTAGGCAAAGTTGGGATAAGGGCCATAAGGAGTTCCCCGGAAAGGGTGGTGGCCGTTGCTGCTTGGCCGACCCTCCTGTTTCTCTAGGTAATCTCATCTTGGCATTTCTGGTAGCCCCAGCAATGAACTGCAGCTTTCTGTGGTAGGTGGATAGCCTAGGGTAGGGTAAAATATCTGTGACCCATATTTAGTAGGGGTATCTTTTGCTGTCAACAATCCTTTCTTTCCAAATGGTGGCATAATTGTGGAATACTAAAATGGCATATTTGGAATCTGTATAAAAAGTACCTAACTCCTTGGTTCTTTTCTAGTTCTAGGGCTCTGGTCAGGGCTATGCACTCTGCTGAGCTGAGGTTCCCAGAGATAAAGTTTTATAAACAAATAGTTTAAAAGTAAGATAATTGCTAGTATTAGGCAAAACTGAGAAAAAGGCACAAAGGATACTAATATAGAGTGAAATAATTAACTCAAAATTTGTATCAAGAAAGTAATAAAATCATAGTGTACTGCTTGCCTTTGTAGTAAATATTTGATTAATTACAGCATTTGCTGACTACAGGTTTACGTAAAAATCATGCTATAAATATTCTGAAGTGCTGGAGGGGTGGCAAGGACAGTTGAAAGAAAGGTTGTTCCCAAGTACATGTCAGTAGCAAAGAGCAATTTCTAGAGTTTATATAGTTTCGTTAGAGGAAGTATTTCTCCTTTATGTATCATAATTTATACATTTGTGTAGGGACCAGCCCCACAGGGTCGGTGGGTCTCTCCCCATGTGTGGAGATGAGAGAGTGTAGAAACAAAGACACAAGACAAAGAGATAAAAGAAGGCAGCTGGGCCTGGGGGACCCCTACCACCAAGTCATGGAGACCCGTAGTGGCCCCGAATGTCTGGCTGTGCTGCTGTTTTTTGGATACAAAGCAAAAGGGGCAGGGTAAAGAGTGTGAGTCATCTCTAATGATAGGTAAGGTCACGTGGGTCACGTGTCCACTGGACAGGGGGCCCTTCCCTGCCTGGCAGCCGAGGCAGAGAGAGAGGGAGAGAGAGTCAGCTTATGCCATTATTTCTGCATATCAGAGACTTTTAGTACTTTCACTAATTTTGCTACTGCTATCTAGAAGGCAGAGCCAGGTGTACAGGATGGAACATGAAGGCGGACTAGGAGCATGACCACTGAAGCACAGCATCACAGGGAAACGGTTAGGCCTCTGGATAACTGCAGGCGAGCCTGACTAATGTCAGGCCCTCCACAAGAGGTGGAGGAGTAGAGTCTTCTCTAAACTCCCCTGGGGAAAGGGAGATTCCCCTTCCCGGTCTGCTAAGTAGTGGGTGTTTTTCCTTGACACGCTACCGCTGGACCACAGTCCGCCTGGAAACGGGCGTCTTCCCAGACGCTGGCGTTACCGCTAGACCAAGGAGCCCTCTGGTGGCCTTTTCTGGGCATAACAGAAGGCTTGCACTCTTGTCTTCTGGTCACTCCTCACTATGTCCCCTCAGCTCCTATCTCTGTATGGCCTGGTTTTTCCTAGGTTATGATTATAGAGCGAGGATTATTATAATATTGGAATAAAGAATAAGTACTGCTGATTAATTATATTCATATATAATCATATCTAAGATCTATGTCTGGCGTAACTATTGTTGTTTTACATTTTGTTATACTGGAACAGCTCGTGTCCTCGGTCTCTTGCCTCTGCACCTGGGTGGCTTGCCGCCCACACATTTGCACACACATATAACAAAAAATGTATCAGTTGATTTAATTTTGTTAAATATTTACTAAGAATGGGTGTTGAAGATAATCACTTATTTTCTGTTTGAAGAGGGTGTTTAACAAAGAGTGTTTTCTCTGGAGTCAAAGTTCCCTGTGTTTTAAAACTGGCTCCACTGTTGTGAGCAAGTAATTTTTCTCTGTGGCTCTATTTCTTTCTCTTTAAAATAAGGATAATAATAATGCCTATGCTATGGAATTACTGTGAAAATTAAATTTATTAACACAGTGTTATGGGTAGTGTTTAGTACAAATTAACTATTAATAAAATGTGTAGGCCGGGTGTGGTGGCTCATGCCTGTAGTCCTAACAGTTTGGGAGACTAAGGTGGGCAGATCATGAGGTCAGGAGTTCGAGACCAGCCTAGCCAATATGGTGAAACCCTGTCTCTTCTAAAAATACAAAAATTAGCCGGGTATGGTAGCTCATGCCTGTAGTCCCAGCTACTCAGGAGGCTGAGGCAGGAGAATTGCTTGAACCCGGGAGGCAGAGGTTGTAGTGAGCCAAGATTGCACCATTGCACTCCAGACTGGGTGACAGCGAGATTCCATCTCAAAAAAATAAAATGTGTAAAAGCTGGATTTCATTAATACATGCTTTAACACCGAAGTATCTTTTCATTACATGATTTGTTCAATAAATTGATGCATATTTCAATTCATTTTTTCAAAATATGGTATACACAAGGAAATACAATTCAGGATTAAAAGTAAGGAAATCTTGTCACTTAAAACAATATGAACAAATTTGGAGGACAGTATGCTAAATGAAAATAAACCAGACAACAGAATGCTGCTTACCAGATACTTGGTTATTTAGAAAAAAAAGCATTTGGAGGGATGTCTGTAAAATAATACATAATTACAGATGTCCAGGTGGAATAAGTTCAAGAAATCGATTTTACAGCATGGTGACTATAATAATGAATTGTATTTTTGAAAAATGCTAAGACAGTCAATGTTATGTGCTCTCATCACAAAAATAATTACTATGTGAATTACCTAGAAGTAAGCCTTTGACAGCATATATATACTTCAAAACACCATGTTCTACAAGATAAATACATACTTTATCTGTCAATTAAAAATGCATTTTAAAAGCCATCACAGAAGAATAATGTTTCAAATGCTGGTCTGTCTTTGAGTATTATCAAAAATAGTTTTTGTGCTGTTTTTGTAATATAATAACCACAGAAACTCTAATATTTGCCAGCATGTTTGAGACCCAGAACACTATATAAGACAAGATGATGTACTCTGAGACCCAGAACACTATATAAGACAAGATGATGTACTCTAGGGCTTTTGCTTTAAGTTTGAAGCACCTGGAGTTTCTAATGCTGATGGTAATTATAGGGAAGACATTAAAAGGGTAACTTGCTAAAGGTCCCATAATTGTCCATTCTGTGACCAAAGTAAGTAAATTTGCATTAAAAATCACTGAGAAAATGATACTCTCCAAAATTTTTCCAGAGAAGGTTACCAAGGACTTGGTTAAAGTTAGTTAGATGACTAAGAATGAAAACTGTAGACCATGAACTGCATCCACTAAAATAAAAAATCATAAGAGAAATTCCTCAGGATTGCAGTATCAATCTGGACAAAAAAGATCATTCCAAATTTTGAATCTACAGAGACCATTCTATTATTTTCCAACACTTAAGATTCACATTCAAAAATAGAAAATTCTGCATGAAAAAAGTTTTGCTATAAGTATGTCATAGAATATTAAATGTAAAATTCTTCTCTACCATTAAGTCTCCTAAAAAATTTACCTCTAAGATACATTTTCTCTGAAGAAATTTCAAAATTCTGATATTTTCTTCATATGGTGCTGACAATATGCAACCCACTCATATTAATGCTTTACCTAGTCTTAGTGTTATGCTTAAGACAGTTTTAGAATCTCAAAAATTTTCTTTCATAAGCAGAAAAACAATGCTGACTTCTCTTACCTGTGAACACTAAAAGACTTCTCAAGCAATCTAAATGCTGCATTGAGAAGCTATAAATAACCTCAAACAGTCCCAATTAGGAACAATTTACCATATTAAAAAAAGTCGAACCTATCAGAACCTGGAAAGTCCATGTGAAATTACATGGCATGAAGAGAACAGTGAGAAAACCGTAGCCATAACACAAGGAGAAGAGCTGTGAGGCATACATAGCTGAGGATAAACATAAAACAAATCCTCTTTAAGGAGCGCCTCTGCCCAGCTGCCCAACTTTCTGGGAAGTGAGAAGCACCTCTGCCCAGCTGCCCCACTGTCTGGGAAGTGAGCAGCGCCTCTCCCTGGCCCCCAGCCCTGTCTGGGAATGAGAAGCGCCTTTGCCCGGCCACTGCACCGCCTGGGACGTGAGGAGCGCCTCTGCCTGGCTGCCACACCTTCTTGGACACGAGGTGTGCCTCTGCCTGGCGGCCGCACTAAGAAATGAGGAGTGCCTCTGCTCGGCGGCCCTACCATCTGGGAGTAAGGAGCGCCTCTTCCTGGCTGCCCCACCATCTGGGAAGTGAGGAGCATCTCTGTCCAGCTGCTGCACCATCTGGGAAGTGAGGAGAGCCTTTGCCCAGATGCTGTGCAACCCTCCAAGTGTGAAGTGGCAGCCTTGTATGTGATCTTTATGTCCTCCCTAAGTTTGCATTTTTGACATTAAAGTTTACTTTTAAATTAAAAAAAAAACCCTCTTTAAATTCAGAATGAGTCAGTTTTGCAGCCTGGGAACAGATGTCCTCTCCACATGCACAATTAATGCCATTTCTTCACTATAGACATTTTCTGTCTCTTACTTGCAGCTACAAACTGACTCCAGAAAGAATATTTATGGCTAATTATGGAGCATCTATTACACACACAGCACTTTCTTATGTTCACTACAATTTTATATCAAAACATCTCCATGACTTAAAAGATTTCCCAGTACTTACCTGAACAAATTGGCACACAATACATAAACTCATTTATGTCAAGTAAAAAGTGAAAGGAACAACTAAAGAAAACGGTTCATATAGAGTTCTCCAGTTAAAGCCACAAAATGAAATTTTCTAACTAGATCAAATATAACAATACACAAATTGTGAACTTGCATCTAAAAATTTGTGTACTAAATTTTATAAAAATCATTCTTATAATTTCTCACCAGCTCACATCGTAAATAATAAAGTAAAAACAAAAGAAGAAACAAGTAAATTATAGCTGTAATATGAGTAACAAATGAAAACAATTTACATGGGGAGAGTCTCAACAATTAGATTTTACAGTAATTAAATCCAAAGAAATATAGATTTGATTTCACAATGTTTTAGGTTTCTAGATTTCTAGTAAATTATCCACCTTATAAAAGAATCTTCTTTGTTCCAATATTGATCTTTTCTTTGGAAAATAGGTACAAACTCTCACACAAACACTATTGCTTGCTCTGTAATTTTCTTACACCTAACGGTTTATTTTTAGAGCAATACATTTATATATTTAACTTCATGTAAATAAAAATGAAAAGTCCGTATGTGTTTGCAGGACAAGACACTACATGTTCAAAGACAAATATGAAACATTTTTTTTAAGTATTCATTCAGGACTCAGAAACATATGAATTATACTTTGATATATTACAATCACAAAACGATCTGTAGTAAAAAATAATTGTACATTGAAAAATAAAGTGTATAACTGGACTTGTGTAATACAAAGAATAAATACTTAAGGTGATGAATATCTCATTTACTCTGATGGATTTTTTCTTTTTTTGGAGACGGAGTCTCACTCTGTCGCCTAGGCTGGCGTGCAGTGCAGTGGCGCTATCTAGGCTCACTGCAAGCTCTGCCTCCTGGGTTCACACCATTCTCCTGCCTCAGCCTCCTGAGTAGCTGGGACTACAGGCACTCACCACCATGCCCAGTTATTTTTTTGTATTTTTAGTAGAGATGGGGTTTCACCATGTTAGCCAGGATGGTCTTGACCTCCTGAACTTGTGATCCGCCTGCCTTGGCCTCCCAAAGTGCTGGGATTATAGGCATGAGCCACTGCGCCTGGCCTACTCTGATGGATTATTACATGGTGTATGCCTGTATTCAAATAACTAATATATGCCAGAAATATGTACATATACTATGTGCCTACAAAAATTTTAAGAAATAAAGAAAAGAACATGGAACAATATTCTTCACTTTATTTGCTGTTTAAAGCCAAAGGAAACATATTACTAGAAATGTCATTCAACTATGTTATCAACTATGTTTCTCACCTGTCTGAATTCTCTGGTGTACAGTAAGGGTTGAGGACCAAGTAAAATCTTTGCCACATTCTTCACATGTGTAGGGTTTCTCTCCAATATGAATATTCGTATGTTCATTCAGGCTTCTGGACCATCTAAAGGCTTTGCCACATTCTTTACATTTGTAGGGTTTCTCTGCAGTATGAATTTTCTTATGTTCATTCAGTGCAGAGGACTGTCTAAAGGCTTTGCCACATTCTTCACATTTGTAGGGTTTTTGCCCAGAATGAATTCTCTTATGTTTAGTAAGGTGTGAAGATCTATAAAAGGCGTTGCCACATTCTTCACATTTGTAGGATTTCTCTCCAGTATGAATATTCTTATGTTCAGTAAGGTGTGAGGACCTATAAAAGGCTTTGCCACATTCTTCACATGTGTAGGGTTTCTCACCAGTATGAATTCTCTTGTTTATTAAGGGATGAGGATTGAGTAAAGGCTTTGCTGCATTCTTCACATTTGTAAAGTTTTTGTTCAGAATGAATGCTCCTGTGTATAATAAGGCTTGAGGATTGGTTAAAAGCTTGACACATTCTTCACACGTGTAGGGTTTCTCTCCAGTATGCATATTCTTATGTTCATTCAGGCTTCTGGACTGTCTAAAAGCTTTGCCACATTCTTCACATTTGTAGGGTTTCTTTCCAGTATGAATTTTCTTATGTTCATTCAGAACTGTGGATTGTCTCAAGGCTTTGCCACATTCTTCACGTGTAGGGTTTCTCTCCAGTATGAATTCTCTTATGTTTGTCAAAGCTTGAGGATGAGGTAAAGATTCTGACACGTTCTTCACATGAGGGGTTTCTCTCCAGCATGAATTTTCTTATATTTAGTAATGCTTGTGGACCTATTAAAGGCTTTGCCACATTCTTCACATTTATTTGTAGGGTATCTCTCCAGCATGTATTCCCTTATGTTAAGTTAGTTGGAGGAACTTGCGAAATGATCTGCCACATTTTTTACATTTAAATGATTTCTCTCCAGTATGTCTTATGTTGTTTGAATTTGAAAATTTATGAAAAACTTTGACAGATGTATTACACTGAATTATTTTGCTCTGGGTAGTTGATAAGCATTGGTAAAGTCCATTATAACCTCCTTTCTGCACCTTACACTTATTCACACTTTTAGAGCCTTTCCTTAATTGTAAATTCTTCTGTCCACATTTCTCATATCTTCTCAGTATAAGTTTGTGGAATGAATCTTCTATGCCCTGCACTGGCCAAAGATCTTGGGTAAAATGAGAACACACACCTGAAAGAAAAATAACAAATTATCCCACTTACTAGATTCATATGAATACACTTTACATATGAATATACTTACTTTACAAATCTAATATATATATACTTATACAAAGTACATTAGTAAGATGGCACAACAAAATACCACAGGCCATAACTCCTTCACAGACATATACATGTAACAAACATATACTCATCAAAATGCTTTTGTGCAAAATCTCGAAATGAGTTAATTGTATGTAATGCCTCAGGTAAGAACAATGCCAAGAGCCACATAGAATGCAAAGGAAAATTTGTTACATTTACACAGCCCTTCCTCCTCCCCAGTATAGCATTGTGTCTTTAGGAGTAAACTGCCAATTCCTGGCTTCTTTCTTTAAAAATAAGAAAAATACTAACGCACACATCATTACTTCTGGCTTTTGGTAGTCTTTACAAAAACTGGTTTCTGTCTCCAATAATACAGAGTGCTGAAAGAAACAGTGGTATATTTTGAAAGGACAGCTTGGGATTGCTGAGACAAAATGTAAATGTTTCAGGAGCAGACTGCAGTGTTAAATACAGAAAGTAGGTAGGGCAAGTGATTAGAGACTGTTAAGAAGAAACATGAACAAACCCTTTTAACTGAAAAACATGAAATTCCAGACAAGACACATCCTTAAAACATGTATGGGAGGCTCCCATAATCTCTATCAAAGACAATTGGTTTCAGACTATGTCAGGACAAAGCAACATTGTAAAGATTGTGACAAATGGCTTTTTGTTAATCTTCAAATAACAAGCAAATATTACAATGCATACAAAATATTAGGGCAACATGGCCAAATTAAAAAATTTAAAGATTTTCAGAAAACAACCATAAAAAATGAAGATGTACAAATTTTTAAAATTTAACCTGAATAATTCTCAATGAGCTAAATGGAAATACATACAACTAAATAAAATCAGAAAAATGAGAATCAATGAAAACATTAAAAACAAAAAAAAGACATCATGGAGGTGAAAAATACAAAAATAATGACAAATTTTCAGAAGCAAAAGAAGGATATAAAAAATGAAGCTCAACAGACTTCAACTAGGGTACACACACACAGATTTATAGCAAGGCACATATATAAGCAAAGTTTCAAAAGTCAAAGACAGGAAGAGAATCTTAGGAGCTGCAAGATAAAAGTGATGTGTCATAAGTGTGGTCTTAAGAGATAACCAGTGAATCTGTTGATAAATTTTTTTCAGACCAGAAAACTGTGATAAAAAGTGCTGAAAGAAAAATAGCTTCTAATTGGGAATAATATAACCAGCAAAACTGTCTTAAAAATGAAAAAAAGGTAAAGACTTTTCAAGATAACCGAATGCTCAAAAAGCACATCTGCCTTACAAAAAAATTCTGAAGGAAGTATCTGCCACTGAAAATAACAATGCAAGAAAACAAAACATGATCATATGAAAATACGTAACTTTCTGAAAAAGATATGCACATACACAAATATAAGGTTCTGTACCATTATAATATTGCAGAAAACATTTTAATCTCTAAAGTTTTAAAGATAAAAGCATAAAAATAATCAAACTTAATCATAATCTGTTAATATGCAACATAAAATATGATTAATCACACCAATAACAAAGTTGAGGGCAAATGTATGAGGAAGAATTTTCAAATGCAACTGAAGTTCTTAGCATTTTAAGATATATTAACTTTATGAAATTTTATGTAATCCCCAAGATACCACAAAGTATCTATAGATACACAAAAGTATAAGAAATCCTATCAATATAAAAATAAAAAAGACACAGAGGAAGACAGAGAAAGAAAATAAGGGACAAAGGTATAATCATCAAGTAAAACAATTAAACAATGACTGCCCTTCTAATTAAGCAAATTATTTAAGTATTTGTGAAGTAAACTTTCGATTCAAAATAGATGCCACCAAATGGATTTAAAAAATTAAAAAACAAGATCCAACTTGCTTTTCAACAAGAATCACTTGAGATCTAATGATTAAGGAGACTGCAAAAGGCAAGATGAAAGAAAACATTTCATGCAAATAATCAAAAAAAGAAGTCAAGATTATATGACGCAAAGTACATCTTAAGTCAAAACTGTTATATTTCATAAAATATTCTTTAAAAGCACAAGAGACCAAGAAGGACATTAAACAACAATAAAAAGTTTCATTTACTGGGAACCCACGACAAATGTGTGTATACATATATAAATATGTGTGTGTGTGTGTGTGTGTGTCACATTAGGGTTCCAAATATAAAAATAAAACACTGACACAGCAAGACATAGAGAGCAATATAACTATAGTAGATTTTTTTGTTTTTGTTTTTTGAGATGGAGTCTCGCTCTGTCGCCCAGGCTGGAAGGCAGTGTCATGATCTCGGCTCACTGCAAGCTCCGCCTCCTGGGTTCATGCCATTCTCCCACCTCAGCCTCTTGAGTAGCTGGAACTACAGGCACCCGCTGACACGCCTGGCTAATGTTTTGTATTTTTAGTACAGATGGGGTTTCACCATGTTAGCCAGGATGGTCTCGATCTCCTGGCCTCGTGATCCACCCACCTTGGCCTCCCAAAGTGCTGGGATTACAGGTGTGAGCCACTGTGCCCGGCCTATAGTAGAATATTTCAATACCCCAATTTCTGTAATGAATAATCAAAAAAGACAGAATACTCATAAGGAAACAGAAGACTTGAAGCACTATATGGCAGTTATGTCTAAGAGAACCATAGAGAATACTCCTCAATAACAGCAGGATATACACACTTCTCAATAGCTCATACAATGTTCTCCTTGGTAAACCACCTGTTAGGCCACAAAAAGTCTTAAAATTTGTTTTTAAATAGAAATTTTACAGATAACTTTTAATGACCAAGGTGGAGTGAGAGTAGAAATTAATAAAACTATAACATTTACATATTTATAGAAATTAAAAAATACAGTCCAGCATGCTCTTGTTCAAATTTTGAAATATTATGAAGATGTCTAGACTGCTCAATGTAATCTACAGTTTAAGTGAAATCCCTGTCAAATTTCTAATCAATTTCTTGCAGAACTAGAAGTGGCAACCCCAAAGTTATATGGAATTTCAAGGGACAATAAAGCACCCACGAATTAAAAAAACAAAAAAAATTGGAGGCTTCACAGCTCATGATTTCAAAACACATACAAAGCAAACGAATTAAAACAATGTGGTATGGATATAAAGCTGAACAGCTAGACCAATAAAATCTGGCAAAAATATACACCATCACACATATGGTTAAATGAAGAGTAATTTGTACACTCATAATTATTGTAGCATTGTTACTGAAAGCAAATAAATGAAAGCAATGCAAATTTCTCTCACCAAATAGATGGATAAATTTGTAATATTAAAATAATGAAATACTACTGTTTGTAAAAAGCAAAAAAAAACTCTAAAAGTATAATAAAGATAAATCTTGATGACATTGTGCAACATGAAATAAGTCAGCCACGAAGACACAGAAACTGTGTGAATCAACTCACATGAGATATCTAAAGCAGTTTGACTCTAAAATAGAAAACAGAATTGTTTTTGTAAAGGGCCAGAAAGTAGAAAATGTAGGTAGTTGTTTAATGTGTAGTGAGTGTTAGCTTTGCAAGATAAACATATTCTAAAGATATAGTACATAACAATGTCAATATAATTAATATGACTAAACTCAATATTTAAAAATATTTGATTGTAAAGTTTGTGTTTTTGACAACAATTAATATCTAAAATAGACACAGAGGTATGGCAGTTTTTCAAATTATCTTCACATCACAAGTGTTTCTCCCCCACACACAAAAATATAGATTTACAAATAAATAGAGGGTAAAATTAGGAGAATTTCAGTGACTACTCACCTAGGCAGGGTAAAACCACCATTGTACACACATAAACAGAACAAGTATACAACTCATATAACACTACAGGAACAATATGCATACAGATAAACACAGAGACTCAGAAATAGACTTATAACTGATCCATATATGACTTGTGCTCCACAGTCTTTTTATTTTTTATTTTTATTTTTTGAGATGATGTCTCGCTCTGTCACCCAGGCTGGAGTGCAGTGGCAGGATCTTAGCTCACTGCAACCTTCGCCTCCCAGGTTCAAGTGATTCTCCTGCCTCAGCCTCCTGACTAGCTGGGGTTACAGGTGCCAACCACCACACCTGGCTAATTTTTGTATTTTTAGTAGAGAGAGGGTTTTGCCATGTTGGCCAGGCTGGTTTGAACTCCTAATGCCAAGTGATCCATCCACCTCAGCCTCCCAAAGTGCTGGGATTACAAGTGTGAGCCACCATGCCAAGTCATGCTCCACAGTCTTACAGTGTACAAAGTTGAATATTGTCATACACAATGAAAACATCTTTGTCTTGTCTGAGATGTCAGAAAAAAAGTGCTCTGCTACTTCCTGTTTAGGATGATATCAGTCATTGATTTGTCATACATGGCCTCTATTGTGTTGAGGTATATATCATCTATACTTAATTTGTTGAGTTTCTTAAACCACAAAGGCATGTTGAGTTTTGCCAAATACTCCTTCTACGTACACAATAAAAATAAAGATATCTAGATGTCTAACAGCAAACTTAATTAAGGTAAACACTCTCTACACTGAAAATTATATAACATTGATAAAAAAACTGAAAAAGACATGAGAAATTGAAAGATATTTTTTGCTCATGAATTGAAAAAATATAAAAGTTGCTATAGTACACAAGATGATCTACAGATTCAATGCAATCTCTACCAAAGTACCAATGACTTTTTTCACAGAAATGGAAAAAACAAGCTTAAAATTTATGAGGAAGAACGAAAGACCCACAAATGGTGAAAGTAATCCTGAGCCAAAAGAACAAAGCTGGAAGCATCACATTACCTGGCTCCAAAACATACTATAAAGCTGTAATGAGCAAAACAGGATGATACTGATATAAAAACAGATAAACAGGTCAAAGTATCCAGTGAGCCCAGTAATAAATCCATGAACCTAGAGCCATGGGATTTTCAACAAAGATGTCAAGAACGCACATTTGGAATAAGACTGTCTTTTCAATAAATGGTGCTAGAAAAATTGATTATTTACATAATAAAAAAATGAAACTAGGCCCCTACCTCTTATGATATAAAGAACTCAATCACAAATAAAGATTTAAATAGGAAACCTAAACCTGTAAAGCTATTTGAAGTAAACATAGAGGAATGTTTTACCAGATATTGCAGAAAAAAGAATTTTTAACTAAGACCTCAAAACACACACAAAAATATGCAAATGGGATTACAATAAATTAAGAATGTTTTGCACAGCAAAGAAAACAATTAACAGAGCGAAGAGATAATCTATAGAATGAAAGAAAATATTTGCAAAATATACAGAGGTAAACTTACAGAATATATAACAAACTTAACAAATATAACACATAATTTGAAAATAGGGAAGAGACCTTAAGAGACATTTTTCTTTCCTTCTTTTTTTTTTTTTTTGAGACAGAGTTTCACTCTTGTTGCCCAGACTGGAGTGCAACGGCACTGTCTAGGTTCACTGTTGCAGGAAGTCAGGCACCCCGAATGGAGGGACCAGCTGAAGCCACCGCAGAAGAAGATAAATTGTGAAGATTTCATGGACATTTATTACTTCCCCAAATTAATACTTTTATAATTTCTTATGCCCGTCTTTACTGCAGTCTGTAAACATAAATTTTGAAGATTTCATGGACATTTATCACTTCCCCAATCAATACTCCTGTAATTTCCTATGCTTGCCTTTAGTCTCTTAATCCCGTCATCTTCATAAGCTGAGGATGTATGTCACCTCAGGACCCTGTGATGATTGCGTTAACTGCACAAATTGTTTGTAAAGCATGTGTGTTTAAACAATATGAAATCTGGGCACCTTGAAAAAAGAACAGGATAACAGCGATCTTCAGGGAACAAGGGAGATAACCATTAGGTCTGACTGCCTGGGAGCCAGGCAGGACAGAGTCATATTTCTCTTATTTCCAGAAACGGGCAAAAGAAATATTGCTGAACTCTTTCCCTAGTAAGGAATATTAATAATTAACAGCCCTGGGAAAAGAATGCATTCCCAGAGGGAGGCCCCTAAAATGGCCGCTCTGGGAGTGTCTGCCTTATGCAGTTGTAGATAGGGATGAAACACAACCTGGTCTCCTGCAGCGCCCCCAGGCTTGCTAGGATTAGGAAAATCCAGCCTGGAGAATTCTAGTCAGACTGTTTCTCTGCTCTTGAACCCTGTTTCCTGTTAAGATGTTTATCAATGACAATGTGTGCCCAGTGGGACATGAAACTTCATCAGTAATTCTAGTTTTGCCCTGACCTTGTGACCTCGCCCTGCCCATTTGCCTTGTGATATTTTATTGCCTTTGAAGCATGTGATCTCTGTGACCCACATCCTATTCATACACTCCCTCCCCTTTGAAAATTGCTAATAAAAACTTGCTGGTTTTGCGGTTCGGGGGGCATCACGGAACCTGCCGACATGTGATGTCTCCCCTGGACACCCAGCTTTAAAATTTCTCCTTTTATACTCTTTCCCTTTATTTCTCAGGCCGGCCGACAATTAGGGAAAATAGAAAAGAACTTACATTGAAATATTGGGGGCTGGTTCCCCCGATAGCTCACTGCAACCTCCGCTTCCTGGGTACAAGCGATTCTCCTGCCTCAGCCTCCTGAGTAGCTGGGATTACCGGTGCCTGCCACCACGCCTAGCTAGTAGAGACAGGATTTCACCATGTTGGCCAGGCTGGTCTCAAACTCCTGACCTCAGGTGATCGCCTACCTCTGCCTCCCAAAGTGCTGGGATTACAGGCATGAGCCACCCTGCCTGGACTAAGAGACATTTTTCAAAACAAGAAATACAAAAGGCCAAGAAGAACATGCAAAGATGCTCAACATCACTATCAGAGGTATGCAAATCAAAGCCACAATAAGATATGACTTCACTGCAGTTAGAATGACTGTAATTAGAAAGGCAAAAAAGAATTGTTAGTGAGAATGTACAGAAAAGTTAACATATGCGGCTGGTAAGATTGTAAGTTAGTACAGCCATTATAGAAAAAAATGTACCACAGGGTGACATATATTTAAGCAATAAACATCGTAATTTAATATGGTTTTTTTGATTCTAAGACAATAAAACACTGATGACCATGTAAGAAAGAAAGAATTCAAACTGCTGGATCATATGTTGCAGAAATTAAACCAGATACACTGAGACAAATACCACATGATCTTACACATATGTGGAATGTAATAAAAACACAGATGGTGAAGGATTCATGCAACTGGTCTTAGCAGTCACTTTTTGGATATGACATCAAAGGCTCAGGAAATAAAAATATGGACATACCCATAGTACTACATCACTATATCCAAACTATTCCAAGAATATTTAAAGCAGGACTTTAAACAGATATTTACACATGCATGTTCTTCATTATTATTTACACAAGACAATTCCTGGAAACAATACAAATGGCCCTTTAGAGATCAGTATTAGATTTTTAAAATGTGACATATACATATAATGAAATATTATTTCATTTTAAAACAGAAAGATATTCTGACACATCTTACAAAAACAAAGCCTGAGAACATTACATTATATAAAATAGTCAAAAAGAAACAGACATTATATAATTACACTAATAAGAATATGGAAATCAGCCAAAATTATAGAAACAGTAAGTAAAACGGTGTTCTTCAGGAGCTGAAGAAAAAGAAAAAAAGGGCAGTTTATTGTTTATAACGTATTAAATTTTACTTTTGTAAGATAAAATTAATCTAGAGATCCATTGCAGAAAAAAAAAAAGTAAACGTACTTAATACCACTAGACTGTATGCTTGAAAATCTTTAATGTAGGGAAGAGAGAGATCAGACTGTTTACTGTGTCTATGTAGAAAAGGAAGACATAAGAAACCCCATTTTGATCTGTATTTTGAATAATGATGTTCAAAATTCTCTGTTGGAGAATGTGCAGTAGCAAAAATCAAAAGTTGGAGTGGGGTCAAGTGACCTATTCTATTTAACTTGTGCTCAGTGAATTTTTTCTTCAACTAATTTAATTTTTTAAGTTGCTTCTGGAGTTAATGTTCTTTTACTATTCAATTTCGGATCCCCTCTTTAGAGAACAAATTTGACATGGCATAAGTAGGGACGCCTAGAGTTGGCCAAATTTAATTAATATCTCCTAGCAACTTTTGAAAGTCATTTAATGTTTTTACAGTGAGCCAAGATCCCGCCATTGCACTCCAGCCTGGGTGACAAGAACGAGACTCCATCTCAAAAAAAAAAAAAAAAAAAGAAAAAGAAAAAGAAACTCATTTAATGTTTTAAATGTGTCTTTTCTTATTTCTGTTTTTTGTGGTTTAATTTTCTTTTCCTCTACATGCATCCCTAAGTAATGGAAAGGAGTAGAGGTTTGAATCTTATCAGATGCTCTTGTCAGTCCTGGGTTGGCAACCTCTGCAGAAATGTGTAACAGTCAATTAATTTCTCTCTTGTTTCTGCAGCACACAAAATATCAACATAATGATATAACAGTCTGAAAACTTGTCTGTAACTTGTTGAAGAACTTCAGCTACAAAAGTCTGACAAATAGTTGGACTATTAAGCATTCCCTGAGGCAACACTTTCCACTGAATTCTGGTGGCTGGTTATTATTTATGGCTGGTGTAGTAAAAGCAAATTTTTCAAAATCCTGTTTTGCCAGAGAAATGGTAAAAAAGCAATCCTTCTGATCAATTATAATTAAAGGCCAATCTTTGGTGATCCTGGCCAGATAGGGCAACCTGGGTTGGAGAGCCCCCATGGGTTGAATTACAGCATTAATAGCTCTTAAGTCAGTCAGCATGCGCCATCTGCCGGATTTTTTCTGAATTACAAACAGGAGAATTCCACGGCGAAAATGAAGGCTCACTATGTCCCTTTTCTAATCGTTCCTTTGCGAGTAAGTGTAAAGCCTCCAGCTTTTGTTTTGGTAGAGGCCAATGATTTACCCATACAGGTTTTTCTGTTTTCCAAGTCAACGGAATGGGTTTTGGAGGCTCTAGAGTGGCCACTCCTAAAAAGGATACCGTATTCCTTTTCTTTCTTGATTTCCCTCAACCTCAGTTGGGACTTTAATGCTGCCTCCATTCTTCCCTAGTCCCCTTTTAGGGAGATATCCCATTTTACTCATGATTTTTTTGACTCATGGGGCTGTATAGGGAGGCTGGGATAGTAATCTCTGCATGCCACTGTTCTAACAAGTCTCGGCCCCATAAGTTGATTTGAATAGAAGTGATCATGGGTTGAACTGTACTTTCTTGATTATCAGGTCCTAGACAATGTAAAATCATGGCACTTTGATACACTTCTGAGGCGGTGCCCACACCGACAAATCCTGTAACAGGCTTTTGTTTAGGCCAATTTTTTGGCCATCTATTTAAGGCAATGATAGAGACATCAGCCCCGGTATCCACTAATCTTTCAAACTGCTTTTCCTGAATAGTGACTGTACACACGGGTCTATCCTCTGAGACCCGATTATCCCAATAAGCAGCTTTTCCGGCAGGGTTGGTACTTCCAAACCCTCCTGTTCTGTTTTCTTTTCCCCAATTTGAATATAAGGCAAAAGCAGTATTTGAGCAATTCTATCATCACCTGGATTGTCGCTCCAGGGAACAGTGGAGCTGATCACTAACTGAATTTCCCCTTTATAATTTGAATCAATTACCCCAGTATGAATTTGGACTCCCTTCAAATTTAGACTTGATCTCCCTAAAATAAGGCCTACTGTCCCTTCTGGCAGTGGGCCATATGCCCCTGTAGGAGGAATCTTTTGTTGGGGCTCTCCAGGGAGTAAAGAGACCATTTGAGCGGCACATAAATCTGCTGTGCTGCCTGCTGTGGCAGGGGACAGCTGTTGTATTGTTGTAATCGGTTGACTCCCTGAAGTGGTGGTATTTGCTGTGGGGGTTGTCCCTGAAAACCCTGAGGAACAAACAGCTGAATAAGGAATGCACCAGTTTGTGGCGGGGCCTGAGACTGGCCCCTCTTCCCATTTCCCGACAATGGTTGCCGATTTTTATCAAATTTAGAATGACATTGATTAGCCCAATGTTTTTCTTTTCCACGTCTTGGACACAGGCCAGGTGGCTCTTTATTTTTTGCTGTAATAGCTTATTATATTCTGTTTATTTAGGACTGGGCAGTTCTTTTTTAGATGACCAATTTGAACACAATTATAATATTTTCCCCCAAATGTTCTAACTTGTCCTCCTAAAGTGACCCCCGTCATTGCTCGAGCCATTAGCATAGCCTTATGCATAGCTCCTCCAATCCCATCACAAGCCTTCACATATTCTATAATTACATCAATTCCTGCTGGAACTTTTCCTTTTAATGGCTTTATGGCCAACTGACATTCTGGATTTGCATTCGATAGGCCATTAATTCTACAATAACTTTTTGGGTGTTATCATCTGTAATAGATTTTTGAGCAGCATCTTGCAATCTTGCCACAAAGTCAGGATATGGCTCTTTAGAGCCTTGTCTAATTGAATTAAAAGAAGGGCAGGCTGTTCCTGGGTCCTGAATTTTTTCCCAGGCCCTGAGGCAAATAGCCCTTACTTGTTCAATAGCCTCATTCTGCATTACTGATTTTTGGTTAATGGTGCTCCACTTTGGACCTGTTCCTAACAATTGGTCTACATCTATATTAACAGTGGGATTTGTAGCCTGATTTTTTCGTACCTGTTCTTGTACTCCATTCCATCAATCCACCAGGTTTTAAACTGTAAATGAGAGGGTGAAAGGGAAGATTTAGCCAAAATTTCCCAATCATAAGGAATAAGTCTATTTCCATGAACAATGGAATCTAATAATGTTCTCATGTAAGGGGAGTTGGGTCCATATTGTTTATAACTCCTTTCTTCATATCTTTTAACATTTTCAAGGTGAAAGATTCATATCTAGCCTCAGCTTGGGTAGGCACTCCTACTTGTCTCTTCCCCGGCTGGTACCGGTTGTAAAATTACTGGGAACTGCCATGCCTCAAGATCTCCCTGTTTTCTGGCTTAATCAATGATTTCATACAGTGTGCTACATTGTCCACTAGGTGGTGCTGTAGGATTAAGCGCCACCGCCGTGGGTTGCTGAAGCTGAGATAAGAGGCATATTTACTTTCAGTTTGTCCCATCGTTACCCTGGGTTCCTTTGAGCGCACAAGCTTACCGCAAGGCTGACCGTGGATGTACTCAGGAATCTCTCGTCGACTTGTCCTCACTGCTCATGTTCTTAGCGTACCTTCACCCTAGAGAAAGGCACCCACGTTGGGTGGCAGATGAAGGCGTGGCCTGCCCCTCCACACCTGTGGGTATTTCTCATCAGGTGGTATGAGAGACTGAGAAAAGAAATAAGACACAGACACAAAGTATAGAGAAAGAACAGTGGGCCCAGGAGACCGGTGCTCAACATACGGAGGACCTGCACCGGCACCAGTCTCTGAGTTTCCTCAGTGTTTGTTTATTAATTACTATTTTCACTATCTCAGCAAGGGGAATGTGGCAGGAAAACAGGGTGACAGTGGGGAGAAGGTCAGCAAGAAAACATGTGAGCAAAGGGATCTGTGTCACAAATAAGTTCAAGGGAAGGTACTATGCCTGGATGTGCACGTAGGCCAGATTTATGTTTCTCTCCACCCAAACATCTCAGTGTAGCAAAGAGTAACAGAGCAGCATTGCCACCAGCATATCTTGCCTCCAGCCACAGGGCGGTTTTCTCCTATCTCAGAATAGAATAAATGTATGATCGGGTTTTACACTGAGACATTGCGTTCCCAGGGGCATGCAGGAGACAGAGGCCTTCCTCTTATCTCAACTGCAAGAGGCCTTCCTCTTTTACTAATCGTCCTCAGCACAGACCCTTTATGGGTGTCAGGCTGGGGGATGGTCAGGTCTTTCCCTTCCCACGAGGCCATATCTCAGGCTGTCTCAGTTGGGGGAAACCTTGAACAATACCCAGGCTTTCTTGGGCAGATGTCCTTGCGGCTTACCGCAGTGCATTGTGCCCCTGGTTAATTGAGAATGGAGAATGGTGATGACTTTTACCAAGCATACTGCCTGTAAACATATTGTTAACAAGGCATGGCCTTCACAGCCCTAGATCCCTTAAACCTTGATTCCATACAGCACATGTTTCTGTGAGCACAGGGTTGGGGCTAAAGTTACAGATTAACAGCATCTCAAGGCAAAACAATTGTTCAAAAGACAGATCAAAATGGAGTTTGTTATGTTTTCCTTTTCTACATAGACACAGTAACAGTCTGATCTCTCTTTCTTTTCCCTGGCATTTTCATGTTTTTCATCACAATTAAATATTTAGATCTACCTAAAAAGGTTACAGTCTTTAAAAATCACCTTCAAGTAAGAAAAGTGTTTCTCTCACAGAATAACATAATAAAATAATAGATGGTAATTTTACACTGACTACTCACCCACACAAGAAAACAATGATGAACACCCAAGTAAATAAATACTTTATTTATTTATTTATTTTTTTGAGATGGAGTCTTGCTCTGTCACCCAGGCTGGAGTGCAGTGGTGCGATCTCGGCTCACTGCAAGCTCCACCTCCCGGGTTCACGCCATTCTCCCGCCTCAGCCTCCTGAGTAGCTGGGACTACAGGCAACCACCACCACGCCTGGCCCAATTTTGTTTTTGTATTTTTAGTAGAAATGGGGTTTCCCCATGTTAGCCAGGATGGTCTCGATCTCCTGACCTTGTGATCCGCCCGCCTCGGCCTCCGAAAGTGCTGGGATTACAGGCGTGAGCCACTGTGCCTGGCTGATAAATAATTTATAAACAACGTAGGGGCAATATATATACAGGCAAATACCACATAGATAACTTTCTTGGCAAGAGAAATGTCTGATTTATATATATGTTTTTTAATTTGCTCGAAGTGAAACCCAATGATATTTATTTGAATTAAACACCACATGGTCATAAGAGGTAGAGAGGTTGTTGTTGTTGTTGTTGTTTTGAGACATTGTTTCACACTTGTTGCCCAGGCTGGTGGGCAATGTTGCAATCTTGGCTCACTGAAACCTCCGCCTCCTGGGTTCAAGTGATTCTCCTGCCTCAGCCTCCCAAGTAGCTGGGATTACAGGCATGCGTCACTACGCCTGGCTAATTTTGTGTTTTTAGTAGAGACAGGGTTTCTCCACATTGGTCAGGCTGGTCTTGAACTCCTGGCCTTATGATCTGCCCGCCTTGAGTTCCCAAAGTGCTGGGATTACAGGCATGAGACACTGCCCCTGGCCAAGGTACAGGGTTTAAAGTTACCATACAAATATAAAGATTAAAAACAAACCACTAAAATGGGGTTGAAAACAAGAATAAAAATTTCTGACCTTTAAAATATTGAATATCATATAGATGTATCATAAAAACAATCCTTTACAGTTTTCAACTGTGACTATGTACTTATGAAGAGCTGGCATTTTGAATCTTTGGCATTCAAGGTACAGCAATAAAAGAAAATAATCTCAATAATTAATAAAATGCTCTGATGAGAATGAGGCATTTCAATACATTTACTTATTCCACAATTTGAAAATTTAAGCATTTTATTTCAGACATTTTGAATTTGAAATAAAAAATATTTGACACAGAACAATCAAAGTAAAACATACAAGGGGAGTGACATAGCAAGATGGCAGAATAGGAGGTTCTCTACCTAAATCTTATATGGTTATAAAAAAATGCAGCAGTTATGCCCTGGCAAATGAACCTTTATAGGAACTTTGGAATCCATGTCAAAAGGTGTAAACCCAAGACAGGAGGGCTGTATTGAGAGGGCATGCCCTTGCTTGAGTGGCATGCTTGCCCATCATAGTCCCAGCTACAAAATAAAATATGATTAATTCTCATTGTAAGTATAGCTGTAGGCCATTTGGTTTTGTTTATGCCACTAGCACCATCTGCCAAGACACCAAGGAGGATTCATAATGTCCTGTGTCTCAGGTGAAAGGACTTTAGATGTTGCTCCTCTCTGTAGTCTCCTAATTAGCCCCTTGCACACATCTATCATGATGTGGAAGAAATCCTGCACATGCAGGAACCGACAGAAACATCCATCTGTGCCCCTGGATGTAGGCTTGCCGATATTTATTTAATGGTGGATCTTGATGTGGCACTATCATCTGGCTCCCAGTCCATGAAACCAAAGTCCAGAAGCAGTTTTTCCTAACCTGGGACCTGCCAAAAAACACACCTATATGTGCCCCTGTAGGCATGCTGGCTGACTTTATTCCCACTGTGAATCTTGAAGCAGTCCTAAAACCCAGCTCCAGTCCCAAAACCTACCTCCAGTCCCAAAACCTACCTCCAGTCCCTGTCAACTAAAGTCTGGGAGCAGTCCTGCCCACCCAGGAATCTGGAGGGAGAAATGCCGTGAACCCAGAAACAAACCTGAAGACTTTGGTCTCAGCTGTGTATCCTGAAGCAGCCCTATGAATCAGTTCCACACCCTCTCAGCTGTGACCAAGGGTCAGTACTTCTCATCTAGGAATCTGTCCAATGACTGGGTTAGAAGATTTCTAAAAACCCAGCAAGAGCCACACAGCAGAAGCCATACCTGCTCACATGGATTATATCAGCTCTGTCATCTGCATATACAACTGGAGACTTTTTTTTCTCAGCACCAGTCTTACTGATCAAGATCCTGAAGAAAGTTCAGTCTTCCTAGAAAATAGACAGAATCCACAACAGTCTGATGCCCTAATAACAGGTCTGCCAAGCATGAACTTCACTGTGATCCAGATCCAATGCACCTTACTGCAAACTCACTGGAAATCTCATCAGCACAGAGATCCAATAGGAGAAAATATTTACCACCCCAAACTAATCTATAATGACTGCAAGAGATATTTACTCCTTCAGATGCAAGGACATAAAAACAAGGCATCACAGACCATGAAAGATCAGGCAAATGTAACACCACCAAAAGAAACTAAAAATTCTCTAGTAACCACTTACAGTAAAACACAGATCTAAAAAATGGCTAAGAATTCAAAATAATTATCTTAAAGAATCTCAATGAGATGCAAAAAAACCACACATTACTAAATTTTTTTTGCAACAACGTATGAACAGAATCACAATTATAATAAAGAGAAACCATTAAAACAGAACCAGTTAGATATGCTGGAGCTGAAGTACACAATAGGAGATCTAAAATATTTAAGAGAAAGCTTTAACAGGAGACTCCGTTATACAGGAAAAAAAAAATCAGCAAATGTAAAAGTTATTTGAAAGTTCCTAGTTAGAATTTAAAAAAAGAATGCGAGTGAATAAAGCATTTGTCCCCCATATTTCATAATCAATGGTAAGGATGTACAATTTTAGGAGGTTCATGAGAAAGAAAAAAATTTTTAAATTGTTTAAAGATATAATGTCTTAAATTCTTCCCAATCTTGGAAGGAATATAGATATTAAATTTAAAAGCTCAAAATGTCTATAGCAAGAAGAATCTAACAGAAATTGTCCAGAACACATTATAATTAAACTGCCAAAATTCAAAGACAAACAAAAAAGAAAAAAAAAAGAAAGAATGAGTAATACCCAGTATGAGTATAATAATTTAGTTGCACATTTTAAAATAACTAAAAGAGCATAATTGGATTGTTTATAACCCAAATTATAAATGCTTGAGGGGATGGATATACCCCATTTTTGATTATGTGATTGTTACACATTACATGCCTGGATCAAGACATCTCATGTGCCACACAAATATATACATGTCCTACATACTCACAAAAATTAAAATTAAAAAAAGAAAACCCTTTACCTGGGGTTTGCCTGCAAAACCTAAAATAAAGAGTAAAAAGTAAAAAAAAAAAAAAAAAAGCAAGAGAAAAGAGATTCTTCACATTCAAGGGAACTCCTATAAGGTTATCAGCAGATTGCCCAGCAAAAACCATGCAAGCCACACAGGAGTGAAACCATATATTTAAAATGCAAATGAAGGAAGAAAAAGAAAAAACCTTGACAACTAAGAAGACGATACCTGACAGAGCTGTTCTTTAGAAATGAAGTATCAAAATCTTCTCAGATTAAAAAAAAGTTGAAAGTTTTAATCACTAGACCTGACTTACAACAAATGCTAATGAGAATTTAAGTTGTAATGGAATCCAAACTTACAACAAAATTATAAATCTTACTGAAAATCATATATACATAGTCGAATTTAGAAGGCTATAAAACTAATTATGGTGAATGAATTAATCACATTTAACTCTGGTATAAAAGCTACAAGAAAAAATTATTAAGACTACATATAGCTTCAATAATTTGTTAAAGGGTATACGATATAAAAAGATGTAGAGTGTGACATAAATACTATGTTGAAGGGAGTAAAATTGTTTAATTTTTCTATACATAGAAGCTAACTTTTGCTTGAGGCCAGGAGTTCAAAACTAGTCTGGTCAATATAGCAGGACCCTGTCTCTTAAATAAGTACATAAATAAAATTAAATAAAGATCTCAGAAAGCTATTTAGTCTTTTAAAAAAAGAAGCAGCTGGGCCTGATGGCTCATGCCTGTAATACTAGCACTTTGGGAGTCCAAGGCAGGTGGACTGCTTGAGCCCGGGAGTTCAACACCAGCCTGAGCAACTTGGCAAAACCCTGTCTCTACAAAAAATACTAAAAAAATTAGCCAGACATGGTGGCATGTGCTTGTAGTCCCAGCTACTTGGGAGGCTGAGGATTGCTTGAGCCTGGGGAGGTCAAGTCTGCACTGAGCTATGAATGTACCACTGCACTACACTGGGTAACAAAGCAAGACCCTATCTATACAAACCAAAAGCTAAATTCTTATCTGAAATTAGATTTTATAACTATGAGATGTTTTACATAAGCTTCCTGGAAATTACAAAAAAAACTGTAGTGGTTACACACAAAAGAAAAAGAATGCATATAACAACAAAAACAACAAAAATTCAAGAAAATACAGGGGAAGACAGCATGAAAC
This sequence comes from Homo sapiens, assembly GCF_000001405.40. Taxonomy (NCBI): domain Eukaryota; kingdom Metazoa; phylum Chordata; class Mammalia; order Primates; family Hominidae; genus Homo; species Homo sapiens. The sequence continues at coordinate 236,507 of NC_000004.12, read as the reverse complement.
AATGAAAAAACAAACTACTAAATGGTCAGAAAACAGTAAGAAAATGGCAGTAAGTTCTTATCAATCAGTAATTCATTTAAATATATAAAGATTTAGTTATCCAATAAAAACACATTGCTATAGTTTGAGCGTCCCCTCCAAAATTCATGTTAAAATTTAACTGACATTGTGAGAAAATTAAGAAATGAGGCCCTTAAGAGTTATTAGGTCATGAGCACTCTACTGTCATGAAAGGATTAGTATCAGTATTACCACAGTGTATTAGTCATCATGAGAGTGGGTCTATTATAAAAGTGAGCACTGGTGTACACCTTCTGTCATCCTCAACCCTTTGGTCATGTTGTGATGTGGAAATGTGATTCTCATCAGATGGGAATGACATGCTCTTGGACTTCTTGGCATCCAGGAGTCTGAGCTAAGTAAATTCTATTCTTTATGAATTACGAACTCTGGGATATTCTGTTATTGAAGCAAAAAAAAAAAAAAAAAAAAGGAAACATTCACAAAATGTCTGAATAGATTTAAAAAGTCAACAATATGCTGTGCACAAGAGACTTATTTTAGGTTTAAGGACGTACATAGGTTAATGGTACAAGGATGAAAAAGAATATTCTATGCCAATAATAACTAAAAGAGTGTAGGAGTGGCTATAATTACATCACACTAAATAGACTTCTAGAAAAAAATCTATCAGAAAAAAAGAATTTTATTGTATTGTGATGAGCCTAATTTGTCAAAACATAATTAAATATATATATGTACCAAACATTGGAGCACATAAATATATAAACATATATTAACAAAACTGGAGAAAGAAACAGACAGATATAATAGGGGACTTTACTGCCCTACTTAATACATGAGTCAGACAGAAAGCTAGTGAAAAAACAATGTACTTGCATTGCACTATAAAACTGCACCTAACAGACGTGTATAGAACATTTCATCCAACAGTATAATTTATATTCTTCTCAAACACACATGGAACATTCTCCAGGACACATCATAAATCTGGCCCACAACAAAAACAAACAAGTCTTTTCATTTTTAAAAAGATTGAAATCATATCATGTTTTTTAAATCACAATTTTATAAAACTAGAAATCAATATAAGGAAAAGTAAAAAACTTACAAATATGTGTATATTAAACAACATGCTTCTGAACAACCACTGGGTAAAGAAGAAAAAGAAAGAAAAATCACAAAGTATCTTGAGAAAACTGAAAATAGAAACAGAACATATCAAAACTGAAATGTAACAAAAGATGTTCTAAGAATTTTATAGTAATATATTTTTATATTAAGAAAAAAGATCTCAAATAATGAAACTTTAATCCTCAAAACACTTGAAAAATAACTAATCCCAACGTTAGCATAGTAAAATAATAAAAATTAGACCTCCAATAGAGATAAATTAGATACTTAAAAGACAACAAAAAAGATAAATGGCAGAGAAGTAATCTACATATAAAAAGTTTCTAAATCAAAGGTTTTTAGAAAAGGGAGCAGAGTAAATGCTCTTCCTTTATTTTCCAGTTGGAGGACTAAGTCTCATTTCTATTTTGCACTTATATTTACAATAACCACATCTGAAAACTCTGCTTCGAACTCATGGACATCTGATTTCCAGCATGGTCTGAATTTAGGCGCCTGCAGGGTAACCGTGGGCATACTGTCTTCACAGGAAAGAGGGTTTGTGGGGGAAAAATGCAGAATAGAAAAGGTGCTATCAAGAACCCATGGGTGAGGGTTGGTGCACAGTTGGTGAAAGAACTGGTTAGTGCTACAGATACTGGCCCAGGCAGGACAGCTCTGACTTATAAATGTGTGCATGCAGGGAGATAAGATGGTCAGGTGATCCAGAAGCCTAGGCTACTGCAGGAAAGAGGTTACTGGTGCAGATTCAAGATCTGGGAGATAGAAAGAAGCCATGAATCTTCTGGATACTTATGTGGCCTATTAGTGGAAAACTCTAGAAACAGAGGTTTTCTCAGCACAATTCCTGAGTGAAGATTTGTCATGAAAGAAGCATGGCCATACCATTGCTTAGCATGTATGTGTGTGAATGTGCAGAAATCACATTGTAGCAGCAGGGGGAGAGAAGAGTCTGCCCTCAGAACTCCTTCCTTTTAAGTCCTCAGTCCCCTGCGACCCCTGGAGGAGACCTAGAATCACAGGAGAATTCACTGTGTGACAACTTGTGTGCAAACAACAACAACAACAACAAAACAAAAAAGCCTCTCCATTCTACAACAGACCCAGTGTCTCCCTCCAACCAAGACTGCTATGATATCTTAATTTTTTTGAGAAAGGGTCTTACTTTGTCACAAAGGCTGGAGTGCAGTGGTATGATCTTGGCTCATGGCAGCATCAAGCACCCAGGGTTCAAGCGATCCTCCTGCCTCAGCACACCCCCAGGGAACTGGGAATATAGGTATGTGTCACCGTGCCCAGCTAATGTTTTTGGATTTTTGGTAGAGATGGGATTTCACCATGTTGCCCAGGCTGGCACTGAACTCCTGAGCTCAAGCAATCTGCCCTCTGTGGCCTCCCAAAGTGCTAGGATTAGAGGCGTGAGCTATCACACGTGCCCTGATATCTTTATTCTAACACCAAATATATGGAGTTTGCTGAACACCAACCAATCCTCCAACACCAACTGGGTGTCCAACAACTCAATTCTGACAACACCAGGGTCAGCATAGACCCCACTGGCTCAGGGCTTAGTCCCACAACACTGCTTCCACTCCACCTGCCAGTCACAAGCCCCAGGGGAACCCACCTATACTTCAGAGCAACTGTCTATAAATCATGGGCTTCCATAACTCCCTCCCTCAAGTTAAAGGATTTGAAAAAAACTACTCACAGAATTTGGCAAAAACACTTTACCTATGTTTACCAGGTTATTATATTGAATACAACCCTGTAAAAGCCAAAAGGAAAAAATGTATAGGACAAAGGAAAGCAGGGAAAACATGAGGCGGGCAGTGAATCATGGTAGTTAGACTAACATCTCTCAAATCCTTTGTGTTCTGCAAGAAAAGCTTACTGCAAAGAAATGCCCTCTTCATTATGACTTTTATGATGCTCCCTCTTTACATATCACAAATTCACAGATTCTACATTCTCATTTTTCCCTCATAAACAATTAAATATTTTTGTCTTCAGTGTTCAAACAGAATACTTGTTAACCAAACTGCTCAATTTTTTCTCCTTCCCCCAGGCCACTGGACTATGCTCCACCTTCAGTCTGAGCCAGCATACAACCCTCTTGATACCTCTCCCAAGAACAGGCTGACTTCAGGGTGAAACATTCTCTAATCTTGAATCTGATTTTGCTGTTCTCCATTCTGCCCTCTGCCATCTTCTTTCTAATCTTGTTTGCTCCTCCATATGAAAAATAGCCTTTATCTGTCTCATTTTGGAGGTGCTTGCAGATCTTATGCTTGGTGCTTTTTCCATTGCAATACTCCTTAAAATAAAGTCACTTCTTACCTACATCAGAATTTATTTGATGATATCTAGAAACAGCCCGATGACAATAACAATTACACCCTCTCAGAGGACATCACAACCCTCCTCCCTTCCCAACTCTCTCTGCATCTGCCTGTGGATCCTCAGCTTTCCAGGGCTCTGTAGCTTCTCAGTATAAAGACCCCTTTCATGTCTAATTTGAGCCAGGCTGGGACACCTGCAGAAAAGGTTCCCAGGAAGAAACTACTGGGCTATTGATGACCTCCTTTGGCAGGGTCAAGATTGGCCTTACCTTGCAGTCAACAGGCTTAGGTCTCTGATTCCCAGTCAAGATTATTCACTTAGTTTTATATAAAAGAACTCAGTGTTTAAAGAGTCCAGCAAAATTCCTCCAACTCATTGCTTATGTTTATAGGAGGAAAGGAGATTGTAAGGCACTTACATCTTATACTTCAACAAGAAAAGCCAAAATATCTATTTCAGACAATAAATATGTCATTTAGGTATTATTTCCATAATAACAAATAGGTAATCATACATGAACATTAAGAAATGTCAAGTCCTATTCCATAAAATTTAACACTAAATTCAGACATCCAGATAACAAGATACAGAGCAGACTTATTCATTATCACAAATTCTCTACCATGCAGAAAAACTGATATTTTGGCACATCTCTGTAAATCACCAATTTATCTACCAAAATTTCTTCTAAAAATGTATTCACTTCTCCACAGCCATAAAGGAAGAGAACTGTTTCCTACTTTTGTTTATCCAGTAATATTCCCATAACTAAGCCCTGAGGTTCTGTATGAAACCATTCCCAAAATGTACAGATCCCAAAAACTTATTACACACTCTCAAGGGAAAAATGAAAGAATTTTTAAGAAATAAAATATGTCACTAGACATTTTTAAAATTCACATTCCTATTTTTCAAGCACTACTAATAAAATGCATTGTACAGTTACTAAAAGTGGAAGTTGAAATAAGTAAACATTTTTTCAAGATGACAAACCCAAGGAGTGGCAGTACTGGCTGGAATAATGATATGTCTGACTCAAGTGTCAAATCGGGCTGAATGTCTTATGATGTACGTCCTCCTACCTTCATCTTTCTCTTTGAAATACTCAATGACCAAGAGCCTCTGCACTTTGTGCCTCTGTGTGCCTGGAGTGCCTATTATTTATTTATTTATTTATTTTTGCAGGTCATCCATGCACCATCTTGCTAGAATGGACTTTCATTGTCTTTGGGGATACTATCTTTTTCTCCTTTCACAATTCTGAAAAAATCCAGATGATAGAAATTATTTCTGCCTTTCCCCTCAATATCAGACTTCCATTGGCTGAAGAGCAATGTGTCTCCAAAAAATGGAAACTGGATTGGGAGAAAGAAAATCTTGGACAGGCACGGTGGCTCACGCCTGTAATCCCAGCACTTTGGGAGGCCGCGGTGGGTGGATCATGAGGTCAGGAGATCGAGACCATCCTGGCCAACATGGTGAAACCCTGTCTCTACTAAAATACAAAAAATTAGCCGGGCATGGTGGCGCATGTCTGTAGTCCCAGCTACTTGGGAGGCTGAGGCAGGGCAATCGTTTGAACCCAGGAGGTGGACGTTGCAGTGAGCCGAAATTGTCCCACTGCACTCCAGCCTGGGCAACAGAGCAAGACTCTGTCTCAAAAAAAAAAAAAAAAAAAAAAAAAAAGAAAATCTTAATGCCACAAGGATGTGGCTTTTTGAATGAAGTGTAAACCACAAGAGTGCTCTGAGTACCAGGGCACCCAGCTGCTTCCGAGAGGGTCCACCCCACACCTCAGGCCGTCCACTATGATGAGATGCTGCAGTAACTGTTATGCCCTAACCACTCCAAGAGACATTGCTACCGTGGGCATCTGGGATCTTCCCCAGACAGTTCTGAAGCCTAGGACCAGGAAAAGACAACAGGATGGCTAAGGACAAATTACCTTGTAAAGTTGGGAACCTAAACCCAAAAACATTCTCATAAGATGTCTGCATCTGAAGAAGATAAAAGAAGAGGCACAAAGGATACACACTTTCACCACTGTTATTCAACATAGTACTAGAAGTGTTAGCTAGAGCAATGAGAAAGAGAAAAAAAAAGGCATCCAAATTGGAAAGGAAGAAGTCAAATTATCTTTGTTTGCAGATGATGTGGTCTTGTAGTTGGAAAAACATAATTCACTAAAACACTACTAGAATTGGTTAGTCAAGATATAAGATTAAAACTCAGTCAGACGCGGTGGCTCACGCCTGTAATCCCAGCACTTTGGGAGGCTGAGGCAGGTGGATCACCTGAGGTCAGGAGTTTGAGACCAGCCTGGCCAACATGGTGAAACCCCGTCTCCGCTAAAAAAAAAACTACAAAAATTAGCCAGGTGTGGTGGCTCATGCCTGTAGTCCCAGCTATGTGGGAGGCTGAGGCAGAAGAATTGCTTGAACCCAGGAGGCAGAAGTTGCAGTGAGCAGAGATTGTACCAATGCACTCCAGCCTGGGCGACAGAGCAAGACTCCGTCTAAAAAAAAAGTGTGTCTGTATGCTAACAGTGAACAATGTAAAAGCAAATCAAGAGAATAATCCCACTTACAATAGCCACAAATTAAAATTAAATATGTAGGAATTAAGCAAAGAAGTGAAAAATCTCTACAATTAGTACTATAAAACACTGATGCAAGAAATTTAAAAAGACAAAAAACTGAATAATATGTTATGCTCATGAATAGGAAGAATCAACATTTTTAAAATGTCCATACTACCCAAAGCAATCTACGGATTTAATACAATCTCTAGAAAAACATCAGTGACATTCTTCACAGAAATAGAAAAAACAATCCTACAATGTAGACAGAACCACAAAAGAATCAGAATACTACCCAAAGCCATTGTAAAAAGAAACTGGAGGAATCACAGTATTTGACTTTAAATGATACTACAGAGCTACAGTAATTAAAACAGCATGAAACTGATCAGTGAAACAGAAGAGAGAATGCAGAGACATATCCATGTATCTACAACCAACTTATTTTTGACAAAGGTGTCAAGAATATGTACTGGGAAAAGGAGTCTTCAATAAATTGTGCTACAAAAACTGAATATCCATATTCAGAAGAATGAAACTAGACCCCATCTCTTGCCATATAAAAAAATTAAATCAAAATGGATTAGAGACAAATCTAAGACCTCAAGCTATGAAACTCCTACAAGAAAACATTGGTGAAGCTCTACAGGTGAAGCCCAGGAAACTGGGGAAAGATGTCTTGAATAATACCCCGCAAGTACAGGCAACCAAAGCAAAAATGAAATGCAATCACATCAAGTTAAAGAGCTTCTAAACAACAAATGAAACAATTAACAAAGTTAAGAGAGAGCACATAAAACGAGAGAAAATATGTGTAAACTGCCCATCAGAAAAAAAATAATGAGAATACGTAAAGTGCACAAATAGCTCTATAGGATAAAATTGAATAATCTGATTATAAATGGGCAAAAATTTGAATAGACATTTCTCAAAAGAGGGCATACAAATGACAAAAAGGCATATGATGAGGTGCTCAACATCATTTATCATCAGATAAATGCAAACCAAATGACAATGAGATATTATCTTACTCCAATTACAACGGCTCTTATCCAAGTCGGGCAATAAAAAATGCCAATGAGGATGTGGAGAAAAGTGAACTCTGGCACTATCTTGGTGGGAATGTAAATTAGTACAACCACTATGGAGAAGAGTTTAGAGGTTCCTCAAGAAATGAAAAATAGAGCTACTATATTATCCAGCAATCCCACTCCTAAGTAGCTACATAAAAGAAAGGAAATCAGGACATCAAAGAGATATTTGTACCTCCATTTTTATTGCAGCCATTGTTCACATTATCCAAGATTTAGAAGCAACCTGTCTATCAACACATGAATGGATAAAGCAAATGTGGTACATACACACAATGGAGTACTTTTTTTTTTTTTCTTTGAGATGGAGTCTCCCTCTGTTGCCCAGGCTGGAGTGCAGTGGCACGATCTTGGCTAACTGCAAGCTCTGCCTCCGCCTCCTGGGTTCACACCATTCTCCCGTCTCAGCCTCCCAAGTAGCAGGGACTACAGGTGACCACCACCACACCTGGCTTTTCTTTTTTTTTTTGAGACGGAGTCTCACTCTGTCGCCCAGGCTGGAGTGCAGTGGCGCGATCTCGGCTCACTTCAAGCTCCGCCTCCAGGGTTCACGCCATTCTCCTGCCTCAGCCTCATGAGTAGCTGGGACTACAGGTGTCCGCCACCACGCCTGGCTAAGTTTTTGTATTTTTAGTAGAGATGGGGTTTCACCGTGTTAGCCAGGATGGTCTTGATCTCCTGACCTCGTGATCCACCCGCCTCGGCCTCCCAAAGTGCTGTGATTACAGGCGCTAGCCACCGCTCCTGGCCTTGTTTTTGTGTTTTTAGTAGACACAGGGTTTCACCATGTTGGCCAGGCTGGTCTGGAACTCCTGACCTCAGGTGATCCGCCTGCCTCGGCCTCCCAAAGTGCTGGGATTACAGGTGTGAACCACCACGTCTGGCCAATGGAGTACTTTTCAATCATAAAAAAGAATAAGATTCTGTCATTTGCAACAACATATATGGAACTAGAGATCATTATGTTTAGAGAAATAATCCAGGCATATAAAGGCAAACTTTGCATGTTCTGATGCATTTGCTGGAGCTAAAAATTAATTTCATGAAGCTAGAAGAACGATTGTTACAGAGGCTGGAAAATATAGTAGGGGGCTGGGAGGAAGTGAGGAAAGTTAATGGGTTCAAAAAAATTGGAAAGAGTAAGATTTAGTAGTTGCTAGTACAACAGAGTGACTATAGTCAAAAGCAATTTAATTGTACATTTTAAAATAAAAGAATGAAATCAGATTGTAAAACAAAGGACAAATAGTTGAGATAATGAATACCTATTTACCTTGATGTGATTTTTATGCACTTCTTGTCCATATAAAAAATCTCATGTAACCCACAGATATATATATATATATAGCTACTGTGTATTCACAAAAATTAAAAATTAAAATAATAAAAATATCAATTTAAATTGCAAAGCTTAAAAATAAAAATCACTGGTCCTCATTTCTTCATAGGTATATGACCTTAACATCATATTGATCACATTGCCTTTGTGGGAATTCCAAAACATAAGTAAGACTGTGTACTACTTCACTTGAGCAAAATGCCAAAAACATGTAGAAGAAAAATTTTATTAAAATTTTATTATGTCCGGCACAGCCTTACCTCCTGCCAATACAGCATGGTCAACAATGAGAAACTCCCAACTGTATGCTTCCTCAGAAGAGAAAAGATAAACGCAGAATATGTGCCCACATTTTTGGTTTTTGGGGTGCTGTCAAAGATGGGTTTTGTCTCCCCTGACATAGAGTGCTGAAGAAAAAGGTGGTATACTCTGGATGACAGCAGCTATGCATATTTTACATTACTGAAAGAAGCAATCCTAAAGACATATGAGAACTAAAGAGGCCAGAAGTGCTCAAAAATTGTCAAAAAGAGGAACATGAGAAGCATCATACATCCTGATTTTGAAAACCTATTATAAAGTTATGGTAATTGAAATACTTTATAACTGGATCAAAAAAAGACAATACCAGTGAAACAGAATAGAGCACGTAAATAATCCCTTGCATATGTTATCAAATGAAGAGTAATTTACACATCCATCATCCATATTCATTGTAGCATCATCTACAAAAGCAAATATGTGGGAAGAACCAAGTTTTCTTTTTTGTTTTTTTTTTTGAGACAGAGTCTCGCTCTGTTACCCAGGCTGGAGTGCAGTGGCATGATCTCGGCTCACTGCAAGCTCTGCCTCCCAGGTTCAAGTAATTCTCCTGCCTCAGCCTCCCAAGTAGCTGGGATTACAGGTGCCTGCAACCACACCCGGCTAATTTTTGTATTTTAAGTAGAGACAGGGTTTCACCACGTTGGCCAGGCTGGTCTCAAACTCTTGACCTCAGGTGATCTGCCCACCCAGGCCTCCTAAAGTGCTGGGATTACAGGCATGAGCCACCGTGCCCGGCCTAAGGATGCATTTTTGAGACTTTATTTATGTGCAAGAAGCTAGGCACAAAAAGATAAATACTATATAATTCCACTTATGTAAGGTACCTAAAGTAGTTAAACTGCTAGAAACAGAAAGTAGACTAAACTGTGTCAGGGCTAAGTGGAGAAGAAAATGAGTAGTTGTTGTTTCACAGACAACCTGTTAGAACACAAAATAACTCTTACGTTTTAAAACTTTAAGACCTAGATACATGTGCAGGTTTGTTATATAGGTAAACTTGTGTCATGAAGGTTTGTTGTACACATTATTTTGTCATCAAATTATTAAGCCTGGTACGCATTAAAGATTGAATTACACAATGCATCCTTTCATACCACATGGAATCAAACTAGAAATCAAAAGCAGAAGCAAAATTGCCAAATCCAAAAATATGTGAAACTTAACAGACTCTTGAACATACTCTTCTTTGTCAGAAGATTTAATATTTTTAAATGACAATACTACCCACAGTGATATTCAAATTCAATGTAATCCTGATGAAAATCCAAATGATACTTTTTAAAGAAATCTTTTTTAAAATTCTTACATTTACATGGAACATCAAAGGACCACTGTTAGCCTGAACATTCTTAGAAAACAAGAACAAAGTTAGAGGCACAACGCTTCCTTTGTTTAGAACAGATTACAAAGCTACATAAATAAAAACAGTGTGGTACTTGAAAGAAGACAAATAGTGATGGAACAGAACCCAGAACTTAAAGCCAAACCATGTTTGTGTATATGCTCAAATGATCTTCAACAAGGTTGCTGTGACCGCACAACAAGAAAAAGACAGTCTCTTCAATAAATGGTGTTGGAAAACTCTGTAACTACATGGGAAAAACTGAGGTTGGGTCCTACCCGCAAACCATATACAAAAGCTGTCTTGAATGAGTTAAATATTTGAATGTCGGAAATATACCTATACAATCTCTAGAAGAAAATACAGTAAGATTATGACCTTGGTCTCAGCAATGTTTCCTTGCATACAACATCAAATATCTGAGCAACAAATTAAAAAACTCAGAAAAATGGGACTACATTAAATTTATCTTTGCATATTAAAATAAACATTTCGTAAGAGTCCCACCTAAGAAAACAAATTAAAAAGCATATATTTGACAGAAGCTAACATCCAGAATAAACAACTTCAAGAAAATCAACAAATAGTAAGTAACATCATTAACAAATGAACAAGATAAAAATGGTTCTCCAAAGAGGAAATGCACACAGCAAACAATTATTGAAAAATATTTCCAATCTTTAGCAAAATGTAAAGCAAAACCACAATGAGGTATTATTGTGCATTAATTAGTATGGCCAATATCAAGCAAACAATGACAAATGTTGTCATTTGTCATGGAGGAATTGAAACCCTTGTGTACTGTTGGTGGAAATAAACATGATACAACCATCTGAAAAATGTATAAAGGTTCCTCCAGAAATTAAAAATGAAATTATTATATGACCCAGTAATCCCACTCCTTTTTTTTTTTTTTTTGAGACAGAGACTTGCACTGTTGCCCAGGCTGGAGTGCAGTGGCATGATCTCAGCTCACTGCAACCTTCGCCTCCTGGGTTCAAGTGATTCTTGTGGCTCAGCCTCCCAAGTAGCTGGGATTACAGGTGCACACCACCACACCTGGCTAATTTTTGTATTTTTAGTAGAGACAGGGTTTCACCATGTTGGCCAGGCTGGTCTTGAACTCCTGACATTAAGTGATCCACCTGCCTTGGCCTCCCAAAGTGCTGGGATTACAGGGGTGAGCCATGGTGCCCAGCCCCACTTCTGAGCATCTATTCAAAATATGCAAAGTATACCTGAAAGAAATATTTGCATATCCATGTTTACTGCAGCAATATTCACTGTATTAGTTTATTCCTGCATTGCTATAAAGAAATGCCTGAGCCTGGGTAATTTATTTTAAAAAGGAAGTTTCACTGGGTCATGGTTCTGCAGCCTGTACAGAAAGTGCAGCAGCTTCTGCTTCTTGGGAGACCTCAAAAAGCTTCCAATCATAGCAGAAAGCAAAGGGACGGTGAGTCATCTTACATGGTGGGAGCAGGAGTTAGAGAGATTGAGAGAAGAGGTGCCACATACTTTTGAAAAATGAGATCTCAGAACTCACTCACTATGTCAAAGACAGTACCAAAGGGGCTAAGCTAAACCATTCGTGAGAAGCCAACCCTATGACCCAACCACCTCCCACCAGGCCCCACTTCCAACATTAGGGATGGCAATTTGACATGAGATTTGAATGAAAATGCAGATCCAAACCATATCATTTACAAAAGCCAAAAACTGAAAAAACTCAAACATTCTTCAATGGATGAATGATTTAAAAAGATGTGGTTTATACATACAATGAAATATTCTTTAGCCCTCAATGAAAATATCTTGTGAGATGCTACAATAAGAATAAATCTTAAAGCCATTATTTAAAGTGAAATAAGACACCGACAAAGTGACAGTGTATGATTCCACTTTTATACAATATTTTGAGTAGTAAACTAGGAAACAGAAGTAGAAACATGCTTGCCTATGGTTAGGGTTGTGAAACCTCAGTGGAGCCAGAGATCAAGGAGGGTTATTTAGAAAAAGCAGGCCCTCACCCAGGTGGCTAACTCAAGGGCCCACAGACATGGCTACAGACAAGGAAATGGCACATTGAGCCTGGTGTTACTGAAGATTATGAAGCAGTTCTGCAACCTTTCTCAAACTCCTCTCAGCTACAGTCCACAAGTGGTCCTTCTCATTAAGAGACCTGCAGGGAGACACACCCAGCCATAACCCTGGAGGCAGGCTTGTATATCTTGGCCTCAGCTGTGCTCCCTGAAGCAGCCCTGTGACTCAGTTCTAGCCCTCACAGTCACTGTCTGTGGCCAGTTGTACACACTCAGGGACCCACATAGAGACTTGTGAAAACTGTTCCCAGGTAGTCAGTAGAAGCCAAACCCATTCATACACCTGATATTTGGCCCATCATATGCAGACAAACTTCAAACCCTACCCTGCTGCCTGCCATATAATGTCCTCAAGGATATTTAATGTTTCCATGGCCCAGAAAGAATCCATGACTGTCCAAATATCTGGTAACACAACGATCAAAGGCAGACCCCACAGCAGACCCAGCAGCACCCTTGTGACCCAGCTACAATCCTTCTTCTCTGCAACCCCAGAGGTAATCTCATCAGCCTGTGGACCAAACAAATGGGAGATCTTTACCTGTCAAAAATAGTTTATAGAAACTGTAATCATTGTTAGATCCTTCAAATGTACAGACACAGGGCTGCTTCAGAGACTACAGCTGAGGCCAAGATATGCAGGCCTGTCTGCAGGGCCACAGCTTCTATCTTAACATGTTACTGGAAGTTTCTTTCAGAACAATTGGGCGAGGAAAAGGGCAACAAAGCTCTACAGCTTGGAAAAGAAGTAAAAATGTTACTGTTTGTAGATAATATGATCATGCATATATATATAAAACCCTAGAGTAAAACAAGAAAAATTGTTTGAACTAATAAATGCATTCATTAAAGTATCAGGATACATAATCAACATACAAATACTTGTGGGTTTTTTTTTTTTTTTTTGAGACATGGTCTCACTGTGTTGCCCAGACTCATCTCAAACTCCTGTCCTCAAGTCATCCACCTGCCTTGGACTCTGAAAGTGTAGGGATTACAGAAATGAGACACTGCACCTGGCCCAACATACAAATATTTGTTGCATTTCCATACAGTAGCAACAAACTTTCCAAAAAAAGAAACAATTTCTATTTGCAATAGTATAAAAATAAGAAATTTAATTAAAATAAATTTAACCAATGAAGTAAAAAAATTATACATTAAATACAATAAGATTGATGACAAATTGAAGTAGACACAAATAAAGGAAATATATTCCATTAGGATAACTAACACTGTCAAAGTATCATATTATCCAAAATGATCTCTAGATTCGATGTGATCCCTATCAAAGTTTTAGGGGCATTTTTCACAGTAATAGAAAACACAATTGTAAAATTTAAGTGTAAGCTTAAAGAACTTTAAATAACCTGAGCAATCTTGAGAAAGAACAATGCTGGGGCATCATACTCTTTAATTTCAAATTTTATTTAAAGGTTATAGTAATCAAGAGTATTGTATGTGCATAAAAACAGATACAAAAGCCAATGGAACAGAATAGGGAGCCCAGAAACAAAACCAGAATACAAGGTAAACTAATCTTTGAAAAGGCCACCAAGAATATACAATGCAGAAAATACAGTCTTGTTGATACATGGTACCAGAAAAACTGGGTATCCACAAGTGAAAGAATAAAAGTAGAATATTTTCTTATACCATACCCCGAAATTAACTCAAAATGAAACACTTAAATGTAAGACATAAAACCTTAAAACTCCTCAAGAAAACATATATAAAAAAAAAAACCTTGTTAATATTGGTCTTGGCAATAGCTTTTTTGATATGACATCAAAAGCACAGCAACAAAAAATACAAACAAATGGGACTGCATCAAATTGAACAGCTTACACACAGCAAAGAAAAAAAATTTTTTAAACCCTACAACATAGGAAATTATTTGCAAGCCATATATCTAATAAGAAGTTCATATCCAAAATGTATAAGACACTTCTGCAATTCAAAGCAAAACAATAATAATAACCCATTCAAAAATAGACAAACCATACATATAAGGGAAATCGGTATGCTGTTGGTGAGATGTAAATAAATAAAGTCGTCATAAAAAACAGTAAAAAATAAAAATGGAAATATCATACAACCCAGCAATACCACTTCTGGGCATCCTACCAAAGGAAATAAAATTTGTACCTTGAAGAAAGATCTTCAGCCCTATGTTCACTGTAGTATTGTTTACAATAGCCAAAATATAGTATGTGTGTGTCTATATACAGACAGTAGAATACTATTCCGCCAGAAGAGAAGGAAATGTAGCCATTTACAACATGGATAGACCTGGAGGACGTTATGCTAAATGAAATAAGCCAAACACAGAAAGACAAAGAAACTCCTTGTTTTAAGTTAGATGAGAAATCTAAAAAAGTACACTCATAGAAGCAGAGTATAAAATGGTGGTTGCTAGTGCCTGAGGGTAGAAATATGAGGAGATGTTCAAAGAGTACAAATTTTTAGTTATAAGTTGAGTAAGTCTGAGAAATCTAATGTAAATTAGCATTAGATTAGCCAAATAGCATTGTGTTTATAGTTAGTAATACTGTAATGTATGCTTACAATTTGCTACTACAGTAGATCTTAAGTGTTCTTACTCCAAAAAAAATTGAGGTACTAGATGTGCTCATCAACTTGACTGTATTTTGTTTCACAGTGTACATGCGTATCAAATCATTACATTGTATACATTAAATATATAGTTATACCATTTTTATTTATCAGAAAAATCCATGTCACACAAACACAGATGTACAGTAAGTACTCAATGTTCAAAATAGGTTCTTGAAAACTGCGTCTTTAAATAAAACAATGTCGGTATATGACATTCAAACATAACCTTGTTTCTATCAATTCAACTATAGTAATTCTGCCTCTGGGTTTAAGCGATTCTCCTGCCTCAGCCTCCTGAGTAGCTGGGATTACAGGTGCATGCCACCACACCCGGCTAATTTTTTGTATCTTTAGTACAGATGGGGTTTCACCATGTTGGCCACGCTGGTCTCAAACTCCTAACCTCATGATCCACCCACCTCGGTCTCCCAAAGTTCTGGGATTACAGGTGTGAGCCACCGTGCTGAGCCAAAATTAGTTTTCTTAAACAATATATTGCTTCACTTACAGTTTCCATGAAACTATCAACAATGTTAAGTGAGAATTTACAATACACATATATAACTTATATGGGTGGGTGTATGTGTGAGACCCACATTTTTATATAGATATCAATAGATCTCAATGATGAAACCCCAGTAGGCTTCTTTTTTTTTTTTTTTTTTTTTTTTTGAGACGGAGTCTCACTCTGTTGCCCAGGCTGGAGTGCAATGGCGCCATCTCGGCTCACTGCAACCTCGGCCTCCCGGGTTCAGCGATTCTCCCACCTCAGCCTCCCGAGTAGCTGGGATTACAGGTGCCTGCCACCACGCCCAGCTAATTTTTGCAATTTTAGTAGAGATGGGGTTTTGCCATGTTGGCCAGGCTGGTCTTGAACTCCTGACCTCAGGTGATCCACCCACTTCAGCCTCCCAAAGTGCTGGGATTACAGGCGTGAGCGACTGCGCCTGGCCCCCAGTAGGCTTCTTACTAAAAGTATAAGATAATAGTTATTAAGAAATAATAATATACACTTAGCAGTGTTCTAAGCTAGTTAATGACAGTGCATTTAAGAAATCTTGAAGGTGAGTAGATACTTTAATCAAGTGGTGCCCAATGCTATGAATGTAAGAACATTTCACTTATCTGTTGCAGTAGCTATCATAAAAATTATTTATGAAATTTTTTTTAAAGTTCATCAGTTATCATTAGTGTTAGTGTATTTTATGTGTGGCCCAAGATAATTCTGCTTCCAATGTGGCCCAGGGAAGCCAAAAGGTTGGAAAACCATGCTTTAAACTATATTATAATTTGAAAATTTACACATCTAGAGTTTAAATTACAAATCTCAGTTTATACTAAATCAATAACATTTTGAAGTACAATCAACAATACATTTTTCATATTTAGGAAAATGCTTATCATTCTTATAAAATTGCTAAGAAAGAATTTTTGTAGAATTACATTTGCAACAGGATTAAAAATCACTAAGCAGAAAAGGTGCAACATCTGTCCCTAGTGTTCCTGGGATTTCTGAACCAAATTCCAATATGTCCACTACTTGCCTTACATATTTAGGCATGATACAAAATCAATATTTGAAAAAAATACGTTAACATAGAGCTCCTCAATAACACAATTATTCCTATATTTCCAAAAGCAATGGAACAGCAGTGAGATCATGCAGCCCCTTATAAGTGATAAAGTAGACATTGGCTATCCCTGTAAACTTGAAGGGAGATCTCTAAAGAAAAAAGAGGGCTGGGTGTAGTGGCTCATGCCTGTAATCCCTGCATTTTGGGAGGCCGAGGCAGGTGGATCACCTAAAGTCAGGAGTTTGAGACCAGCCTGGCCAACATGGCAAAACCCTGTCTCTACTAAAAATACAAAAATTAGCTAGGTGTATTGGCAGATGCCTGTAATCCCAGTCACCCAGGAGGCTGAGGCAGGAGAATTGCTGGAACCTGGGAGGCACAGGCTGCAGTGAGCTGAGATCACACCACTGTACTCCAGTCTGGGTGACAGAGCAAGACTCCATCTCAAAAAAAAGAAAAAAGAGAATTTTTAGAAGATTTAACAGCATGGGGCTGAAGATGCCCCTATTTGTGAACATGAGAAAAAATGCAGCCTTTTCAGAAATTATTTGCATTGAAGAAGTGCTTTCCAAAGTACATTTTAAGGCCTGACTTCCTTCATCACCTTTGGTCCCCTTGCCTGTGTCCTCTCCTTCATTCACTCTCACCTACCTGGGGCTTTGGCTACTGTCTCATGTGTCTTCCCATTAAAGGGCTCTTTTCTTTGCTCCAAACAGGTGATCAGGTCTGAGTTAAAGAGAGCAACACCTGTTTTATTTAAAAAATAAGATAAAATAACGTGACTACTGCTGAAGATTCTCCAATTACCAACCTAGTACTATGCTAAGAAGAAAAGAGAAATTATGGAAGATTCTAAAAAATTAATCCAAAAATTGTTTCCTGATAGGCTCTTTAGAATATTTAAGTGTTTCAAATCTGTGGGTTCTAAGTTCCACTACCCAGTACTACTGAATAAAAAAAATTGGTAAATTGGTACAAATTGGATTTTAAGATGTGGAAAACGATATTTTACAACACTGAATTTATAAAATTACCACTAATCTAGAGTGAAGGACAAAAATTCCCTCAATAAAAGAGAAGGTTTAGGTAAAGATGAAACATCTTAAAGATTTTTTTTACACCAGCAGACTCCCAATTTTTTCATGAAGAAACAAGGTGAAATTAATTCACGCAAAGCAGAAGCTCCCAAGAAACATTCTACAAAGGAAAAAAAATAAAACTCTGAGGGAATATTAGGAATTACACATGAAAGTTATCCTCACCCAGGGAGACCAGGTTTCTATAGTTCTCCAACATCACATCTCTATATACATTCTGCTGGGCAGGATCCAGACATTTCCACTCTTCTGGGGAGAATTCTATGGCCACATCCCTGAATGTTAAGAGTTCCTGAAAACACATATTTATCAAGTGACAGAGTTCTTTTTTTTGAGACAGAGTCTTGCTCTGTCACCCAGGCTGGAGTGCAGTGGTGCCATCTCAGCTCACTGCAAGCTCTGCCTCTCAGGTTCATGCCATTCTCCTGCCTCTGCCTCCCAAGTAGCTGGGACTACAGTTGCCTGCCACCATGCCTGGCTAATTTTTTTTTTTTTTTGTATTTTTAGTAGAGATGGGGTTTCACTGTGTTAGCCAGAATGGTCTCGATCTCCTGACCTCGTGATCCATCCTCCTCAGCCTCCCAAAGTGCTGGGATTACAGGCATGAGCCACCACACCCGGCCAGTGACAGAGTTCTTAAATTGACTACAGGAGAAATGAGTTAAGGGAGCTAGTTCTGACTGTAATTATCTGATAAAATAACTTTCAACACAGTCATGTTCTCTAAAGTATTCTATAACTCTTAGGAAAAATGATGGCACGCGAGCAATTACTGTTGCTGCAATGGAAATATGGGCTACACTGACCTGCTGCTACCAAAACCAAGCAGAGTAGACCCTGTGACTTCCTGGAACAAAGGGTAAACTCACCACTCATTAAAGTATCTGGAAGCCCTCATGCTTGACCCTGCCCTCACTGTAGAATCATGTTTTAGTTTAAAAAACAGGGATGTTTCCACCCAGAACAATAGACAGGATCTGTGGGGAGGGAACAAGTGACTGTTTCTCTTCAAACAGTCCATGTGATACTATTAGAAGACTCAGCTGAGAGTCACTTAGCTAAGCACTGGCTTTCAAGCTTCAATGTGCGTATAAATTATTTGCTATTCTAGGCCTCACTGTGACAAAATTCTGCAGGTTTGAAAAGGGTCCATGAATTATATAGCTTCTTATAGCAAGTCTCCTATTAATGCTGATATTCCTCCCCCTAGATCCATTATAGTACCACTCAGCTAGAGTAAGCAGGCACAGCACACAGGGTCCCTTACCCCAACACAAATACTTTTCATCTGAAGACCACCAATCGTCATCCTGAAACATGGCATTCTCTGCAGGCCCTTCAAAGGTTACAGAGGCTGGAGATGGTGGAAACGTCTGAGTAAGTCTGCATTTGAAAAACATGTGCACATGCATTAATGTGATCTTTATGGAGCATGTACTATGTGTGCAGAAGTATGTCACAGAGCACTCTGCTGGGAGGCTCACAGTATGTGTGTTAATTCTCATAACATCCTGGGAGATGGGTACTAAGTGTCCCGTAATTCCTAGGATTTTCCCCATTTATCTGCTTTTGTGTTTCAGGAAATTGGGAGCACCAGCTCTGGAGAGGCAGTAGGAGTAGCCACCCCAAACTCTTATCTCCTCTAAGCAGTTCTGTGAGAGATTTCAGTGTGGATTAGACCTGGACAAGATTCAGCAGAGGGTGGATCTGGGCAGGGTTGGGATAGAAGGTGGGTCCTAGGCTTCTGCTCTCTAGGCCACTAAATATTTTCAGTTTTGTTTTTCCTAAGCCTGCCCAAGAGAGATTTTATTCCCAGAGTTTGTGTAATTTTAATCTATTTTAGACACTTCCCTGTCTATATTACAACATACAATAAGAAGGAATTTAACCAAAACCCTTATGTTTTTCTAGACCAATTATATTAGAAGCTAAATACTTATTCTTAGCAAGCTAAAAACAATACAAATAATAACAACTTCTCTTCTGTCCAGAATAGCCCTTCAGGTGGAGGGATCAAAACTTACAAAATAACAAAAGGGAAGTAATGCAAATGAAGCTTAAGCTTCCTATGCAGTTTCTGTCTCTGTACTGAACACATGATGCTGAATTCAACCATTTATTCATGTGCTCTGGACTGCAAGTTCCTTGATGGGAGGGACCACAACTGCTTCGTCTCTTTTTCTAATGACCATATAAAATAGAAGCAATTAGCTTATTAATCAGTTTGAGTCTCCAGAACCAGAAAACTGGAACAACTCTTATCTGGTTATGAACCAATGAGATTCTTTCTGTGAGGGGAGGAACAAACCCTTGATAAGTCATTTCTCTTTCTCTGAAATGGAACCAGAATTAGACTTTCTTGTCAGACTGACCCCAGTCTGCTTTGGACATCCTCAAATGTCTCAAATAACTCACTGATGCTGGTGAGAGTGTCCTCAGTGACCCTGGGCTGAAGCCCCCCATAGTGATCCAGGCAGGAGAGACTGAGGCTGACTTTGTGGAGTGCAAACAGAAAACAGAACTGCCCTGGTAGAGCTGCAGATCCTGGATCCAGATGTGATGTGCACTGTCCCTGATCAGCTAACTCTGAGACAAGAGGAAAGATGAAAGTACTCCAGTACCCCAGTATACAGGATGGCATACTTGTGATTATGGTTGTGATTATGGCTCTGTATATTTTGTGGCCCTGACCTCTCACTGCTAAGGTGCGTGTTAACACCTACAGATTCTGCCACAGGATTCTGTTCACACCAGAAGCCTCTCACACAGGTGACAAGACCTGGAAAACTCAAAGACTCCACTCTGAAAGTGGGGTTTAAGAAGACTATGTTGACTTTTCATGATGCAGAAAATGCCTTCTGTGAGTTTTCTGTATGTCTTCAACCCAAAATCTGGCCCTGTCTTGTGACTCCTAGGCAGAAGCCAGCTTTTATGTGCAGATGCTAGGTGGGATCAATGCGCCTCTGCATTCTTGGGGATTACAGCAAACAGAGTAAAACCAGAGAGAGCCTCTCATGGAGGCTCCTTCAACACATTCTGAAGAATATTTCGACCTAAAAGGAAAAAGCTGGGGTAAATAAGTAGAGAGTTTATTTGGGCCAAAGCTTGAAGATTGCAACCTTGGGGTATATAGCTGCCCTGAATATACACTCCAATTAGAAGCAGTTACAAGTGTATTTTTAAAGGCAAAAAAGAAGGCAGAGAGGAGACTGATACAAAGTTGTTAGACATTCCTATTGATTTATAGAATTAAAATTGGTTAGTGGCTGGCTATATATGTTAAGCCACAGAGTGTGGGTTATAGTGTCCATTGTGGTATTATTAGGTTACTTTATAGCCACTGATGGCAATAGCAAGGAATTTCAAAAAACAAATAGTTCAAAGAGGGGAACAGTAGGACTGTGGTCTCATTTTAACAAGTCTCTGGGTCTGATAATTAAAAGAACTTGTATTTCTCAGATAAAAGTGCTGTTTTTCTCTCAAATCCCAGGACATAAATTCAGAATTTGGAACTGCACATTTAGGTCCTGGAGGGCTGGTGAGCTATGGACATTTGTGGGCATTTGGGCAAGGGGAGAAGGGACAGAATTGAAGTTATCAGGTTTAATCAATGCACATGTGTGATCCTGGTTGGGTGTATGGGCCCCATGATGTCTGAACCAGTGTCAGATCTGAAGATGCCAGGAGCACACACGGAAGTGGAATAACTGATGGCTGTCCTGAAAAGTTATTTTTGTAGAAATATAGTCTAACTGCTCTAGAAATGACTGTAGATCCCAAATAGAGAAACCTTTTTGTTTGCAGATTTGTGGAGCACTTTGCTGCACTTTGCCACAAAATTGTGGATTGTGGCTGGAATCCTTAGAAGGAAGGTTTTCTCTAAAGGGAAGCCTGGTGGGCACTTTGTGTATACCATCTGGTAATTCTGGACAGTGTTTGGAAAATATAACTAAAAGCAAAATCATCTCCAATCCTAAAATACTCTCCAAAATAATATTAGAGCAAGATAATGATTTGTTATTTAATTAAACCAAAATATGATGTACATCACAGGCAATCTACTAATAGATTGCAAATACAGAAAGAACGTCACCGTTAGTACTCAAGTACAAGACATGACAGCACCATTTGTCATACACAGTTTATAATAACGTCAACTAATTTGGGAGGTCATCTGGGTTTTCTAATTGGTAATATTAAAAACAAACAACAACAAAAAAACAAACACTTCCCATATCTTCATGATAGGACATAGTTTTGAAATGTGGAGCCAGGTACCTGCTGAAGGCAGCCTCCTACTCGCCTACAGAAACTGTGGCATAGGGTGTATATTCTTGCTATTCGCATTTCCTAGCAATAGTTCCCAGGTCCTAAAGACAGTTTTGAGTCAAAAAAGACAAATGACCTAGTTAACTGACAAAAATGATTTACATATTTTTCAAAGAAGCAGAGAAAATGTTTAAATATAAAAGTTTTCAAACTAAATGCTTTAAGAAAAGGGAGAAGAGCAAAAATTCTTCCCTCATTCTAAAGAGAAAGCATTAAGCCTCTTCTAATTTGTATTTGGTCCTACAACAGGCAAGTCTAAAGGCATGGTCTTGAACTCACTAACATCTGAATTCTTGTAGCACATGAGGGATGCACTTGAGCAAACTGTGTGCACAGGAAAGAGGATTTGTGGGTAAGAAAAGAGCATAAGAGAGAAAGGAGCTATCAAGAGCCTTGGGTGGGGGCAGGGCAGGATTGATGAAAGGACTGGTTTGTGCTACAGGTACAGGCCCAGGCAAGACTACGCTCTGACTGATTCCTGAGTCCATAAAGGCAGAGGAGATTAGGATCAGGTGGTCCAGAAGCCTGGGTAGGTGAAGAAAACAGATTCCTGCTGCAGATCTGGGGTTGAGATGAGCGTGGAGTCTTCTGGGCACTGTGTGTATTCTTAGGAGAAAACTGTAGGAGCAAAGCTGCCATGGCCACAATTCCTGAGGGTAGAACCCTGTCCTAGGACGCGTGTGGCCATGCGAATGCCCAGTGGGCGTGCTCAGGAGCGGGTTAGCATTGGGTGGCAGCCGGCAGCAGGGTGCGGGGAAGGGATGTTTCTCAGAACTCCTTTCCTCCAAGTTCTCAGTGCCCTCTCTACCCGGGAGGAGACCTGGAGGAACAGGACAGTGCGCAGCAGGACAGTGCATGTGCAGAACCCGGTCAGGTCTCCCGCGGACACCTGCGACTCCCCCCAGCCCAGGCTCAGCCATGTCTTTCTTCTGACAAAAAAACTTGCGGAGTTTCCTCAACACCAGTCAATGCTCCAACCCCAACGGGGTGTCCAGCAACTCACTAATGACACTACCCAGAGTCAGTGCTGACCCCACAAGCTCAGCGCTCTTCCTACAGCTGCCCTCCTGCAGACGCCAGTCCCTGCCTCTGGACACCCGTCTTCATTTCTGAACACCTGTCTACAAACCAGGGGCGCCCACACCCTCCTCAAGTTCAATAATGTGGCAGAACTACTCACAGAACTCAGCGAAGCGCTGTGCGCGCACACACTAGCGTATTCTAAAAGATGCTACTCAGGAACAGCCACGAGGAGGAGGCGCACAGGGCAAGGGGACTGGTGGGCAAGTTAGAGAGGGCGGGTGATTTGCTTTGCTTCCTCACACACCTCACAAAAGCCTTTCCTTCAAGACCCGCTGGCAGTCCTCAAACCATGAGCCAAGGCCTGCGCTGTCCCGTTAATGAGTCCCCATTTGCTCACATGAACTCTTATGTTTTGATGGGGCCTCGATCTCATTCCGAACAGGGTCAAGTAGGGATAGGACCCCCCCGGACCACAGCTGCTCCCACTCCGGCATCGCGCACGCGACGCAGGCGTCTTCCAGATGAGCTACTCCTCACCCCACAGCCCGGGGAAGGTGCGGGGCTGCGGGCGCAAAACTGCACAAGGAGGGCTGCAGGCTGGGCCAGAGCAGCCTTGCGGGGACCCCGACAGGAGCGCGGGTCCCCCGACAGGAGCGCGGGTCCCTCACCGGAGGGGACTGAGGACCGAGGGCTGAGCGGCGGCAGCGGGGACTCCGTTCGCAGACTGGGTACCGCTGCCGCCATTTCCCGCTGGTTCCGATAAGGCCTCCCCGCCACGTCGCCTCCGGACGCCCTGCCCGGCACACTCACCATTTCCCGGCTTCAGGGATGTCGTAGAGTCTTAGCTACGAATCATCCAATACCCGCAGGTCACAGAGCGACGGAGGCTGAGGCTGTGGCCGAATCACTGAGGCCTCCCTGAGGGGTGGAAGCAGGTCGGTGAGGCCCTAACCGAGCTCAGGCAGAAGCCTGACGCAAAAGCGGCGCCAGATCCCGGATGCCGCCCCCTCCTTTGCCTGATTGGGCAGTTCTCAGTCCAGCGCCCTCATTGGATACAACTACTAGCTCTACGCCCTCAAGCTTTGAGTGACAGAATTCGAGTGACAGAAATTCGACCATACACTTAATGAGGCAAGACTGACAGACTCGTGTCTCCAGGTACTTTCAGGCAGGGCTTTCTGTGCTAGGCCTGGCTCTGTTGGGGGTTCATTTTTAAACTTCTGTTGTGTGAGGTTACGTCCGTTTATAAATTGTGCACGCACGCGCACGCACACACAGACACACTTGTTCACAAACGGAAACAATATAATCACAATTATTTTAAAATTTTAGATCTCATAACCTTTCTGGCCTCTGGTCTTTTGAGTAGGACACCTGAGATTTGAAGAGAGAAGCAAGTCTCTAAAAAATAAAATGTTGGCTATTTGTGAATTTACAATTTTTCATTGGCCACATCCAAACTAATAAAAATAAACAAGTGAAATTGTTTATGATAATTGTAACCTATTGTATCCAAAATATTATTGTTTTAATACATGATCAATATATAATTAGAAATAAAGTATATTTCTGGTCTAATTCTTCTAAACTCACTGTGCATTTTTTGTTTGCAGCACATATTACTTCAAACCAGCCACATTCCAGGTACTCAGTAGCTACATATGGCAGGTGGCCACCACATTGAGTGCAGCCATGAGGGCTCTAACCTCAGGGAATTGAGGGCCTGGACACCTCTTTTCTGTTGGAAGTGAGGGAACAACCTCTCTACCAACTTTTCTTCTCAGGCTCAAGGGTGGGTGGGACAGTGCCCCTAGAGAGAGCAGAGGCTGCAAGCTGAGAGTGTCCACGTGAATATCACGGTCTCCTAGTTGCTCTTTGGTGCTGGTGTGGTGGTCTCCTCAGTTCAGCCAGGTTCAGGCTCTCGTCCCATGACCTGGAAAAATGAGGCACATGGACACCAGAGAGTGAGAAAGCAGAGTAGGATTTATTAAGCAAAAGGAAAGCTCTCAGCAGCAAGAGGGGACCTGAAAGCAGGTTGCCAGAAATGGGGCTGAGTTCTGGGTCTTTTATGTGGCAAGAACGAGGAAGTCTTCTGTGGGTTCTACCCAAATGGGACGGGTCAAGTTCCCCACCAAGGGTGTTGCATCTGCGCATGCCTGGGGTTGACCACAGTGACTCCATTTTGGTTATTACCCATGAGTGCCTAAGGGAAACTTACAGGGGAGAAGCTAAAACCACAATGCTAATACCATGTTAATGACTTTACAATGAGCTGGGTGAAGACAAGGAAATTTAGGTTGATTTATTTTGCCTATGTCTAAGCTGGGATAGTCCCATCTGAGCAACATCCTGGCATAAGAGGAAGTTCTTAACCACATTTCTTCCCACTAGCTACAGGGGCGGGGCAGGTGCAGTCCCACAGGTGCTTTTCCTCTCCCGAGACCCTCCGTCCCTATTTTCCTAACCAGCCTCGACTGCCTTCTCTCTCGGGGGTTGAGCTGGTTAGAAATTTAGGCTGGGCTTAGCTGGGCCATTCTTCTGGGCTCAGTTTGGCTCCTTCAGGTGTGAGTGGTCAGCTGCTGGTGAATTAGGTGGCTCTGCTTCTGGGAGTGAGCTGTCTGTAAACTGGCGCACTTTGGCTTTTCTCAGCATGCTATTTTATCCTACAGAAAGCTAAAATGGGCTTGTTTTCATGGACATGGAAAAATTCTGAAAAAGATAACAGAAGCATTTAAGACCTTTTGAGCCTGGGCCCCAAACTGGCACACTGTCATATGCACAGCTTCGGCCTGTGCAAATAAGGAAGATTCAAGGTTTGGGAAACAGAATCTGTCTGTTGATGGGAACCACTATAAAAGCCATTTCCAAGAATATGAATACAATAAGAAAAATTTTTTTAATTTCTGTTTTTGCAATCAATTTTGTTTTGTCTTTTCTTGCAGGTAAGTATAAAACTCTCCCACATCTACTAAGCAGCTGGCTTGGACTCAGGATCAACGTTGTCTCTGAAGCCCATGCACCTCCATAGACCACACTACTCAGCCAGGTTTCCTGGTCCTTCAAGGGGCTAAAGAGTTACATTTCTGAAATAGAAGCAAGATTTTTTTTTGAGAATCTCATTCCATCCATCCAGTACTCTTCACCATTGGAAATAATTCACTCCAGGGAATGCTTCTGAAGTCTCTTGGAAAAACTGGAAATGATTTGAGGAAATGGCTAAGCATTGAGTGTAGGAAATTAATGCCCAACATTACATTTTAATTTCTTATCATAGGATAAATATGAAAACACCTATAATGCACTCCACATATCTGCAAACCCTTTGTGTCATTATTCTGTATTGGTAGGATACTTGTGATTTATTTTATTTTATTATTATTTTTTTTTTGAGACGGAGTCTCGCTCTTTCGCCAAGGCTGGACTGCAGTGGCGCTGTCTTGGCTCACTGCAAGCTCCGCCTCCTGGGTTCAGGCCATTCTCCTGCCTCAGCCTCCCTAGTAGCTGGGACTATAGGCACCCGCTACCACACCCGGCTAATTTTTTTTTTGTATTTTTAGTAGAGACGGGGTTTCACCGTGTTAGCCAGGATGGTCTCGACTGCCTGACCTCGTGATCCACCCGCCTCGGCCTCCCAAAGTGCTGGGATTACAGGCGTGAGCCACCGCGCCCAGCCTGTGATTTTTAATACAGACTAAATCAACTTACTGTGCCTGAAAAAACTTTTGCTCTGAAGGCAAGTGACATAGAGATAGAGCTGCTGATATTTTTCCCTGTTGCAATTTAGCCAACCAGCAGAGTATGTTTTGAAGGGCCAAGATGTTTTCTAAGACCCCCATCTAGGAGCAGCTATATGGCAAATGCCTAGAGCACACATAGAAATCACACACAACCAATGCATTCCTGACCCTGAATCAATGCTTCTCACCCTTGGGTGCACATTAGAATAAACTGCTGTGCATGTGGGTGGTGTTGTTTAATGTTCCCAAACCCAAGTTGCAAGGGAATAATTAAGCCAGAATCTCTAGAGTGAGACCCAGGCAGCAGTGTGATTTAAAGCTCTCCCGGTGATTACAATATGCAACCATACTCCAAAATGTCTGCTGTAAACCAACATCTTTCAGAGAACCAGTTGAAAATATTTCTCAAATTAATGTAAAACGTGTTTGCTGTTGAGTTGTGGCCTTTCAGTCTTACTCGTATTACCCATATTCTATCCTTTGCAAAACTGACCTCTGCTACTTGTTTTGTTCCTGATTCAAACCAGTTCCACACATACTGAGTGCACACTGTGTGCAGCCCACTGTGCTATGTGAATATTGTTGTGGAGGAAGGACTTTGCTGTAAGAAATTTACATTCCCCAAAACTAAAACCATGTTACTTACTCAATTGAAATAAAAAATGAAAGACTGAGGGGGACGCCCAAGGGTCAGGACATGAGTAAATACCTTGGAATATTAGTATCCATCTCATGATGCCTGAGTGTAAATGCCCCACTTTCAAACAAAACAATACCAAGCATTGCTATTATTCTGAAATATTAAGTTAGGATTAAATAATATTTAAAATTTTATTGATGTATAACACGCATACAGAAATATATGCACAATAAAATATTAATGTAATGCTCAATAAGTTGTAACAAAACTAATACATTGCATAACTATAGAATAGAACTACCCCTGTTTTTGCCCACAAACCACTTCCTTTTTTCCTCCTCCCCAAACCTAATCATGATCTTAAGAGCTAATGCTATAGTTTTTCTTTTTATACAAGTGTTTTATTAGAGAATATTTTAACTTATACACAATAACCAAAATAGTATAATATGGGGGAAAAAAAGAGAGATCAGACTGTTACTGTGTCTATGTAGAAAGAAGTAGACATAAGAGACTCCATTTTGTTCTGTACTAAGAAAAATTCTTCTGCCTTGAGATGCTGTTAATCTGTAACCCTACCCCCAACCCTGTGCTTGCAGAAACATGTGCTGTGTCAACTCAAGGTTTAATGGATTGAGGGCTACGCAGGATGTGCTTTGTTAAACAAATGCTTGAAGGCAGCATGCTTGTTTAAAGTCATCACCACTCCCTAATCTCAAGTACCCAGGGACACAAAACACTGTGGAAGGCTGCAGGGACCTCTGCCTAGGAAAGCTAGGTATCGTCCAAGGTTTCTCCCCATGTGATAGCCTGAGATATGGCCTCATGGGAAGGGAAAGACCTGACCATCCACCAGCCCAACACCCATAAAGGGTCTGTGCTGAGGAGGATTAGTAAAAGAGGAAGGCCTCTTTGCAGTTGAGATAAGAAGAAGGCATCTATCTCCTGCTTGTCCCTGGGCAATGGAATGTTTCAGTGTAAAACCCAATTGTATATTCCATATACTGAGATAGGAGAAAACCGCCTTAGGGCTGGAGGTGAGACATGCTGGTGGCAATACTGCTCTTTAATGCACAGAGATGTTTACGTATGTGCACATCAAAGCACAGCACCTTTTTCTTAACCTTGTTTATGATACAGAGACATTTGTTCACATGTTTTCCTGCTGACCCTCTCCCAACTATTACCCTATTGTCCTGCCACATCCCCCTCCAAGATGGTAGAGATAATGATCAATAAATACTGAGGGAACTCAGAGACTTGTGCTGGCCTTGGTCCTCCGTATGCTGAGTGCCAGTCCCCTGAGCCCACTTTTCTTTCTCTATACTTTGTCTCTGTGTCTCTTTCTTTTCTCAGTCTCTCATCCCACCTGACCAGAAACACCCACAGGTGTGGAGGGGCAGGCCACCCCTTCAGTATAAGATGATGCTCAGCCTCAACATCTACTAATTATGCCCTATTTCTGTTTAATTTCTACTTCAACTCATTCCCTATCCCCTCTTTATTGTTGTTTTTAGTTATTTTTGTAAGATAAGATGTATATGCATTGAAACATAGTCTTTACTGTACATTTTTGACAATCAATATATCTATATATTCTTTTCCCTTTCATTTATAGAATTACTGCCAGTTAAAATTATCAGTGTGCATGTGAATCACCTGAAAATATTATTTGAAATCCAAATTTTGATACAATGTATCTGGGTTTTGCCTGAAAAACCCAGTGTCCTGTCTAGACCAAGGGTCGTGGGTTGAAGCAGGGCCTGAAGGGTGTGCTAGCAACATCACCTTGCCCTTGCCTGACCCCACCCTCACCCACCTGTGACTCACCTCTGGGGCCAGAGGCAGGGAGGGGAGGGTCATTTTGGCAAATGAGGGGTCTGTGCCATGCAAAGATTCTTGCCCCTTTAGAAATGAGCGAGGGTGAAAACATCATGGCCTCCAGCATCTACATGCACATCTCCCCTGAGCCCACATGGCCACCAAGAGGGCTGCTGATGGCCTCTTGTCCCCCAGTAAATTGCCCCACCTCCAGATGGACCACAGCAAAGTCAAGGGAAATTCTGTCTGGTCCTTGTTTCTGCTTAGCCACTTCTGAGCTCTGTAGCCTTGCACAGGCCTTTGCCCCTCTCTGAGCCTAAGTTTTCCACCATATGATGGGGATATTTACACAAACCACACACACAATGAAGGTGAAAAGAGAGAACAGGCAAAATGACCTCATCTGCCAGGGAGTCAGTGCTCAGATAACTCTCATGCTCTGGGGTGGAATATTTCTTCAGAGACAAAGAGCTTGAGGATCCAGGACCTGGGCCTGCCACTGACCTGCTCTGTGACTCTGAGACAGTGGCTTCCCTTGTCTGAGCTCAAATTCCCACTGGACAGGCTGCTCTAACCTTCTGTGTCCCTGGGCTGGGAAGGGAGTTAGTCCTCCCCACCTTGTAGGGGAGCCCTTGACCATGGTTGAATGCAATCTGGCCCCACTGTCCTGCCTCATTGGAGCAGTGGGAAAAGGTGAACACAAAACCCAGACCCCACTGATCTGGGAACAGGCTCTTCTTGAATTTGTCAGGGACCTTCAGGAATTTGTCACCAGTTAACCAGCCTGTGACTCTGTCCACAAGCTGCCCCTTCTGCATGGATGCTGCTGTCCACTGCCACTCTAAGACACCTCTGATGCCTTCCCATGGAAGGATTCTTACACACATGCACACTCACACTCACACACACACACAAAGTCACATACACACAGTCTCACACACAGTCTCTCAGTCTCACAGACACACACACAGAGACACATATGCTGTCACACACATAGCCACACAGTCTCCCACACCACCCACAGAGTCACACACACGCACTCATGCAGTCACTCACTCACACATGAACTCACACACACACTCATACCCACACACAGTCACACAGTCACACACAGTCATACACAGTCACTGACGCAGAGTCAAAAAAACACAGTCACACATACACACAGTTCATACATACACACAGTCACACACAGGATCACACACATACATCGTCACACACAGTCACACACAATCTCACACACAGTCACCCACACACACACAGTCACACACACAGTCACACACAGTCATACACTCACAGAGTCACACACACAGTTACACACACACACACACGGCCCATACTTCCTCCAGGCTCACAAATCGCCCCTCCACAAACCCTCCCTTCACGGCCACAGCCTGCATGCCAACATCAGTCCGTCCTCACAGAGCTGAGTTGGGTGTGCAGCCCTCCCTGACGTGGGAAAAGCAGGTTTAGGGGAGTCAGTCGCGCATCCCCAGTGCCCTACAGGCCTCACACCGGCTGGGGCAGTGACCCTGGATGGGGAGCGCTTTGGTGTGGGTCACCATTGCTGAGGACACCCTCCTTGCCAGGGAGTGGGGTCCTGGGGGTCCTGGGGGTCTGGGGGGCGGGTCTCTGACTGCTGTAAACAATAGGTTGGTGGTGTCCACGCAGCAGGCAGCAAATACTCAGGAAGTGAGCGTCCTGTCTTTGGCCTCAGCTTTGTGTCTGTAGAATGGGGGTGAGGGGACTCAGGACTCGGAGCGCTGTCGGGTGGGGCGAGGTAGGATGAGAGTGTGTCTCCCTCCCCAAGCTCACCCAGAGCTGTGCGGGGTGGGATGGCCCCAGGATCCTTGGTTCCAAGCAGCTCCTGGTGGCCCGCCACCCCCACCCTGGCTGTGCTGCACAGCCCTAGTCCTCATTGGCCCCACTGCACAGTCGCTTTGAGGTTGGCCGGGGTCTGCCCTGCGATGGCGATGCTGCAACTGGGGTGTTGCCAGGGCCACCAGGGGTATTGGCAGGACCTGGCAGTGGCGGCGAGGACTTGGATTCCGGAAAGGTGGGAGGGCCGTGCCCCTAGCCCAAGCCCCACCTGGACTGGCCACTGTCAGCCAAGCCAGGGCCGGGGCGGACAGCATGGGCATTGAGGGCAAAGCTGGGACCACACCCCTGGGTGACCCCGAGCTGCGGAGCCCCGCAGGGTGGAGCTGGGTCTGGCCACACAGGCAGATGGCATCGCGGGTGGGCCAGAGCCCAGGACGCACCCAGGAGTCCAACCTCATGGCACTGCACAAGCTAGGGAATGGGGCTTGGGACAGCACCAAGGCCGCCCCAATGCCAACACTCCCGGGAGACCCCATGGGCTGCCTGTGGAGAGGCTGGATAAGTGCATTAAGTGATCAGAAAAGTCACTGGCTGGCTCTGTTCATGAGCAGAATGCTTTCAGAAAAGTTTATGCTCACACAGTGCTTGGACAGCATTTGCGTAGTTTGGCACTTACTTGTCTGCTTGGGCAGATGCTCATATGCTTACACAGAATGGATATTGTGATGGTGGAAAGTCAGTTGATGCTACAAATACAAATTACAGAATCATGAGTTACTTTTAACAAGCAGAGGTGAAGGATCTCCTTCTGCAAGTTGGCTGGTGCTTGAGGTATATTCATTCAATGTCTTTGATTCACATGGACATGAAACCGGTAATATTTCCATGTCTCAAACCTCAATCCCCAATGCAGCCTCTGAAGAAGGGGATGAAGATGAATGGGGGTATTGGTCCATTTTCAGGCTCCTGATAAAGACATACCTGAGACTGGGTGATGTATAAAGAAAAAGAGGTTTAATGGACTCACAGTTCCACATGGCTGGGGAGGCCTCACAAACATGGCAGAAGACAAAAGGCACATCTTACATGGCAGCAGACAAGAGAGAATGAGGGAACCCAGTGAAAAGGGTTTCCCCTTATAAAACCATCAGATCTCTCAGGAGGACTTATTCACTAACAGAAAAGTATTGGGGAAACTGCCGCCATGATTCAATTAACTACCCCCAGGTCCCTCTCACAACACATGAGAATCATGTGAACTACAGTTCAATATGAGATTTGGGTGGGGAAACAGCCAAATCATATCATTCCAACTCTGGCCCCTCCCAAATCTTATGTCCTCACATTTCAAAACCCCACATGCCTTCCCAACAGTCCCTTAAAGTCTTAACTTATTTCAGCATTAACTCAAAAGACCACAGTCCAGGCTGGGTGTGGTGGCTCATGCCTGTAATCCCAGCACCTTGGGAGGTGAAGGCAGGCAGATCACTTGAGGTTGGGAGTTTGAGACCAGCGTGACCAACATGGAAAAACCCCATCTCTACTAAAAATACAAAATTAGCCAGGCACGGTGGCACATGCCTGTAATCCCAGCTACTCAGGAGGCTGAGGTAGAAGACTCGTTTGAACCCAGGAGGCAGAGGTTGTGGTGAGCCGAGATCATGCCATTGCACTCCAGCCTGGGCAACAAGAGTGAAACTCAGTCTCAAAAAAAACAAAAAACAAAAACAAAAACAAAAGCAAAAAACACACAGTCTAAAGTCTCATCTGAGACAAGGCAAGTCCCTTCTGCCTAAGAGCCTGTGAAATCA
The DNA here is from genome assembly GCF_000001405.40 of Homo sapiens. Taxonomy (NCBI): domain Eukaryota; kingdom Metazoa; phylum Chordata; class Mammalia; order Primates; family Hominidae; genus Homo; species Homo sapiens. The sequence continues at coordinate 203,761 of NC_000004.12, read as the reverse complement.
AAAGCAAGTTAGTTACTTCCTAGACACAGTGGGGGTACAGGCATTGGGTAAATACAGCTGGTCCAAATGGGAGAAACTGGCCCCAAAATAGGGGCTACAAGCCCCATGCAAGTCCAAAATCCAGTGGGTCAAATCTTAAAGCTCCAAAATAGTCTTCTTTGACTCCATGTCTTACATCCAGGTCATGCTGATGCAAGAGGTGGGTTCCTATGGTCTCGGGCAGCTCCACCCCTGTGGCTTTGCAGGGTACAGCCTCCCTCCTGGCTACGTTCTCATGCTGGCATTGAGTGTCTGCGGCTTTTCCAGGTGCATGGTGCAAGCTGTTGGTGGATCTACCATTCTGGGGTCTGGAGGACGATAGCCCTCTTCTCACAGCTCCACTAGGTGGTGCCCCAGTAGGGATTCTGTGTATGGGCTCTGACCCTACATTTCCCTTCCACACTGCCCTAGCAGAGTTTCTCCATGAGGGCCCCGCCCCTGCAGCAAACTTCTCCCTGGACATCTAGGCGTTTCCATACATCATCTGAAATCTAGATGGAGGTTCCTAAACCTCAATTCTTGACTTCTGTGCAGCTGCAGGCTCAACACCATGTGGAAGCTGCCAAGGCTTGGAGCTTGCACCCTCTGAAGCCACAACCCAAGTTGTACCTTGGCCCCTTTTAGCCACAGCCATAGTGGCTGGGACACAAGGCACCAAGTCCTTAGGATGCACAAAGCAGGAGGGCTCTGGGCCTGGCCCACTAAACCATTTTGTCCTCCTAGGCCTTCTGGCCTGTGATGGGAGGGGCTGCCATGAAGACCTCTGACATGTTCTGGAGACATTTTCCCCATTGTCTTGGTGATTAACATTTGGCTACTCTACTTATATAAATTTTTGCAGCTGGTTTGAATTTCTCCTCAGAAAATGGGTTTTTCTTTTCTATCACATTGTCAGGCTGCAAATTTTTTGAACTTTTATGTTCTCTTGTCTTTTTTTTTTAACTAAATGCTTTTAACAGCACCCAAGTCACATTTTGAATGCTTGGTGCTTAAAAATTTCTTCCACAAGATACCCTAAATCATCTCCCTCAAGTTCAAAGTTTCACAAATCTCTAGGACAGGGCCCAAAACTCACCAGTCTCTTTGCTAAAACATAACAAGAGTCACCTTTACTCCAGTTCTCAACAAGTTCCTCATCTCTGTCCGAGACCACCTCAGTCTGGATTTCATTGTTCATATCATCATCAGCATTTTGCTCAAGGCCATTCAACTAGTCTCTAGGAAGTTCCAAACTTTCCCACATTTTCCTGTCTTCTTCCAAGCCCTCCAAACTGTTCCAACCTCTGCCTGTTACCCAGTTCCAAAGTTGCTTCCACATTTTTGGGTATCTTTACAGGAGCACTTGACTCTACCTGTACCAATTTAGTGTATTAGTCCATTTTTACACTGCTAGTAAAGAGATACCCAAGACAGGGTAATGCATAAAGAAAAAGATGTTTAATGGACTCACATTCCACATTGCTGGGGAGGCCTCTCAATCATGTCAGAAGGCAAAAGGCACATCTTACTTGGCAGCAGATATGAGAGAATGAGAGAAGCAAGTGAAACAGGTTTCCCTGTATAAAACCATCAGAACTATTGAGACTTATTCACTGCCAGGAGAACAATATTGGGGAAACTGCCCCCATGATTCAATTATCTCCCACCAGGTCCCTCTCACAACGTATGGGAATTATAGGAGCTATAATTCAAGATGAGGTTTGGGTGGAGACACAGCCAAAGCATGTCACTAGGCATCCAACAAAGTTATACTTAAAATAGGTAATCCTGGGCATGTAACAAGGATCTCTAGTCCACAGATTTAACAGGATGATAGTCCTTTTTTTGGAAATGAAGTTTTACAGAAGAACTATATCATCTACTAAAAGCAGGTATTTTGTACTTGCCCTCACAGTGGTATGTGCTGCTGGTGCTGAATCTCTTCCCAGGAATGGAGACCAGTGGCATGGAATCAGGTAGAAAAGATTACCTCAGATACCACATAGGCTTTTCCAAGAATTTACAGAGTTGCCCAAATTTATGATTCATCCAGATCCAGAGAGAAACCTTCAGCAATTGCCCTGATAAAGCATTCAATGTTGCTGCTTGCTTCTAGAGAGAGGAGAACAGTTATGTATAGAACTGAATGTTGAGAAGTCCGAAAATACACTTTTACCTAAATAAATCATGAAAGCACAGATATCGAAGGCTGCAGCTGAGGAAGGAGCACTTTTCACTGATCAGAGGCCAGTAGGTCCACCACCCAGAGGAACACAACATCTTGACTTATTAGAAAGAAAATTAAGTGCTCTATCAGCCTTCCAGTATACTAAGCTACTCATTTCCTACCTAACCACCCCACCAAAATAACACTGTGATAAAAGCAAGCTAGGTTGAAATCACTGCTAGAATTCAATTTGCAATTACTCTCTCTATTGGTGTCAGTAGTTTTACTGATTAGGACTTTTATTTGTGAATTACAATTGAAAGCTGTATTTTGACCATAGCTTTTTCAGGCTTTTGTGTACTCACCAATCTGTCATCTGTAAAATGTCAGTCACTAGTGGAGCTTACAGTGGCCTTTCCAAAATTAACTGCTGTGGTGGTGTGTTGCTCTCAGTGTGCTGTTGCACTTTAATGAAGATATCTTTTCCTGTAGTGACCTGGGGAAAGGATTCAAGTGCTTGATGACAAACATATTCTCCTCTCGACAAGGCAAATATTAAAACCACTCATTACTACTCAGCCTTTAATGTATCTGCGTGTCAAATTTATATTTCTTCTTTTTTAACGTTAATTATACTTGTATATCCAATTAAGAGCACTTTTTAGGCATTGCATGAGACATGGGATGATAGTTCTGTGGAAGTATTGCCTTGTGAATTTGCTATTTAGTTTTGTCTTTGCTGTAAACTTGCAGCATTAAATAATCACTGTTGTTAATAGCCTTTCCTTTTGAAAAAATTATGTGAAATGTACAGCTGCTCTTGATGAAAACAACTATTTGCCTTTTATCCTTTGAACTTTAAACCTGGTGCATTAAAAAAAAATGCACCTTCCCCTCACCTTTGGAATTTTGTATTAATGCCAAATAATATTTACTGAGTTTGGTAATTTTTTCTGGTATTGTACTAGTCTGACTCTAAAAAAAACAAAAACAAAACAAAACAAAAAACCAGCCAGGCACGGTGACTCATGCCTGTAATGCCAGCACTTTGGGAGGCTGAGGTGGGTGGATCATGAGGTCATGAGTTCAAGACCAGCCTGGCCAACATGGTGAAACCCTGTCTCTACTAAAAATACAAAAATTAGCTGGACATGGTGGCACATGCCTGTAATCCCAGCTACTTGGGAGGCTGAGGCACAAAAATTGCCTGAATCAGGACTTAGGAGGCAGAGGTTGCAGTGAGCCAAGATCACACCACTGTACTCCAGCCTGGGCTACAGTGCGTGACTCTGTCTCAAAAACAAACAAATAAACAAACAAACAAACAAAAAAAAAAACCTCCTCCTTCCTCCCCAGTTTTGTATCCGATTGTACTGTTAGTCTGATGTTCAATATTTTGCCAGGTTTGTCTGCAGTGTTTGTGTATATAAACTGATCTTGGTAATCCTCTACACAGCTGTTTGAAATGCCAGAATTATTTCTGACATTCTAAGTTTTTCACAAAATACATTGTATCTGTGATTAGCCATTTGACTAGTCATACTGGCAAACAGATTTTGCAAAAAGAAATACAATTTTTCCATTGTTTTCTCACTAATTTTGATCTAAAATATCTTTGCTCTTGTCTTTGACTTGTGTTTTATTAATATTGACTGGCATGTTAAAGATCACTCTGAGCTTAATTGTCTAGAAAAAGAAAAAACAAAACAGGTCTGTAGGTAGGACTACCAGGCAGAAGGCTTGGTGTGAGCACAGGTGTGGCGTTAGGGGAACAAGCACCATCATGGGGTGGGCAAAAGGCAGGAGGTGATGACCAAGAAGAGAAAAATCCCCAAACCCAGCAAGTCACTGAGCCAAATGAAAGCCTTTTATCCTGCATCAGCCATTTAACCCCATCAACACTCCAAGTGAACATTCTGTTTTAGAGATACTGATAGTTCTTATTTTCCTGTAATCCTGTAAAGGAATCTTATCTCTCTCATCAGCCTGTCCCCAGGACTAAAATCCTAAATTAGAATACCATTCTTAGGAAGGCATCTCTCTGGGTTAGGATGCAAGGAAATTGAGTTAGTTGCTATCAGTCATTCACACGCTGCACAGATATTAATTTACCAGAGTCATGGTGTCCCCAGGACTAAAATCCTAAATTAGAATACCATTCTTAGGAAGGCATCTCTCTGGGTTAGGATGCAAGGAAATTGAGTTAGTTGCTATCAGTCATTCACATGCTGCACAGATATTAATTTACCAGAGTCATGGTGGGGAATGGGAGAAGCTCATTAAAAGCAGGCCTGGATGGTGCACAGAATGTGAAGGGTACAGGGGAACAAAGAAAGGCTAGGCTCAAAGACAGCTCCAAACCTAGGAGGCACAGTTATTATGCCCCTTTTACAGAGGAGGAAAATGAAGCACAGTAGGTAACTTGATCAACCATTCTGCCCCAGAGTAGAGGAGCCAGGATCTAAACCCAGCCAGCTTGCCTTGCCATCAGAGCTCACACACATAATTTTGTTCTGCAGTTAAGCAGGACTGCACTGTGGCTAAGTACACAGACTCTGGGTGCATATCCCAGCTGCTCTGCTATTTCCAGGTTTGTGACCATGGGCAAGTTACTTGCCTGTGCTCAATGTCCTCTGTAAAGTGAAGATAGCAGTACCTGCCTCATGGAGTCCCTTAAGTGAGTTAATAATGTAACATGTTATGGTGACATGCACACAGTCACCATCAGTTAATATAGACTATTATGCCTGAACCCCAGATGGGCACATGTCCTTGAAAAGTCTAAAATTCAGGACTCTGAAATCCAGCCTGTGAGATCCCGGAATCCTCCAGCAGCATTCTAACATCTTTTCCCTGCAGACTTGTATGCTGCTTCCCAGGGCTGAAAGGTGTATATGTATTAATATAGTGTAATAATATGGCCACCTGTCCACCTAGTTCATCCCTATAGTAGGCAAATAAGGTGATGTCAAATCCTTGGCTGGGGCCCAGTCCTGGTAACTTTCCCTTCCCTCTTTCCTGAATACTCTCTCATTCAGATTCATAGGTGCCCTGCAGGACTGCTTAGCCTGCAGGGAAGGCAGGATGGTGAGGAATGAAGTTGAGTGGGTGGGTGCAATTTTTCACTGAAGTGCGCTCCCTCTTGCCACCTGAACTTGTGGGCCCAGGCACTGGGTCTGGACCTGAGGGGGTCTTGTTCTCCTTTTAACTTTAAGCCTCAATTGGCAGCAATCACAGGGCTTCATGCCTCCCTGTGAGCCTGTCTGGGTGTTTATGCTGGATGACGTGGACCCCCTCTGCCAGGAGTGCATAGTCTATGACCTGGCCAGGCAGCCATGGCAGATGAGAAGAGCTTCAACATCAACTTTATTGTGCTGCTGGGTTTTTTCTGCTGGCTCTTAGCACGTTTCTCATGAGCCATGATCAGCCTCAGGTCTATGGCATCTTCTGCAGCTATGTCATGGTGCCTGGGGACATCATCTGAAGCAAGTGCCACTGCTACCCCAAGGCAGGTGTTGGTGAGGCTGTGTGGGGATAGGAGGGTTGGAGACCATGCCTCTATCTCATAAATCAACTCTTTATCCTTCAGTCATCTCCTCATTCTCATTTTGACTCCATTTACTTCTTTCTGCTCTCCTGAGCATTCATCCATCCATCCATGTTTCCATCCATACTTTCATCCACCCATTCATTCATCTAGTCATCCATCACTTAGCAGGAGGGTTGATCAGAAGCCCCCAGGATCTGGAGCCATGAATGAAACACCATGGAAGAGACACAATGAAACACAACATATTACTCATGTGCTTAAACTAAAAGTCAGTGAGTGCTTTCCACCTGCCAGGTACTCCTGCATTTAGAGTGCAGTTCTGCCCTTATGCTGAGATTTTTGGTGCCTTCCATAGTTCCATTTTATAGCAGAAAAAGGTGAGGCTGAGAAAGTGAGGCTCTGTAGCTGAGTAGCAGCACTTGGATTGGAGCTCAGATGTGCAAATGTAGGCATCATTCTCTTCCTTGAGTTTTCCACCCCAGGGCCCCAGAGTGGCTTAGCTTTCTGGAGTGGGTCAGGTCTAATCTTGGTGGAATGCATTGAGCAATTCTCTATCTTTTGCAGTCTTAATGTATTCTTAGCCCTACATGTGATTTAGTGACAGGAAAAGCACTGGTTTGAGAGTCCTGTGTTCCAGTTCCAGTTCTGACCCAAGCTTTGTGTGTTATCTTTGTCTTTCTTAGCCCCATCTTTTTTTATATGAAAAATGGGGCTCAAGCCTCTATTTTGCACCACCTCACAGTGTATAAAGATCAAAGAAGCAATGGAATATAGGAATGTTTTGTAAACTCTAGAGTGTTTTATGTGGGTGAAAGGCTCCCAGGTCCTGATACCTCTGAGTAAAGGACATGTCAACTCCCAAATCAAGTCTCTCACTCTTTCATTTTTATTTTTAACTTTAAACACAAAAATGTTTCTTTTTTCTTGAAGTACATGCTTAAAAAGCTCCTACTGTTATGGGCAGGTCTTTGTTCTTAGAGCTCCCAAGATGTGGCGGGCCACTCCCAAGATGGGGATGGGCTGCCCCCATCTTGGGAGCTCTAAGAACAAAGACCCGCCCATAACATTTAGTGGCCTCATATGGGGATTCTCCAAAGCAGTGAGTAATATCAGACCACTTTCACTTGCTATTCTGTCCTATCCTTCCTTAGAATTGGAGGAAAATACTGGGCACCTGTCAGCCAGTTAAAAATGATTAGCGTGGCTGCCAGACTAAAGACTCAGGTGTCAGCCTTCCTGGGAAGGGCTTTCTAACAACCCCCAACCCTTCTGGGTTGGGAGTGTTGGTCTGCCTGGAACCAGCTTCCACTTTCACAATTTTCCTGGGGAAGCTGAGGGCTGACTAGTGGCAGAAAGCTGTCATCCCAAACTCTCAGCATTAGCTGGTTGAGATCACGGTGCAGCCAGAAGTCTCTTCTCAACAGTTGCCTATGCATGCACCCCTACCTTTCCTTCTGACCCATACCTCCTGGGTCCTGACCACGACTTTCTTGAAAGTGTAGCCTCAAAATTCTCCTTACCTCTGTATCTATTTCCTCTGATCCCTGCCTCCTAGGCACTAATGGTTCAGCCTTTCATTTCCTCTAGCAAGTTGTATCTCCAAAGGTATCTAAGGAAGCTCTACACTGCGTCTTTATGCCCCTAGGCTATGAACCCAGAGAGTCTTGTCTCTGGTGTCCCTCCCAATTTAGGCATACAGCTCTTGACATGGGCAGTTATGTGGGACCTGTTCCCCACCACCCTTGCCAGGGCCCCAAGTTTGTAAATGGCTAGGAAGATTGCCCTCCCATTGTGTAAGATGCTCTCCTTCCCCAATTTCTACCCAGCTGACCCCTCTGCAATACAATCTCCAAGCCTTGGCTCCTTGGCCAGGGCCTTAGAAGTGATAACCCAGTACTTTAACAACTGGAACTGGGTCTAAGGCAAATAATAGATCAGGTTGAAGGCGAATTGAGTAAGTTAGAGAGAGAGAGGAAAAAGAGAGGGAGAGAGAGGGAGAGAGAGAGGGGAGAGAGAGAGAGGAAAGAGAAGCAGAGAGAGAAAGGAAAGAGGCAGAGAGACAAAGAGGGAGTCAAAGAGAGAAAAAAAGAGAAAGACAGAAGTAGTAAAGAAAAAAGTGTGCCCTATTCCTTTAAAAGCCAGGGTAAATTTAAAACCTATAATTGATAATTGAAGGTCTTCTCCGTGACCCTATAACCCTCCAATACTACCTTGTTGTCAGCGTAAACAAGGGTGTAGCCTGAAAACACTGAGACCACTGACAGCCCGTAGACTTCCTATAAAAAATTCTTAACCCAGTAACCCGTGGATGGGCCAAATGCATTCAATCTGTAGCGGCAACTGCTTTGCTAACAGAAGATAGTAAAAAAATAACTTTTAGAGGAAACCTCATTGTGAGCACACCTCACCAGTTCAGAGCTATCCTAAGTCAAAAAAAAAAAGCAAAAACGTAGCTCACTAACTCAAAAATCTTAAAGTATAGGGCTATTCTATTAGAAAAAGGTGATTTAACATTAATCACTGAAAATTCCCTTAACCCAGCAGATTTCCTAACAGGGGATTTAAATCTTAATTACCATACAAAGGTCCGACCAGACTAAGGAGGAACTCCCTTCAGGACAGGACAACAGATGGTTCCTCCCGGGTGATTGAGAAAAAAAACCACAATGTGTATGCAGTAATTGACAGGGAGTCTCTTATGGAAGCAGAGTTAGGAGAATTGCTTAATAATTGGTCTGCCCAAACGTGTGAGCTGTTTGCACTCAGCCAAGCCTTAAAGTACTTACAGAATCAAAAAACTATCTCAATCCTGACTCAAAAGGTTACCTACACCCTCTCTGAAATGAATTTGCATAAGAACTGTTGTTTATAGGGATGCATCTTGATGGGGCAGCTGGGTTGTTATGAAATACTCAGGAACCCAGCCCAGCTCTAGGACTCACCCCTGAGCACAAAGGCAATGTTGGGCACTCTGGTAAAGGACCACTAGAATCCAGCAGCCTGGACCCCTTTCTTTGTGGTCAAGAAAGGCAGGAAAAGGGGTGCAGGACTGCTACATTGGTGAGCATAACTAATTTGATAAGCAGAGGTCCATGGGTGGTTACACACCCTGGAAAGGAATAAGCATTAGGACCATAAAGGATGCCCTAGGACTAATGCTCATCGGAAAATGGCTAGGGGTAGTGGCATCCCTATGTTCTTTTTTCAGATGGGAAACATTCCCCCAAGGCAAAAATGCCCCTAAGATGTATTCTGGAGAATTTGGCCCAGTCAGAGTGCATTTGTCTTTTTCCCTCTCAGATTTGAAGCAAATTAAAATAGACCTAGGTAAATTCTCTGATAACCCTGACGGCTATATTGATGTTTTACAAAGGTTAGGAGAATCCTTTGATCTGACATGGAGAGATATAATGCTACTGCTAGATCAGACACTAACCCCAAATGAGAGAAGTGCCACCATAACTGTAGCCTGAGAGTTTGGCGATCTCTGATATCTCAGTCAGGTCAAAGATAGGATAACAACAGAGGAAAAAGAACAATTCCCCACAGGTAAGCAGGCAGGTCCCAGTGTAGACCCTCATTGGGATGCAGAATCAGAACATGGAGATTGGTGCCACAGACATTTACTAATTTTTGTGATAGGAGACTAAGGAAAACTAGGAAGAAGTCTATAAATTATTCAATGATGTCCACTGTAACACAGGGAAAGGAAGAAAATCCTACTGCCTTTCTGGAGAGACTAAGGGAGGCATTGAGGAAGCATACCTTTCTGTCACCTGACTCTATTGAGGGCCAACTATCTTAAAGGATAAGTTTATCATTCAGTCAGCTGCAGACATTAGAAAAATACTTCAAGAGCCCGCCTTAGGCCCGGAGCAAAACTTAGAAACCCTATTGAACTTGGCAGCCTTGGTTTTTTATAATAGAGATCAAGAGGAGCAGGCAGAATGGGATAAATGGGATAAGAAAAAGGCCACCTTAGTCATGGCCTTCAGGCAAGTGGACTTTGGAGGCTCTGGAACAGGGAAAGGCTGGGCAAATCAAATGCCTAATAGGGGCTGCTTCCAGTGCGGTCTACAAGGACACTTTAAAAAAGATTGTCTGAATAGAAATAATCCACCCCCTTGTCCATGCCCTTATGTCAAGGGAATCACTGTAAGGCCCACTGCCCCAGGGGATGAAGGTTCTCTTAGTCAGAAGCCACTAACCAGATGATCCAGCAGCAGGACTGAGGGTGCCTGGGGCAAGTGCCAGCCCATGCCATCACCCTCACTGGGCCCCGGGTATGCTTGACCATTGAGGACCAGGAGGTTAACTGCCTCCTGGACACTGGTGCAGCCTTCTCAGTCTTACTCTCCTCTCCCGGACAACTGTCCTCCAGATCTGTCACTATCCAAGGGTTCCTAGGACAGACAGTCACTAGATACTTCTCTGAGCCACTAAGTTGTGACTGAGGAACTTTACTCTTTTCACATGCCTTTCTAATTATGCCTGAAAGCCCCACTCCTTTCTTAGGGAGAGACATCCTAGCAAAAGCCGGGGCCATTATACACTAGAATTAGGAGAAGGAAAAAGGGTAAATCTATATACAGACTGTAAGTATGCTTACCTAGTCCTCCATGCCCACACAGCAATATGGAGAGAAAGGGAATTCCTAACTTCTGAGGGAACACCTAACAAACACCAGGAAGCCATTAGGAGATTATTATTGGCTGTACAGAAACCTAAAGAGGTGGCAATCTAACACTGCCGGGGTCACCAGAAAGGAAAGGAAAGGAAAGGGAAATAGAAGGGAATTGCCAAGCAGATATTGAAGCGAAAAGAGCCGCAAGGTGGAACCCTCCATTAGAAATACTTATAGAAGGACCCCTAGTAAGGTGTAATCCCCTCTGGGAAACCAAGCCCCAGTACTCAGCAGAAGAAATAGAATGGGGAACCTCACAAGGACATAGTTTCCTCCCCTCAGGATGGCTAGCCACTGAAGAAGGAAAATACTTTTGCCTGCAGCTAACCAATGGAAATTACTTAAAATTCTTCACCAAACCTTTCACTTAGGCATTGATAGCACCCATCAGATGGCCAAATCATTATTTACTGGACCAGGCCTTTTAAAAGCTATCAAGCAGATAGTCAGGGCCTGTGAAGTGTGCTGAAGAAATAATACCCTGCACTGCAGGTCATACATTTCAATCTCTGTATCTTTAACCCCCTTGTTAAGTTTGTCTCTTCCAGAATCGAAGCTGTAAAACTACAAATCATTCTTCAAATGGAGCCCCAGATGCAGTCCGTGACTAAGATCTACTGTGGACCCATGGACTGGCCTGCTAGCCCCTGCTCTGATGTTGATGACATTGAAGGCACCCCTCCCGAGGAAATCTCAACTGCATGACCCCTACTATGCCCCAGTTCAGCAGATAGCAGTTAAGAGTTGTCCAGCCAACCTCACCAACAGCACTTGGGTTTTCCTGTTGAGAGGGGGGACTGAGAGACAGGACTAGCTGGATTTCCTGGGCTGACTAAGAATTCCTAAGCCTAGCTGGGGAAGGTGACCGCACCCACCTTTAAACACGGGGCTTGTAACTCAGCTCACACCCCACCAATCAGGTAGTAAAGAGGGTTCACTAAAATACAAATTAAGCTAAAAGCAAGAGGTAAAGAAATAGTCAAATCATGTATCAACTGAGAGCACAGGGGGAGGGACAATGATTGGGATATAAACCCAGGCATTCAAGCAGGGAGTGGCAACCCCCTTTGGGTCCCCTCCCACTGTATGGGAGCTCTGTTTTCACTCTATTAAATTTGCAACTGCACACTCTTCTGGTCTGCGTTTGTTCCGGCTCGAGCTGAGCTATCGCTTGCCATCCACCACTGCTGATCACCACCATCGCAGACCCACCACTGACTTCCAACCTTCTGGATCCAGCAGGGTGTCCACTGCACTTCTGATCCAGTGAGGTGCCCATTGCCACTCCTGACTGTGCTAGAGGCTCACCATTGTTCCTGTGTGGCTAAGTGCCTGGGTTCATCCTAATTGAGCTGAACACTAGTCCCTGGGTTCCACGGTTCTCTTCCGTGACCCAGGGCTTCTAATAGAGCTATAACACTGACTGCATGGCCCAAGGTTCCATTCCTTGGAATCCATGAGGCCAAGAACCCCAGGTCAGAGAATAAAAGTCTTGCCACCATCTTGGGAGCGGCCCGCCCCATCTTGGGAGCAGCCTGCCACCATCTTGGGAGCTCTAAGAACAAAGACCCACCCGTAACGCTGTTGATGACCAAATTAATATTTTTCTTTTCAAAATATTTTAACTTACCCATTTTGATGAAGGTATTGCTGGTAAGTGTCCATTTCCAGCTTTAAGAATAATTTCTCACATTTCCATTTATATTTATTTTTCTGGTTTTGGTTCTACACAAGTTGTGGACATTTTACTTCCATCCTTGTAAAGTATATATTTTTTCTCTCACTGATTTATAGTGATTTGTTCTCCTCTTTGATGTTAGGTGGCTTGGCTATTTTTGGTATTTAATTTCCTTATTTTTTGACCCACTGTGTTTCTTCTATTAAAGACTTAGGCTGGGTGCGGTGACTCATGCCTGAAATCCCAACACTTCGGGGAGCTGAGGCAGGTGGATCACCTAAGGTCAGGAGTTCAAGACCAGCCTGACCAATATGGTAAAACCCCGTCTCTACTAAAACAAATACAAAAATTAGCCAGGTGTCGTGGTGTGTGCCTGTAGTCCCAGCTGCTCAGGAGGCTGAGACAGGAGAATTGCTTGAACCCCGGAAGCGGAGGTTGCAGTGAGCCGAGATGACACCACCGCACTCCAGCCTGGGGTGACTAGAGTGAGACTCCATCTCAAAAAAAAAAAAAAAAAAAAGACTTATGTCTGGTTTTTGATTTTAGAAACTTAGAAGATACCAACTCTAAATATTGACTTCACTTTTGAAAATATATTCTGTAGAAAAAAATATATATATATTTTTTGAGATGGAGTCTTGCTCTGTCACCAGGCTGGAGTGCAGTGGCACGATCTCAGCTCACTGCAACCTCTGCCTCCTGGGTCCAAGTGATTCTCCTTCCTCAGCCTCCCAAGTAGCTAGGATTACAGTCACCCACAACCACGCCCAGCTAATTTTTGTATTTTTAGTAGAGACGGGGTTTCCCTATGTTAGTCAGTCTGGTCTCAAACTCCTGACCTTGTGATCTGCCCGCCCCAGCCTCCCCAAGTGCTGGGATTACAAGCATGAGCCACCACGCTCAGTTGAAAAAAATAGATTTGTTTTATTTCCTCTCATTCTACTTTTCATAAATGTATATTTGTGGTTATATAACTTCTTCTCCTTTTCTGCTTTTACACTAATTCTGCTCAGTATTCTAGGTTCCCTAATCTTCTCGTTAGCTCAGACTAATTCAATGTTTCACTCAAATGTTGTAAATTAAATAGACTGATTAATCTTTAATTGTTTACTTTATATTTGACTTTTTCCAAATAAGATTTGTCACCTTATAGCTTCTTGTTTCTTCCACATTATTAATATATTTACTATTTTCCTCATTATATTGACTTAAAACTTCTTTTTTTTTTTTTTTTTGAGATGGAGTTTTGCTCTCTCACCCAGGCTGGAGTGCAGTGGCATGATCTCAGCTCACTGCAAGCTCCACTTCCCGGGTCCACACCATTCTCCTGCCTCAGCCTCCTGAGTAGCTGGGACTACAGGCGCCCATCACCACGCCTGGCTAATTTTTTGTATTTTTAGTACAGGCGGGGTTTCACTGTGTTAGCCAGGATGGTCTCGGTCTCCTGACCTCGTGATCTGCCTGCCTCGGCCTCCCAAAGTATTGGGATTACAGGTGTGAGCCACCGCACCCGGCCTAGAACAGGTAAGATTTTTCTGTTTATCTATTAGCCAGGAGTACTGTGATACTAAAAGCAGACAAAAGGATCACAAATAAAGAAGACTGTGGACCAAAATCCTATATAAATATAGAATTCCTGATGAAATTATCAGAAATGTTAGCAAACTAAATTTAGCAATATGTAAAACTGATTACATACAATGACCAAGTAATAGTTTTTCACAAATGCAGTGTTGGCTTAATATTTTAAAAATCAACATATTACAAAATGTTACTTGAACAATAGAAAAAAGTGACAACTTAAATAGATGCAAAAGTTTGACAAATCCAGCACCTATTTATGATAAAACACTCAGAAAACTACTAGAATGGAACTTCTAAGACCTGCTAGAAAGCATGTATAAAAAATCAACAGCTAATAGTACACTTACTGGTGGATAATTGCAGACTTTATGTGTAAGTTCAAAAAATGGAACAAGAATGTACATTTCTTCCACTCTGTTTAACACTGTACTGGAAGTACTAGCCAGAAAACTATACTAGAAAAATAAATAAAACCTTCAGATTAGAAAAGAAGTAGAATACTATTTCCTTGCCATAGTGTTGTATAAAAAACTATTATAAATTTATCAAAAACTTACTTGAACTAATAAAGTTTATTAATGTCACAAAATACGAGATTAATATACAAGATGAAATAATACTTTTATATAACAGTAATCGACATACTAAAAATTAAGTCAAGAAAAAATTTAATAATAACATTGGAAAAACCATTTGGGAACATATTTTTAAAAGCAAGTACACATACTTTACAGTGAAAATTATTTAAAATGCTGAAAGAAATTTTTAAAACTGTATAAGGAAAGATATATCTAATATTCAAGGTTATCAATAAGAAACGTTATGATCAAAATACCCAATGAAAACATTTACAGTAGCCGGGCATGGTAGCACATGCCTGTAATCCCAGCTTCTCGGGAGGTTGAGGCAGGAGAATTGCTTGAACCCAGGAGGCAGAGGTTGCAGTGGGCCGAGATTGCACCATTGCACTCCAGCCTGGGTGACAAGAACAAAACTCCATCTCAAAAAAAAAAAAAAAAAATAATCTACAGATTCAATGTAAATTTCAAAGTAAATTATTTTCAATGTAAATTGACAAGCTGCTCTTTCTAAATTCTATATGGATGTGCAAAAAAAAAAAATCAAACACACATGAGACTTTGAAAATAAAAACAAAATTTACTTCTGATATCAGTTCTTACTAAAATGTTATCATAACCAAACAATAGGGTACTACTATAAGGATAGATTTTGAGGACCTATCTGGGAGTGACACAGAGCCAACAAAACGCCCAGCCCCAGCCAAGAATAGGGGTGAGTGAATTTGCAACCCTAGGAAACCACACTTCTCCCACAAATCTTTGCAACCCTTGTATTAGGAGAGCCCCTTGTGAGCCCACTTGACCAGGGCCTTGGGCCTGACACACAGAGTTGTGTGGAGTCTCAGTAGAGCAGCTGCTTAGACACACACAGAGACCCAGGAGCTTTACACACTTCAGTCCTGGGATTTCCAACAAAGGTGACTGCAACTCAGACAAGGTGGGAGGTCAGTGCATGCCTCCAGGAAGAGGCTGAATCCAGGGGGATGAGCAGCAACAGTCTGTGGGCCCCACTTCCACTGCACCTCATATGATAAGACCCACTGGCTTGGAATTCCAGCCACCAGCAACAGCCTAGCACCTGACTGAGATGGGTCAGAGCCCCTGGGGGAGGGCCAGGCCACTATCTTTGCTGCTTGGACGTTGGCTTTGGAGAATCCAAACAATCCGAATGAGGAAGGGACCCCACAGCACAGCACAGCACAGCTGTTTTACCAAGATATGGCCAGGCTGCTTCTTCAAATAAAAACCCAATCCATTATCCTCGCTGGATGAGTCTTCCCAGCAGGGGCCTCCAGCCAGCCCCACCCATATTCTATGAACAGAGTTCTGATTTCTCCCTAAGATAGAGTGCTCAGAAAGGGGAAGATGGGCTGCTACCTTAGCTGTTTGTGTGACTCAGCCATTCCAGCTTATGAGTCCAAGCTGACTGGGACAAAGGTGGTTCCCCAGCATGGAATGGCTGTTTTGTCGAGGCATGGCATAACTGTTTCTTTAAATGGGACCCCAATCCATTTTTCCTTGCTGGGCAGGTACTCCCAGCCAGGGCTTCCTGCCACCCATGCCCATGTTCTAAGGCCAACAGAGTTCTAATTTCTCCCTGGGATGGGGGTGCCCAGGAGGCAGAGTGGGTCACCATCTTTGCTGTTTGGGCATCTCAGCCAGTGCAGCCTGTGGGCCTTGGAGAGCCCAAGCCAATTGGGGGCTGAACAAATCCCCCCAACACAGTACAGTTGCTCTACCAAAACACAGCCAGACTCCTCCTTTAATTGGTTGCTCATCCCCTTTCCCCTGATTGGGTGAGACCTCCAAACCATGGTCTCCAGCCACCTCCTACAGTTGTGTTCAGGCAGTCAACAGGTCAGTACCCCCTGGGATGGAGACCCCAGAGGAATGTGCATGCTGCCATCCTTGCTGTATTGCAACCTTAACTGGTGATACTTCCAGGTACTTAAAAAACCAAGGTGACTGCCAGGCACAGTGGCTCACATGGCTCATGCCTGTGATCCCAGTGCTTTGAGAGGCTAAGGTGGGTGGATCTTGAGGTCAGGAGTTCGAGACCAGTCTGGCCAATATGGTGAAACCCTGTCTCTACTAAAAATACAAAAATTAGCTGGGCGTGGTGGTGCACACCTGTAGTCCCAGCTACTCGGGAGGCTGAGGCAGAAGAATCGTTTGAACCCTGGAGGTGGAGGTTGCAGTGAGCCGAGATCACACCACTGCACTCCAGCTTGGGCTACAGAGCGAGACTCCGTCTCAACAAAAAACAAAAACAAAAACAAAAAAAACCCCAAAAAACAAAAAAACAAAAAAACCAAGCCTGGAGTGGACCCCCAGCAAACCACAGTAGCCCTACAAAAGAGCAACCAGATGATTAAAAGAAAAACAAACAGACAAACGACAACAAAAAACCCCCACAATAACCCCATCCAAAGGTCAGCAACCTGAAAGATTGAAAATAGATAAGCCCACAAAGATAAGAAGTGGCACAAACATGATGAAAACTCAAAAAGTAAGGGTGCACCATGTTCTCCAAATGACTGCAACACCTCTCCAACAAGAGTTCAGAACTGGGCTGAGGCTGAAATGGCTGAAATGATAGAAGTAGGCTTCAGGATGTGAATACAAATGAGCTTTGCTGAGCTAAAGGGGCACATTGTAACCCAGTGAGCTAAGAATCAAGTTAAAACAATGCAGGAGCTGACAGCCAAAATAGCCAGTATACATAGAAACATAAATGACCTGATAAAGTTGAAAAAACACACTACAAGACCTTCACAATGTAATCACAAGTATTAATAGCACAATAGACCAAGTGGAGGAAAAACATCACAGAGCTTGAAGACTGTCCTTTCTGAAATAAGACAGGCAGACATGAATAGAGAAAAAAATGAAAAGGAATGAACAAAACCTCTGAGACGTATGAACATATTTCAGGATATCATCCAGGAGAACTTCCTCAACCTAGCTAGACAGGCCAACATTCAAATTCAGGAAATGCAGAGAACCCCAGTAAGATACTCCATGAAAAGACCATTCCCAAGTCATATAATCACCAGATTCTCCAAGGTCAAAATGAAAGAAAAAATGTTAAGGCAGCCAGAGAGAATGGTCAGGCCACCTACAAACAGAAGCCCATCAGACTAACAGCAGACCTCTCAGTGGAAACCCTACAAGCCAGAAGAGATTGGGGGCCAATATTCAACATTCTTAAAGAAAAGAAATTCCAACCCAGAATTTCATATCTGGCTAAGTTAAGCTTCATAAGTGAAGGAGAAATAAAATTTTTTCAGACAAGCAAATACTGAGGGAATTTATTACCAGCAGACTTGCCAGACAAGATCTCCTGAAGGAAGCACTAAATATGGAAAGTTACCATTACCAGCCACTACACTTCATAGTGTCAGCCAGTGACACTATGAAGCAACCACATAAACAAGTCTATAAAATAACCAGCTAGCATCATGATGACAGGATCAAAATCACACAGAACAATACTAACCTTAAATACGAATAGGTTAAGTGCCCCAGTTAAAAGACACAGCATGGCAAGCTGAATAAAGTACAAAGAACCATTGGTACGCTGTCTTCAAAAGACCCATCTCACAAGCAAAGACACACATAGGCTCAAAATAAAGGGATGGATGAAAATTTACCAAGCAAATAGATAACAGAAAAAAGCAGAGGTTGCAATCCTAGTTTCTGATAAAACAGACTTTAAACCAACAAACATCAAAACGACAAAGAAAGGCATTACATAAGGGTAAAGGTTTCAATTCAACAAAAAGAGTGAACTATCCTAAATATATATGTACCCAACACAGGAGCACCCTGATTCATAAAGTAAGTTCTTAGCAACCTTCAAAGAGACTTAGACTCCCACATAATAGTAGTGGGGTACTTTAACAAGCCATTGATAATATTAGACATCAAGATAGAAAATTAACAAAGATTTCAGGATGTGAACTCAGCCCTAAATTAAGTGGAACTGATAGATTATCTACAGAACTCTCCACCCAAAAATAACAGAATATGCATTGTTCTCATCACCACATATCACTTACTCTAAAATTGACCATATAATCAGTATTAAAACATGCCTCAGCAAGTGCAAAAAACTAAAATCATAACAAACAGTGTCTCAAATCACAGTGTAAGCAAAGTAGAACTCAAGGATAAGAAATTCACTCAAAACCATGCAACTACATGGAAATTGAACAACCTGCTCCTTAAGGATTCATGGGTAAATAATGACATTAAGGCAAATATCAAGAAGTTCTTTTAAACTAATGAGAACAAAGAGACAATGTACCAGAATCTCTGAGATGCAGCTAAAGCAGTGTTAAGAGAAAAACTTACAGCACTAGATGTCCATATTAAAAAGCTAAAAAGATCTCAAGTCATCAACCTAACATTACAACTAAAAGAACTAGAGAACCAAGAGCAAACAAACCCCAAAGTTAGCATAAGACAAAAAATAACCAAGATCAGAGCTGAACAGAACATAATAGAGACACAAAAAAACCCTTCAAAATGTCAACAAATCCAGGAGCTTTTTTGAAAAAATTAATAAAATAGACTTCTAGCTAGACTACTAAAGAAGAGGGAAGATTCAAATAAACACAATCAGAAATAATAAAAGAGATATTACTACTGACTCCACAGAAATACAAACAACAATCAGAGAATATTATAAATACTTCTACACATATAAACTAGAAGATCTAGAATAAATAAACACATTCCTGGACACACAACCCTCCCAAGACTGAACTAGGAAGAAATTGAACCCCTAAATAGGCCAATTACAAGTTCTGAATTTGAGACAGTAATAGAGAGTCTACTGACCAAAAAAAGCCCAGGACCTGACAGATTCAAAGCTGAATTCTACCAGAGGTACAAAGAAGAGCTGGTAGCGTTCTTACTGAAACTATGCCAGAAAAAATGAAAATGACAGACTCCTCCCTAAGGCATTCTATGAGGCCAGCATTATTTTGATACCAAAACCTGGCAGAGATACAACAACAAAAAAAGAAAACTTCAGGCCAATATTATTGATAAACATGGATGCAAAAATCCTCAACAAAATACTGGCAAACTCAACCCAGCAGCCCATTGAAAAGCTTATCCACCATGACCAAGTAGGTTTCATCCCTGGGATGCAAGGTTGGTTGAACATACACAAATCGATATATGTGGTTCATCACATAAACACAACTAAGGACAAAAACCACATGATATTTCTCAATAGATGCAGAAGAGGCCTTTGATAAAATTCAACATCCTTCATGTTAAAAACTCTCAATAAACTAAGTATTGAAGGAATGTACCTCAAAATAATAAGAGGCACCTATGACAAACCCACAGCCAACATTATACTGAATGGGCAAAAGCTGGAAGCATTTGCCTTGAAAATCAGCACAAGATAAGGATGCCCACTCTCACCACTTTTATTCAACACAGTATTGGAAGTTGTGGCCACGGCAATCAGGCAAGAGAAAGAAATAAAGTGTAGTCACATAAAAAGAGAGGAAATTAAACTATCTTCTCTGCAGATGACATGATCCTATATCTAGAAAACCCCACTGTCTCAGCCCAAAAGCTTCTTAAGCTGACAAGCAACTTCAGCAGTGTCTCAGGATACAAAAACAATGAAAAAAAAAATCTCTAGCATTCCTATGTACCAAAAACAGGCCAGTTGAGAGCCAAATCAATAATGAACTCCCATTCATAACTGCCACAAAAAGAATACAATACCTAGTAATACAGCTAACAAGGGAAGTGAAGGACCTCTTCAAGAAGAACTAAAGGCCATGGTTCAAATAAATCAGAGGTGACACAAACAAATGGAAATACATTCCATGCCCATACCTAGGAAGAATCAATATCATGAAAATGGCCATACTACCCAAAGAAATTTATAGATTCAATTCAATGCTATTCCCATTAAACTACCATTGACATTCTGCACAGAACTAGAAAAAAACTATTTTAAAATTCATATGGAACCAAAAAAGAGTCCAAATAGCCAAGGCAATTCTAAGCAAAAAGAACAAAGCTGGAGGCATCAGGCTACCTGACTTGAAACTATACTCCAGGGCTACAGAAACCAAAATAGCATGGTACTGGTACAAGAACGGACAGATAGACCAATGGAACAGAATAGAGAACCCATAAATAAGACTGCACACCTACAACCACCTGGTCTTCAACAAATCTGACAAAAACAAGCAATGGGAAAAGAATGTCCTGTTTAATAAATGGTGTTGGGAGAACTGGCTAGCCATATGCAGAAAACTGAAACTGAATCCCTTTCTTACACCATATACAAAAATCAACTCAGAATGGATTAAAGACTTAAATGTAAAACCAAAAACTATAAAAACCCTAGAAGAAAACCAAGGCAGTATCATTCAGGACATAGGCATGGGCAAAGATTTCATGACAAAGATGCAAAAAGCCATTTCAAGAAAAGCAAAAATTTAAAAATGAGATCTAATTAAACTAAAGAGCTTCTGCACAGAAAAAGAAACTGTCAACAGAGTAAACAGACAACCTACAAAATAGAAAAAAATTGCAATCTATGCATCTGACAAAGGTCAAATATCCAGCACCTATAAAAAGCTTGAACAAATTTACAAGAAGAAAACAAACATCCCCATTTGAAAGTGGGCAAAGGATATTAACAGACACTTCTCAGAAGAAGACATACATGTGGCCAACCAACATATGAAAAAAAGCTCAACATCACTGATCATTAGAAAAAAGCAAGCCAAACGCAGTGGCTCACACCTGTAATCTCAGCATTTTGGGAGGCTGAGGTGGGCGGATCACTTGAGGTGAAGAGTTCAACACCAGCCTGGCCACATGGTGAAACCCCATTTCTACTAAAAATACAAAAAATTAGCCAGGCATGTTGGTGGTTGTTGTGATCCCAGCTACTCAGAAGGCTAAGGCAGAAGAATCGCTTATACCCAGGCGGTGGAGGTTGCAGTAAACCGAGATCATGCCACTGCACTCCAGCCTTGGCAACAGAATGAGTCTCTGTCTCAAAAATAAATAAATAAATAAATAAATAAATAAATAAATAAATAAATATAAATCAAAATCAAAACTACAATGAGATATCATCTCACACAAGTCAGAATGGCTATAACAAAAAAGTCACAAAACAACAGATGCTGGTAAGGTTGTGGGAAAAAAGGAATGCTCTTACACCATTGGTGAGAGTGTAAATTAGTTCAACCATTGTGGAAGACAGTGTGGCAATTCCTCAGAGACCTAGAGGAAGAAATACCATTTGACCCAGCAATTCCATAACTGGGTATACACCTAAAGGATTATAAATTGTTTCATTATAAAGGCACATACACGTGTATGTTCATTGCAGCACCACTCATAATAGCAAAGACATGGGATGAATCTAAATGCCCATCAATGACAGGCTAGATAAAGAAAATGTGATACATAAACACCATGAAATTCTATGCATCCATAAAAAGGAACGAGATCATGTCCTTTGCAGTGACATGGATAGATCTAGAAGCCATTATTTTTAGCAAATTAACGCAGGAACTGAAAACCAAATACTGCATGTTCTCACTTATAGGTGGGAGCTAATTAATGAGAACACATGTACACATGGGGGGAAAAACACACACTGGGGCCTGAGTATGGAAGGTGAGAGGAAGTAGAGGATCAGGAAGAATAGCTAGCAGATGCTGGGCTTAATACCTGGGTGACTGTATGATCTGTGCAGCAAACCACCATGGCACACATTTACCCAAGTAACAAGCCCACACATCCTGCATATGTACCCCTGGACTTAAGAGTTGGAAATACAGTGAAAAAAATAGATTTTTATAGATTAAAGGAATAGAATTTGTGGTATATTAATAAATATATTACTTTGTGGTAAAATTAATTTTGTCAAAGATGCCAAGAAATTTTAATAGCAGAAGTTTCTTCAACAAATGATACTGAGAAATCAGTTGTCAACATGCAAACAAATAAAGCTGAACCACCTAACTCAAACCACACAAAATAAAATATTAAAAATTGATTATATCTCTAATTTTAAAAGTTAAAATTATCATATTCACTGGACAAAAATTAGAGTAAATTTTTATAATGTTGGATTAGGCAAAAAATATCTTAGGTATTACACAAAAGCAAAATCAAGAATAAGAAAAACTTAGGCCAGGATCAATGGCTTATGCCTGTAATCCTAGCTCTTGGAGAGGCTGAGGTGGGAGAATTACACAATCCCAGGAGTTTGAGACCACCCTGGGCAACATAGTGAGACTTCATGTCTACGAAAAAAAAAAAAAAAAAAAAAAAAAAAGCTGGGCACTGGGGCACAGGCCTGTAGTCCCAGCTCCTCAGGAGAGGAGATTGAGGCTGCAGTGTGCCACAATTGTGCCACTGCACTCCAGACTGGGTGACAGAGACCCTGTCTCAAAACAAGAGAAAAATAAAGAATACTACTTCATGAAACAGAAAAACATTTGCTTTTTGAACAGAATCATAATGAATACAAAAGACAAAATATTTAATGGCAAAACATTTTAAGTTTTAAATCTGATTTGGGTCTAGGAATAAATATATTAAGAGAACTCTTATGAGTTAATACAATAATTTACCAATGCAACACGAATAAAGCATTTGAATAGACAAATTCTAAGTGGCATGTAAAATGTTTCAATATTATTACTCATTAGGAAATGCTACTAAAACCACAATAATATCATCACATTCCCCAGAATAGCAACACCAAATGTAGGCATTCAGATGCACCCAACTAGAGTGTGTTTCCAGAAAGGTGGATATGCCTTATGCATTTTTATTTAACTTTGATTGCCCTAAACACAGTGTGATGCACATCACTTTACATCATCAATGCTTTCTTGGTAAATGAATGAATACCTGGAAGGTCCTGGTTTGATTCTCCCAAAGTTGGGCTTTTTCCACACTGCCAGCCAGAGTCTAATCTGGTCAGAGTGAAATTGCTTGTGATTGTCACTGAACCCGACCGAGAGTTTTTCTTATACTGAGATCCCTGGCTCCTTTCTGGAGAATTCCTCCTCTTGGCCAGGATCCCTGTTCAGAATGCTAATAAAGGATTCTTTTCTAGACTGATCATTCTGCCTAGACTAATTTACAAATAAGCAACCAGCCTAGAAAACACTTTTATTCTTATTTTTTGAACCTGGATTATAATAACAAAGTAAAATATTGTTAGACAACTGGAATTAGTTTCAGCTGACAAAAAAAGTGTAGGTAACTTACACAATGAATGAAAAGCGATAAAAATGGAAATTGTTTAGGAGTTATTTGCAGTCTCCAATATCTCTGTCTCTCCCAGGAGGCCCTGCTGGCTTGGGCCTTGTATAGCAAAACAGTGATTACGTTATCCAGATGCTTTCTTGGCTCTAATTTATAGCACTTTTAAAATTTTATTTTTTTCTCTGCTTCCTTTCTTCCTTTCATTTTTTAAATTCTTACATTTTGTTTCTTTTTCTCTCCCTTTCTTTTGTTCTTTCTTTCTTCATTTTACATGGATATACAAATAAAGGCAAGGATAAAACATATATGATGTTTTATTTTAATTAAATGACACAATGCCAAACATTAGAAAATAAAAAGCAATTCAATAAAGTGAATTAAAATAACCTACAATTCCACCACTGAGAATTTACCTTCCTTAACTTCCAACTTTCTGGGTATTTGTGTGTGAGATTGGGCCAAAGACGGACATTTGTTTTCAACTTTTGAAAGACATTTTTATTGCCATACCAACTTGACAATGATACATCTAAAAAGATAAAACAGCTGGAGATCATGTGGTTTGCCTACCTTCCATGGTTCGGAATGTGCAGGAGTCCAGAGACAGGCCATAGAAACACTTTGTACTCTTTCTCTTCACCTTACATGATCTCTGATGCAATTCCAAACATTCACAAACACAGACATAAACATACACATACATTTCTCAGTCAGGAGACTTAGTATTGTTAAGCTGTCAATACTACTCAGTGATGCACAAATTCCATGTCAGCCTTATTAAAATTCCAATGTTACTTCTCTTACAGAGATATTTGATAAAATCCTAAAATTCATATGTAATCACAAGGGACCATGAATAGCCAACACAGCTTTAGAAAAAAACAAAGTTAGAGGTACCACACCTCATGATGTCAAAACTGATTCCAAAGCTACAAAAATAAAACCATTGTGATATTGGCATAAAGACAAACAAATGGTTGATGGAACAGAACAGAGAACCAAGAAATAAACTTTTGGGAATATTATCAAATAATTTTTTACTAGGTTATCATGACCAAACAGTGAAGAAAAGGTCAGACTCTCCAACAAATGGTGTCAAAAAATTCAACACCTAAATAGAAGATAATGAACTTGGACCTTTCCCTTTGATAGCATGCAAAGAAAATATTTTACACAGACCAAATACCTAAATGTGAGACATATATCTCTTCAACGTTCAGAAAAATAGGGAGGAGCATAATAACATTAATTTTCACAAATTTTTTGAGTATTACATTAAAAGCAGAAGTAACAAGAAAAGAATAAAAAATGGTACTATATCAAACTTTCAAAACCTTCTGCATATCAAGGGAAACGCTTAGTGGAGTACAAATGCCAACCAGGAGATGGGGAAGAAATTGCAAGTAATCTATTCGACAGGAATTAACATCCCTTATGTATAAATGACTTCTAAAACACAACAACCAATAGTGAATATCTTGATTTTTAATAAAATGAACCAAGGTCTCCAAAGACATTTCTTTAAAAAGGCTATGCAAATGGCCAAGAGGCATTTGAAAGGATCATCAAAATTATTTTTTTGGGAGAAATGCAAAGCAAAATCCCAGTGAGCTCTTACCTCTCACCCATTAGCATGGCCACTATTCAACACACAAAAGGAATCAATGTTGTCAAGGATGCAGAGCATTTGGAACCCCCATGCACTGTTGGTAGAAGAGAATAATGCAGCCTCCAAGAAAATTAGGATAGAGGTTTCCCAAGATATTAAAAATCAAATATGGCTGGGTGTGGTGGATCATGCCTATAATTCTAACACTTTGGGAGGCTGAGGTGAGAGAATTATCTGAGCTCAGAAGTTTGAGTCCAGCCTGGGAAAAATAGGGAGACCCCACCTCTACAAAAAATACAAAAATTAGCCAGGTGTAGTGACATGTACCTGTAGTCCCAGCTACTTGGCTGGCTGAGATGGGAGGATTGTTTGAGCCCAGGATGTCAAGGCTGCAGTGAGCCATTATTGCACCACTGCACTCCAGCCTGGGTGACAAAAACAGATCTTGTCTCAAAAAAAAAAAAAAATGAAATTATCATACAATCCAGCAATCCCATTTTCAGGTATCTGTGTATGCAAAGATGTATACATGTCAGCATGTACTAGCTATATTCTGACAGTTTAACCACAGTATGAGCAATTACTGGGTGTCTTAAGGGGTGTTTCAGGGTATTCTTTCTTCACAGGTATTTCCCGTCCTCTCTGCTCAATTTAGCATACATGTTTCGGGTTGTCTTTGGAGCATGAGATTTTCCTCCCTCAGGGGCTTTTTTTTTCTGCTCATGTCTAACTGCCTACTCTAACATTCTCCCCTCAACAGATTGAGACCCTAAAAATCTTTGAGTTTAGGGGCACTGTGGGTCTTCCGTAACTGCTTCCTGCTGACATGAGATAAAGAACTCATCAGTGTCTCATTGTTTTGTCCTTTGTCAGGGAAAGATATCCTCCATGTTCTCTCAGGTTTGACTTGCAGTCTCCAGAGAAAATGTGTAGGGACACAGTTTTCCAGCAGGGAAAAAAGTAGGTTAATATTCCTGTTAGAGGACCATTTGAACTCTGAGAGTTTCTAGGTGAGAAGGAACAAATCTGGTTAGTAGATTTAGTGAGCAAGGCCCAAAAAGGAGAAAAAGGAAGACAAAGGCCAGGGATCCCAACAAAATGAGATGTCATGAGGTCTGGGACCAGGTGGCACCCCAGGAGAACTAGACCTAAGTGGCATGTTTCTGAAGGGAAGAGGCCTGGTGTATAAAATCTCTCACATGATTCTGGACTTGCCTTAATCTGTTAACCCAGAAACAGCATTTTTCTCCTAGCATAAGGCGAATTTATTCCTGAGCTGCAGTCAGTGTGTCAAGACCTCTACAATTTCTGGAGAACTACAGTCATAAGATAATAAACCTGTTGCTGTAACCCTGTTAGAGTTTGAGCAGTGGTTTCTATTTTATGAGTCAGTTCCAGAGATGGGTTGTGGAAAGTTGAGGAGGCAATAACAATGACAGCTATTCCTGTGGTGGCACTTGTGATGACAAGCTCATTGTGGAAGGAAATTAGATAAACTTCTGAGCTGATCTGGTGTGAGGTGGTAAATAAGGGTAACAGCAGAGAAGCATCACCCAGAACAATGGAAATTTTAGGGGTGAGGTAAGCCAGAGTGTATGTTCTGGTCCAATTTGCAGAGAGGCAGAGATGAGCCTGCATCTTCCATAGGAAGTAAAGTTCTGCACTCCATAAACAAGAATGAATGCAGAAAGAGTTGAGGTCAGCTCCAAACATTGACAAGTGTCCATTTTGGCTGCCCAGTATCTGATATTCTGCCACTAAAGTTGCTGCTGTCTAGAGAGTTAGACATGGGTGATTAGTTTGAATAAGAGAATGAGTCTATTTTTCTACAAAATCATGTGTCTAGTAGTATCTGGGAGAAGGGTTTTCTGAAAGGAATAAAAGACTTGAAACCTATTGCATAATTCATACTGGCTTGGTTGATACCATGGGTTGGATTGACTGCAAGAAGAGTGATTGAGGTAGAATTCAGTGGCATCATTTTGGATACATGGTTCAGGAGTTAAAATATTGGGGGTGATAAGTAGAGAATCTCATTTGGTATCGGGAATATTTAATGAAAGTTAAAAAAGCTTGTGGGGTATTAATAGTGGTGCTGGATGTGTTGCATTATGCTGGGTCAAGAGCACCCACCCATAAGAGTTCTGGAATTGATGGTAGCATAGATGCATAGAGATGCCTGGCCAATGAGGGTTACAGGGGAGAACAAGGGGCTTAAAACAATGGGGTTGGGCTTAAGAAAATCTTCAAAGGCCTCTTTAGCTTGGGTTAGAAATAGTATGTTAGCAGGGGGAAGGTTTTGTATGAAGAGGTCCCAATGGTAAGTGAAACTAAGTTGGGCTTGAGTAGTTGCCCATTCTTGTATTGTGGCCAAGTAGGCCATTTTTACCCTGAATGGAATTCATGCACAGCTGGGTTGAGGCATAGGAGGAATTGGCAGACATTAGTGCTTGTGGAGCTGCCTGCAGAGTTCTAAAAGGTTGTGGGCAATTAGAGCTTATAAGGGTGCTTTTAGCCAGAAGTGTGAGTAATGATCATAGAGCATTAGGCTGCATAGTTCCAAGGCAAGTAGATTAGGGCCAAATTGATATGCTTGTTAAGAAGACTGCCTGTAGTCCCAGCTACTTGGGAGGCTGAGGCAGGAGAATGGCATGAACCTGGGAGGCGGAGCTTGCAGTGAGCCGAGATAGCGCCACTGCACTCCAGCCTGGGCCACAGAGCGAGACTCCATCTCAAAAAAAAAAAAAAAAAAAAAAGACTGTTAATCCAAAGAGTATTAGAGATAGAGACCACTATTCAGATTATGGCTTTGAGGTTTAAATTGAGGAGGGTCACAGTTAACTCTTCCCTGGAGGGGGTGTTGGTTTATGGTAACAAAGGCATATTAGTAAATCTGCAGAGTATTATGACTTGTAATATAAACATCAAAATATTACTAACATTGCTGACGCACTAAAGCAACCAAAAGTAAAATAAATCATTAGGCTAAAAAATTGATATTAGATAAAGCAAGCTCTTATTGGAACTCCTGGTGCTGCACAAGATAGGGTTAAAGAAAGAATAAACAGTGCCCCTGCAAATAAGATTGCCAATATTGGGATTGCCCTACTTTAAGGTAAAAAGAGGGAGAACATTACTTATCCTCTCATTCAAAGAGAAATTTTAAGTCCTCCAGTGGCTCACAACAGTAGCTGAGTTCTGGTTCCACATCTGGTTCCTTAAAGTCTTTCCAGGGTTTTATTCAAAAGTGATTTATCCAACTAGAGATGCCAGAAACTTTGATAGCTATTGGAGTAGAAAGTATGACAGTAAAGGGGTTCTTTTGTAAAGAGGTTAGTTGCGATCCAAAAGACCCATCTCTCCAGATTTTAATGAGGACTGCTGATCCTGCGGGGTAAAACGGTTGTTGGTTGTTGCAAGTGTCACTTAGGCAGGCAAACTCCGGATGGCCTCTTGAAATTGAGTCAGGGATTTTAGGTACTGGGTTAATTTGGTAACCTGTTGGTGTAATGTTAAGTTTGCAAGTAGAAAGGATCTCTCATATAGGATTTCAATAAAACTAAGGCATAGATGTAATTGAGGGGCTGTTCTGATCTGCAAAATGCCATGGGCAGAAGTTCTAGCCATGGTAAAGAGGTTTTCCTGGCATCATTTGCTCAGGGTGCTTTTAATAGCTCGATTAGTTCTTTCTACATTCCCAGAAGGTTATGGCCTTCAGGAGGACTGTAAAAAGTATTTTATCCCTAGGGCTTTTGCCACTAACTGGGTAGTGTGTAAAATAAAATATGAACCTTTGTTACTTTGTGAAGACCGTGGATGCCCAAATCAAGAGATAATTTATTTGAGAAGGGCCTTGGAAATTACTTGAATTTTTTCTATTCTACTATGAGATTCTTCAACCCAGCCAGTAAAGGTGTCCCCAAAGATCAGAAGGTAGTTATAGCCTCGACAGGCTGACAATTAAGTGAAGTCTATCTGCCAGTCTTCCTGTTAGCTAGGTTTCTTGTTGCTGAACAGGCTGAATTAATTAACTAGAGTGGCTTAGGGCCTCCAGGATTATTACAGACACGAGATGGATAGGCTTTACAAACTTGACAAAAATATTTTGCACAGCTGATGGAGATGGTCTCTCCCAAAGTGACAAGAATTATGGAGTGCCCTTATTACTTCCTGTTGGAGGGCCTGGGAAGACAGAGAACCGCTCCCAATTTATACAATCTTTCATGTTTTAGGATATATTCACATTTGATAACCCATTTCTTTTTCTTGTGAGCATATTGCAGGATGGGGAGGTTGTTAGACAAATTTGGAATAAGGGCCACAAAACGTTCCCAGAGAGGGTGGCTGAAGATTGGTCAGGGTGGTGGAAAAATTTGTAAGAAAAAGTTACAGGGAAAGACACAAACCTTCTTGGAAGGCCGGGAGGTTTTGCAAAGCTTCGGGGAAGAATGAGCTGAAGGCAGCTGTCCTTACCCTAGGGCAAAGGGTGAGGAGTAGATACAAAGGAATGTAGAGGAATTTATCTAAATAGCTTGTTTATTCATGTTGTCCTAAAACTGATCTCCTAAAACTGACCTTTGATCATTCATGTGCAGGACTGCTCTCTACTTGGGGGCCTACGATGTTTATTACCCACAAATTGTGTTTGTTCCAAGCCTTTGTCATTACATCTGTAGTAAACAAATGCGAGCATCAATGGCTATTCACGGCTGCATTCTTGTAGGTGGTGATAAGTGGTACAGTCCCC
This sequence comes from Homo sapiens, assembly GCF_000001405.40. Lineage (NCBI taxonomy): Eukaryota > Metazoa > Chordata > Mammalia > Primates > Hominidae > Homo > Homo sapiens. Next base: position 173,861 of record NC_000004.12, on the reverse strand, counting down.
TAGCTGCACTGTTAGGTAAAATACCTGTGTCTGCATACTTCTTTCATCCCTCGCTCAGCCAAATTCTGTGGGATGGACTCTGCAGGTGGTGGCCCTAGCTGCTTGGTCAGCCCTCCTGTTTCTCTGGGCAATTTTATCTTGGCCCTTCTGGTAGCCCCACCAATGAACTACAGCTACTTTTGTAGTAGGTGGACAGCCTGGGATAGGGTAAAAACCTGCGACCCATATTTAACAGAAGTATCCTTTGCTGTCAAAAATTCCTTTTTCTTTTCAGATGGCTGTTAAGTGTGGAAAACTAAAAGGGCACATTTGAACTGTGTATAAATAGTAACTATTGGTTTCTTTCCTAGTTCTAGGGCTCTTGTCAGGACTAAGAGCTCTGACTGCTGAGCTGAGGTTCCCAAAGATTAAAAATTTAAAGTTTTATAAACAAATAGAAAACGATTTTGGTGGAAATAATTATAGGTAGTAGTATTTCAGCAAAGCTGAGAAATGGGCACAATGGAAACTAAACGAGTGAAATAGCTCAATAAATAAATTTGTATTAACGAAGGTAATAAAATCAGAGTATACTGCTTGTGTTTGTAGTAAATAATATTTAATTACATTACAGCATTTGCTGACTACAGGTTTAGTTTAAAATTATGCTGTAAGTACGGAGTTGCTGGAGGGGTGGGGAAGGGCAGTTGAAAAAAAAAGTTGTTCCCAAGTACATGTCAGTACCAAAGGGCAATTTCTAGAGTTTATATGGTATAAATACAGGAAGTATTTCTCCTTTGTGTATCATATTTATTTATTTTTATTTTATTTATTTTTTTAAGATGGAGTCTCACTCTGTCTTCAGGCTGCAGTGCGGTGGCACAATCTTGGCTCACTGCAACCTACACCTCCCAGGTTCAAGCGATTCTCCTGCCTCAGCCTCCTGAGTAGCTGGGACTACAGGTGCACCCCACCATGGCCATCTAATTTTAGTAGAGACGGAGTTTCACCATGTTGGCCAGGATGGTCTCAATCTCTTGACCTTGTGATCCACCCGTCTCAGCCTCCCAACATGCTGGGATTACAGGTGAGAGTCACCACACCTGGCATGTATCATGTTTTATACATTTACACACACATGTATAACAAAAAAAAGTATCAGTTGTTTCCATTTTTGTTAAATTTTTACTAAGAATGGTTGTTAATCATTTATTTTGTTTGAAGAAGGTGTTTACTATAATAGACAAGAGTTATTTCTGAAGTCAAAGTTGCTTGTGTTTTAATACTGGTTTTGCAATGTGACCAAGTCATTTTTCTCTGTGGCTCTGTATCTTTCTCCGTAAAATAAGTACCTATGTTATTGAGTTACTGTGAGAATTAAATTTATTAACACACATAGAGTTTTAGTGTTTGGCACAAATTAGCTATGATTAATAAAATTTTACATGCTGAATTACATTAATACATGCTTTAACACAAATGTATTTTCATTACATGAGTTTTTCAACCAATAGATGACTATATATTTAAATTTTTAAAAATGTGTTTACACACAATGAAATACTACTTGGTAATAAAAGAGAAAAAATCTTGTCATTTGAAACAATATGGATAAATTTAGAGTACATTATGCCAAGTGAAATAAGCCAGACGGCAAAATGCTGGTTACTGGATGCTTGTTTATTCAGAAAAAAAGAGGCATTTGGAGAGATCTCTGTAAAATAATACGTAAATACAGTTGACTAAGTTCAGAAAATTTATTGTACAGCATGGTGACTAGTCACCATGTACGGTATATGCTTTACAATAAATATAGAATATAGACTATTCTGCATGAAAAAATAAGTTTTGCTATAAGTATGTCATAGAAAGTTAATGTAAAATATCTCGACAGGTGGAGCCAAGATGGCCGAATAGGAACAGCTCCAGTCTACAGCTCCCAGCGTGAGCGACGCAGAAGACGTGTGATTTCTGCATTTCCAACTGAGGTACCGGGTTCATCTCACTAGGGAGTGTTGGAAAGTGGGTGCAAGACAGTGGGTGCAGCGCACCAAGCTTGAGCTGAAGCAGGGCGAGGCATTGCCTCACCCGGGAAGCACAACGGGTCAGGGAATTCCCTTTCCTAGTCAAAGAAAGGGATGACAGACGGCACCTGGAAAATTGGGTCATTCCCACCCTAATACTACGCTTTTCCAATGGTCTTAGCAAATCGCACACCAGGAGATTATATCCCATGCCTGGCTCAGAGGGTCCTACACCCACAGAGCCTCACTCACTGCTAGCACAGCAGTCTGAGATCAAACTGCAAGGCGGCAGTGAGGCTGGGGGAGGGGCGCCCACCATTGCCGAGGCTTGAGGGGGTAAACAAAGCGGCCAGGAAACTCGAACTCGGTGGAGCCCACCGCAATTCAAGGAGGCCTGCCTGCCTCTGTAGACTCCACCTCTGGGGGGCAGGGCACAGCCAAACAAAAGGCAGCAGAATCCTCTGCAGACTTAAACGTCCCTGTCTGACAGCCTTGAAGAGAGCACTGGTTCTACCAGCACACAGCTGGACATCTGAGAACAGACAGAGTGCCTCCTCAAGTGCGTCCCTGACTCCCAAGTAGCCTAACTGGGAGGCATCCCCCAGTAGGGGTAGACTGACACCTCACATGGCTGGGTACTCCGAGACAAAACTTCCAGAGGAACGATCAGGCAGCAACATCTGCTGTTCACCAATATCCGCTGTTCTGCAGCTTCTGCTGCTGATACCCAGGCAAAGAGGGTCTGGAGTGGACCTCCAGCAAACTCCAACAGACCTGAAGCTGCGGGTCCTGACTGTTAGAAGGAAAACTAACAAACAGAAAGGACATCCACACCAAAACCCCATCTGTACATCACCATCATCAAAGACCAAAGGTAGATAAAACCACAAAGATGGGGGAAAAACGGAGCAGAAAAACTGGAAACTCTAAAAATCAGAGTGCCTCTGCCCTCCAAAGGAACGCAGCTCCTCACCAGCAATGGAACAAAGCTGGACAGAGAATGACTTTGATGAGTTGAGACAAGAAGGCTTCAGATGATCAAACTACTCCGAACTAAAGGAGGAAGTTCGAACCCATGGCAAAGAAGTTAAAAACCTTGAAAAAAAATTAGACGAATGGCTAACTAGAATAATAATGCAGAGAAGTCCTTAAGGGACCTGATGGAGCTGAAAACCAAGGCATGAGAACTACATGACGAACGCACAAACCTCAGTAGCTGATTCAATCAACTGGAAGAAAGGGTATCAGTGATGGAAGATGAAATAAATGAAATGAAGTGAGAAGAGAAGTTTAGAGAAAAAAGAATAAAAAGAAACAAACAAAGCCTCCAAGAAATATGGGACTATGTGAAAAGACCAAATCTACGTCTGATTGGTGTACCTGAAAGTGACAGGGAGAATGGAACCAAGTTGGAAAACACTCTGCAGGATATTATCCAGGAGAACTTCCCCAATCTAGCAAGGAAGGCCAACATTCAAATTCAGGAAATACAGAGATCGCCACAAAGATACTCCTCAAGAGGAGCAACTCCAAGACACATAATTGTCAGACTCACTGAAGTTGAAATGAAGGAAAAAATGTTAAGGGCAGCCAGAGAGAAAGGTCGGGTTACCCACAAAGGGAAGCCCATCAGACTAACAGCTGATCTCTCGGCAGAAACTCTACAAGCCAGAAGAGAGTGGGGGCCAATATTCAACATTCTTAAAGAAAAGAATTTTCAATTTAGAATTTCATATCCAGCCAAACTAAGCTTCATAAGTGAAGGAGAAATAAAATACTTTACAGACAAGCAAATGCTGAGAGATTTTGTCACCACCAGGCCTGCCCTAAAAGAGCTCCTGAAGGAAGCACTAAAAATGGAAAGGAATAACTGGTACCAGCCACAGCAAAAACATGCCAAATTGTAAAGACCATCGATGCTAGGAAGAAACTGCATCAACTGATGAGCAAAATAACCAGCTAACATCATAATGACAGGATCAAATTCACACATAACAATATTAACCTTAAATGTAAATGGGCTAAATACTCCAATTAAAAGACACAGACTGGCAAATTGGATAAAGAGTCAAGACCCATCAATGTGCTGCATTCAGGAAACCCATCTCACGTGCAGAGGCACACATACGCTCAAAATAAAGGGATGAAGATCTACCAAGCAAATGGAAAACAAAAAAAGGCAGGGGTTGAAATCCTAGTCTCTGATAAAACAGACTTTAAACTAACAAAGATCAAAAGAGACAAAGAAGGTCATTACATAATGGTAAAGGGATCAATTCAACAAGAATAACTAACTATCCTAAATATATATGCACCCAATACAGGAGCACCCAGATTCATAAAGCAAGTCGTTAGAGACCTAGAAAGAGACTTAGACTCCCACACAATAATAATGGGAGACTTTAACACCCCACTGTCAATATTAGACAGATCAACGAGACAGAAAGTTAACAAGGATATCCAGGAATTGAACACAGCCCTGCACCAAGCAGACCTAATAGACATCTACAGAACTCTCCACCCCAAATCAACAGAATATACATTCTTCTCAGCACCACACTGCACTTATTCCAAAATCGACCACATAGTTGGAAGTAAAGCACTCCTCAGCAAATGTAAAAGAACAGAAATTATAACACTGTCTCTCAGACCACAGTGCAATCAAACTAGAACTCAGGATTAAGAAACTTACTCAAAACCACTCAACTACATGGAAACTGAACAACCTGCTCCTGAATGACTACTGGGTACATAATGAAATGAAGGCAGAAATAAAGATGTTCTTTGAAACCAGTGAGAACAAAGACACAACATACCAGAATCTCTGGGACACATTCAAAGCAGTGTGTGGAGGGAAATTTATAGCACTAAATGCCCACAAGAGAAAGCAGGAAAGATCTAAAATTGACACCCTAACATCACAATTAAAAGAACTAGAGAACCAAGAGCAAACACATTCAAAAGCTAGCAGAAGGCAAGAAATAACTAAGATCAGAGCAGAATTGAAGGAGATAGAGACACAAAAAGCCCTTCAAAAAATCAATGAATCCAGGAGCTGGTTTTTTGAAAAGATCAACAAAATTGATAGACCACTAGCAAGACTAATAAAGAAGAAAAGAGAGAAGAATCAAATAGATGCAATAAAAAATGATAAAGGGGATATCACCACCGATCCCACAGAAATACAAACTACCATCAGAGAATACTATAAACAACTCTACGCAAATAAACTAGAAAATCTAGAAGAAATGGATAAATTCCTCAACACAGACACCCTCCCAAGACTAAACTAGGAAAAAGTTGAATATCTGAATAGACCAATAACAGGCTCTGAAATTGAGGCAATAATTAATAGCTTACCAACCAAAAAAAAGTCCAGCACCAGATGGATTCACAGCCGAACTCTACCAGAGGTACAAGGAGGATCTGGTACCATTCCTTCTGAAACTATTCCAATCAATAGAAAAAGAGGGAATCCTCCCTAACTAAATTTTATGAGGCCAGCATCATCCTGATACCAAAGCCTGGCAGAGACACAACAAAAAAAGAGAATTTTAGACCAATATCCCTGATGAACATCAATGTGAAAATCCTCAATAAAATACTGGCAAACCGAATCCAGCAGCACATCAAGAAGCTTATCCACCATGATCAAGTGGGCTTCATCCCTGGGATGCAAGGCTGTTTCAACATATGAAAATCAATAAACGTAATCCAGCATCTAAACAGAACCAATGACAAAAACCATATGATTATCTCAATAGATGCAGAAAAGGCCTTTGAAAACATTCAACAACCTTCATACTAAAAACTCTCAATAAATTAGGTATTGATGGGACATATCTTAAAATAATAAGAGCTATCTATGACAAACCCACAGCCAATATCATACAGAATGGGCAAAAAAGGGAAGCATTCCCTTTGAAAACTGGCACAAGACAGGGATGCCCTCTCTCACCACTCCGATTCAACACAGTATTGGAAGTTCTGGCCAGGGCAATCAGGCAGGAGAAAGAAATAAAGCATATTCAATTAGGAAAACAGGAGTAAAATTGTCCCTGTTTGCAGATGACAAGATTGTATATCAAGAAAACCCCATCGTCTCAGGCCCAAAATCTCCTTAAGCTGATAGGCAACTTCAGCAAAGTCTCAGGACACAAAATCAATGTGCAAAAATCCCAAGCGTTCTTATACACCAATAACAGACAAACAGAGAGCCAAATCATGAGTGAACTCCCATTCACAATTGCTTCAAAGAGAATAAAATACCTAGGAATCAAACTTACAAGGGATGTGAAGGACCTCTTCAAGGAGAACTACAAACCACTGCTCAATGAAATAAAACAGGATACAAACAAATGGAAGAACATTCCACGCTCATGGGTAGGAAGAATCAATATCATGAAAATGGCCATACTGCCCAAGGTAATTTATAGATTCAATGCCATCCCCATCAAGCTACCAATGACTTTTTTCACAGAATTGGAAAAAACTACTTTAAAGTTCATATGGAACCAAAAAAGAGCACACATTGCAAAGCAATCCTAAGCCAAAAGGACAAAGCTGGGGGCATCATACTACCTGGCTTCGAACTATACTACAAGGTTAGAGTAACCAAAACAGCATGGTACTGGTACCAAAACAGAGATATAGACCAATGGAACAGAACAGAGCCCTCAAAAATAATGCCACATATCTACAACCACCTGATCTTTGACAAACCTGACAAAAACGAGAAATGGGGAAAGGATTTCCTATTTAATAAATGGTGCTGGGAAAACTGGCTAGCCATATGTAGAAAGCTGAAACTGGATCCCTTCCTTACACCTTATACAAAAATTAATTCCCGATGGATTAAAGACTTAAATGTTAGCCTAAAACCATAAAAACCCTAGAAGAAAACCTAGGCAATACCATTCAGGACGCAGGCATGGGCAAGCACTTCATGTCTAAAACACCAAAGACAATGGCAACAAAAGCCAAAATTGACAAATGGGATCTAATTAAACTAAAGAGCTTCTGCACAGCAAAAGAAACTACCATCAGAGTGAACAGGCAACCTACAGAATGGGAGAAAATTTTTGCAATCTACCCATCTGACAAAGGACTAATATCCAGAATCTACAAAGAACTCAAACAAATTTACAAGAAAAAAAACAAACAGCCCCATCAAAAAGTGGGTGAAGGATATAAAAAGACACTTCTCAAAAGAAGACATTTAGGTAGCCAAGAGACACATGAAAAAATGCTCATCATCACTGGCCATCAGAGAAATGCAAATCAAAACCACAATGAGATACCACCTCACACCAGTTAGAATGGCGATCATTAAAAAGTCAGAAAACAACAGGTGCTGGAGAGGATGTGGAGAAATAGGAACACTTTTACACTGTTGGTGGGACTGTAAACTAGTTCAACCATTGTGGAAGTCAATGTGGCGATTCCTCAGGGATCTTGAACTAGAAATACCATTTGACCCAGCCATCCCATTACTGGGTATATACCCAAAGGATTATAAATCATGCTGCTATAAAGACACATGCACACATATGTTTATCGCAGCACTATTCACAATAGCAAAGACTTGGAACCAACCCAAATGTCCAACAGTGTAGACTGGATTAAGAAAATGTGGCACATATACACCATGGAATACTATGCAGCCATAAAAAATGATGAGTTCATGTCCTTTGTAGGGACATGGATGAAGCTGGAAACCATCATTCTCAGCAAACTATTGCAAGGACAAAAAACCAAACACTGCACGTTCTCACTCATAGGTGGGAATTGAACAGTGAGAACTCATGGACACAGGAAGGGGAACATCACACACTGGGGCCTGCTGTGGGGTTGGGGGAGGGATAGCATTAGGAGATATATCTAATATTAAATGACAAGTTAATGGGTGCAGCACACCAACATGGCACATGTGCACATGTATACATATGTAACTAACCTGCACGTTGTGCACATGCACCCTAAAACTTAAAAGTATAATAATAAAAAAAAAGAACGTAAAATATCTCACCTATCACTGTCTCCAAGAAATTTCCTTCTTTTGACACTGAGTCTCACTCTGTCACCCAGGCTGGAGTGCAGTGACGCCATCTCAGCTCACTGCAACCTCCACCTCCCGGGTTCAAGCAATTCTCCAGCCTCAGCCTCCCAAGTAGCTTAGATTACAGGCACCCACCATCACAACTGGCTAATTTTTGTATTTTTAGTAGAAACGGGGTTTTGCCATGTTGGCCAGGCTGGCCTCGAACTCCTGACCTCAGGTTATCCACCCACCTCAGCTTCCCAGAGTGCTGGGATTACAGGTGTGAGCCACTGTACCCGGCCTAGAAATTAATTTCTAAGACATTTTCTTCTAAGAGATTTCAAAATTTGGATGAGTTTCTTCATATGATGCTTACAATATGCAACCCACTCATATTGATGCTTTACCTATTCTAGCTTATGTTTCATTTAACATACTTTGTTTAGAATTTCATAAAATTTTTCTTTTACAGAGAAAAACAATGCTGACTGCCTTAATCCTTTTACATGTGAACAGTAAATGACTCTTAAGTAATCTAAATGTTGCATTGATAAGCTATAAATACCCTCAAACACCCCACTTAAAAACAGTAATTTACCACATTAAAACAAATCCAAACTTTTCATGAGAACCTAGAAAATCCATGTGAAATTACATGGCATGAAGAGAACAGTGAAAAAACTAACACAAATCAGGAGAAGGGCTGTGAGGTACACACAGCTGAGGATGAACACATAAAGACATCAAAAAACTGAAGATAATTAGAATATAAACACTGAAATCTTCTTTAAATTCAGAATGAGTCACTTTTACAGCCTGGGAACAGATGTCCTCTTAACATACAGAATTAATACCATTTCTTCACCACAGATATTTTCAATCTCTTACTTGGACCTACAAATAAACTCCAGAAAAATATTTATACCTAATTATGGAGCAGCTATTACACACCTATCACTTTCTTATGTTTGTTCACTGCAATTACATATCAAAACATCCTCATAAGTTATAAAGTGTTCCCAGTACTTACTTGAATTGGCCCAATAAATAAACTCAATTATGTTGATTATAAAAAGTGAAAGGAACAGTAACTAAACAGCTTATATATGGTTCCCCAATTAAACAAAATATTCTAACTAAATGTTACTTAACACACACATTGTGAACATCTTAAATTTATTTTGTGGGCTCTACTAAATTTTATAAAAATCATTCTTATAATTTCTGACCAGCTCACACAATAAATACTTAATGAAGTTAAAACAAAAAACTATGAGAAACAAGTGAATTATATCACTAGCATGAGTATAAGACAAAACAGATAATTTGCACAAGGAGATTCTCAACAATGATCCATTAGATTCTACAGCAATTAATTAAATACAAAGAATATAGTGTAGATTTGATTCCAGAATATTTTAGGTTTTTATGTTTCTAGTAAGTTATATATATTATTAAAAGAATATTTTTTGTCCCAATGTTGCTATTTTCTTTGGAAAATAGGTACAAATTTCCAAACACAATTGCTTGGTCTACAATTTTTTTACACCTAAGGTTTATCTTACAGCAATATGTTTATATATTTATCTCCATGTAAATCAAAACTAGAAGTCTGTACATGTTTGCCAGAAGAGATGCCAGATGTCCAAAGAAAAATATGGAACATTTAAAAACATATTTATTCAGGACACAGAAATGTCTAAATTATAATTATATTCTGATATAATTCTAAATACAATCATAAAATTACCTGTAATAAAAAATAATTTAATTGTACATTTAAAAATGAAGTGTATAATTGGATTGTTTGTAATACAAAGGATAAATGCTTGAGGTGATGAATAACTCATTTACTCTGATGTGATTACATGTTGCATGTCTGTATCAAAGTAACCCATCTATGCCATGAATGTATACACATACCATGTACCCACATAAATTTTTAAAAATAAATTTAAATATAAAAAATAATAAAAATTTAACATGAGAACAATATTCTTCAACTTATTTGCTGTTTAAAGCCACTGGAAAAAGAAATTACTAGAAATGTCATTAAACTATGTTACTAAAAGTATACTGTTACCATTTTTTACCTACACCCTTGAGTAAGGTTCACACACAATCTTAAAAGAGAATTTTAAAATTTACTGTATTTTATTACATAAATGTGCAACTGGTAAAAGCAATTTATTACTAAAATTCAAGATTTTTCTCTCACTATAATGCAGAAGAATATTACTCTGAACATGTACGTCATGCATCATGCAATGATAAGTCAACCACAAAGATGTATGCATCATCTCATGCATCTTTCAATGTCCTTACTCATTCATGTAAAAGTTCATGAATACGCCTGTAATCCCAGCACTTTGGGAGGCCGAGGCGGGCGGATCACGAGGTCAGGAGATCGAGACCATCCCGGCTAAAACGGTGAAACCCCGTCTCTACTAAAAATACAAAAAATTAGCCGGGCGTAGTGGCGGGCGCCTGTAGTCCCAGCTACTTGGGAGGCTGAGGCAGGAGAATGGCGTGAACCCAGGGGGAGGCAGAGCTTGCAGTGAGCCGAGATCCCGCCACTGCACTCCAGCCTGGGCGACAGAGCGAGACTCCGTCTCAAAAAAAAAAAAAAAGTTCATGAATGATGCCCACCTAAAAAGAATCACTCATACCTCTGATGCAACAATTCATCACATGCTTTCATATAAACAATAAGTTGAATCAGTATGAAGTAATTTTAGAGTTGAATTTGCTTTTCAAAAAATCTATAATTTTTTCAGGTAAAAAAAGTATAATTTCAATGGAATAATTTCAAAAAGCTACTCCTTTTCAACTTATATAGAAAGAAATTATCTAACAGTTTCAGCTTTGGAATTTTTTTATACTTTACACTCTGATATACTGTAATGTTTCAAGTGTTAATGCCTTTTTCTTTCTACTGTAAATATTCTGACATTTAGTCTTAATTTCAGACTATCTTTTCATACTTACCGCATCTACAAAATATCTTCTAGTATAAACTGGTTTTTTTTAAGCTATAGTTTTTGAACAAATGCTTTTCCAAATTTATTACATTTGTAAAATTTCTTTCCAATATAAATTCTCTAATGTCAAAGAAAGTTTGGGCAACTGCTTCAGGGTTTTCTTCTAGTATGAAATATGCACAATAAGACCCATGATGCAAGTACAGGTACTACAACCCTCTTACTATTTCTATTGTCTATCTTCAGAATACTCTTCTTCACTTTTAAGACCTGTATTTTCTAATAGGTCTTTCAACAAATACTACATTTATAATCCTTTTATTAAGTACAAACTCTCTGATATTTAGTAACACATGAGTAGGCATTAATGGCTTTTCTACATTTTCTATATTTGTACAATTTTTCTCAAGTATAAATGCTATCATGTGCAAAGAGATATGAGCATTGGTTAAAGGTTTTGCCACACTTTTAATATTCCTAGGGGTTTTCTGCAGTAAGAATTATATTCAGTAATATGTGACAAGCATTTGAAGGCTTTTCCACATTTTTCATATTTTTATGGCTTCTCACCAATACCATTTCTCTTATGTTTAGAACAGATTGAGTTGCGGTTAAAAGCTTTGTCAATTTTTTCATGTGTAGAGTTTCTCTCCAGTATGAATTATGATTAGAAAAGACTGAGGAAGACTTAAAGGCTCCCACATTCTTCACATTTCTAAAATTTTCCTCCAGTATGAGTTCTCTTATGTTGAGGAAGGTTGGAGTACTGCTTAAAAGCTTTCCCGCATTCTTTACATTTGTAGGGTTTATCTACAGTGTGAATTTTCTTATGTTTATTCAAGTGTGAGGACTGTTTAAAGGCTTTGCCACATTGTTTACATATGTAGGGTTTCTCTCCAGTATGAATTTTCTTATGATTATGCAGGTTTGCAAACACTTTAAAGGCTTTGCCACAATCTTCACATTTGTAGGGATTTTTTCCAGAGTGAATTCTCTTGTGTACATTAAGGGTTGAGGACCAATTAAAGGCTTTTCCACATTCTTCACATGTGTAGGGTTTCTCTCCAGTATGGATTCTCTTATGTGTCGTAAGAGTTGTGGACCTATTAAAGGATTTTCCACATTCTTCACATTTGTAGGGTTTCTCTCCTGTATGAATTCTCTTATGTTTAGCAAAGTCTGAGGATGTGGTAAAGACATTGCCACATTCTTCGCATGAGAAGGGTTTCTCTCCAGCATGAATTCTCTTATGTTCATTAAGGGATGAGGACCACTTAAAGGCTTTACCACATTCTTCACATTTGTAGTATTTTTGTGCAGAATGAATTCTCTTATGTAAATTAAGGGTTGAGGATTGGTTAAAAGCTTTACCACATTTTTCACATATGTAGGGTTTCTCTCCAGTATGAATTCTCTTATGTTTAGTAAGGTGTGAGGACCGAGTAAAGCCTTTACCACATTCTTCACACTTGTAGAATTTCTCTCTGGCATGAATTCTCTTATGTTTAGTAAGAATTGAGGACCAATTAAAGGCTTTGCCACATTCTTCACATGTGTAGGGGTTCTCTCCAGTATGAATTCTTTTGTGTTGAGTTAGGCGTGAGAGCACGTGAAATGATTTGCCACATTCTTTACATTTAAAGGTTTTATCTCCAGTATATCTTATCTTATCTTTGTTTGAATTTGAAAATTTATGAAAAACTTTGACACATATATTAGATTGAATTGTTTTTTTCTGGGTAGTTAATAAGCATTGGTTAATTCTATTATAACCACCTTTCTGCACCTTACACTCATTTATACTTTTACAAGTTTTTCTTAAATTCTCATGTCCACGTTTCTCATGTCCTTTTGGTATAAGTTTGTGGAATGAATCTTCTATGCCCTGCACTGTCCAAAGGTTTTGGGTGAAATGAGAACACACAGCTGAAAGAAATAAAAATAACAAATTATCCCACTTACTAGATTCATATAAATATACTTTACAGGCCAGGCACTATAGCTCAAGCCAGTAATTCCAGCAGTTTCCGAGGCCAAGGTGGGCAAATAATGAGGTAAGGAGTTCGAGACCAGCCTGGCCAACATGGTGAAACACTGTCTGTACTAAAAATACAAAAAAAATGTGCTGGGAATGATGGTGCATGCCTATAATCCCAGCTACTTGGGAGGCTGAGGCAGGAGAATCCCTTGAACCCGGGAGGTAGAGGCTTCCATCAGCCAAGATCACACCACTGCACTCCAGAAAAGGTGACAGTGTGAGACCCCATCTCAATAAATAAATAAACAAATAAGTAAATAAATATACTTTACAAATCTAATACAATTACAAATCTAATATATAAAATTATACAAAGTATATCAGTAAGATGCTCAGTAAATACCACAGGCCATAATTTCTTTACAGACATATATAACAAAAATATACTGACCAAAATGCCTTTGTGTGAAATCTATAAATGAGTTAATTATGTGCAATGCCTCAGGTAAGCACAATTCCAAGAGCCACATAAAACACGAAGTAAAGTATGTTACATTTACCCACTGCAGCTCTTCCTTCCCACAAATATAGCATTGTGCTTTAGGAGTAAACTGCCAACACCTGGCTTCTTAGAGGAAAAATAGTGACACACGCATTCCTACTTCTGGTTTTTGGAAATTATTACAAAAGCTGGTTTCTGTCTCCAATAATACAGGGTGCTGAAAGAAATGGTGGTGAGTCTGCTGAGACCAAAGGTAAATGTTTCATGAGCAGACAGCAGTGCTAAAAACAGGGAACAGGTAGAGCAAGTGATTAGAAACCATAAGAAGAAACATGAACAAACTCTTTTAACTGAAGAATAAACACAAAATTCTAGACAAGACACACCCTTACAACATGTATGAGAGGCTCCCATAATCTCTATCAAAGACAACTGGTTTCAGACTATGTGAGGACAAGGCAACATTGTAAAGATTGTGACAAATAGCTTTTAGTTCATGTTCAAATAACAATATTACAATGTAGGCAAAATACTAGGGCAACATGGCCCAATTAAAAAATTTGAAAATTTTCAGAAAACAACTATAAATAATGAAGATATTCAAAATTTAAAAGTTTAACCTGAATAATGCTCAATGAGTGAAATAGAAACATATACAATTTATAAAATCAGAAAAATAAGAATATCAATGAAAACATTAAAAATATAAAAAACAAGTCATGAAGGTGAAAAATACAACAATAATGACTGAGACATTTTCAAAAGTAAAAAAAGGATGTAAAAACTGAAGATGCTCCACAAGCTTCAACTAGGATACACACATAGAGATTTATAACAAGACACATACAAGCAAAGTTTCAAAAGTCAAAGACAAGAAGAGAATCTTAGGAGTTACAAGGTAAAAGTGATGTGTCATTTATAAATAAGTGTGGTCTTATAAGATAACCAGTGAATCTGTCAAAAAAAAAAAATTCCAGATGTCATGGAATTGTAATATAAAGTGGTGAAAGAAAAATAGCTTCGGCCAGGCACAGTGGCTCAGACCTGTAATCCCAACACTTTGGGAGGCCAAGGTGGGCAGATCACAAGGTCAGGAGTTCGAGACCATCCTTGCCAACATGGTGAAACCCTGTCTCTACTAAAAATACAAAAAAATTAGCCAGGTGTGGTGCACATGCCTGTAGTCCCAGCTACTCGGGAGGCTGAGGCAAAAGAATTGCTTGAACCCAGGAGGCAGAGGTTGCAGTGAGCCAAGATCGCGCCACTGCACTCTAGCCTGGGCGACAAAACAAGACTCCATCTCAAAAAAAAAAAAAAGAAAAAAGAAAAAAAGAATAGCTCCTAAGTGGGACTAATATAACCAGCAAAACTGTCCTAAAAATGAAGAAAAAGTAAAGACCTTGCAAGATAACCAAATGCTGAAAAAGTATATTAGCACTACATCTGCCTTGCAAAAAAAAAAAAAGGCTAAAGAAAGTATCTTTCACTGAAAATAACATAATGCAAGAAAACAAAACATAATCATATGAAAACATAATTTTCTAGGAAAGATATGCACATACAAAAATATAAAGTTCTATATCATTATCATGATAGCACAGAAAATATTTTATTCTCCAAAATGTGAAAGATAAAAGCAAACAAAAAAACCCCTTAATCATAAACTGTTAATATGCAAAATAAAAATATGATTAGTGACATCAATAATAAAGTTGAGGGCAGATATAATGAGGAAGAATTTCAACATGCAACTAAAGTTAAGTTCTTACCAGTTTAAAATATATTATTTTAAATTTAAGAAATTTTATGTAATTCCCAAGATATCAAATAAAAAAGGATCTGTAGAGATACTCAAAAAACAAGAAGTAAGGGCCTATCAATACAAAAATCAAAAAGACACAAAGACAGAAAATAAGGGACAAAGATAAAATTATCAAGTAAAACAATAAAATAATATTAGTAAGCCTTTCTGTCAGCAAATTATTTAAATATTTATGAAGTAAACTTTCCATTCAAAATACATGCACTGAATAAAAAAATTTTAACAATTAAAAAAACAAGATCCAACCTGCTTTTCTACAAGTCACTTAAAATCTAATGATTAAAGGAAGGAGACAAGGCAAGATGAAAAAAGACATTTCATGCAAATAACCAAATAAGAGGTCAAAATTATATTACACAAAGTGCATCTTAAGTGAAAAACTGTCCTATTTCATAAAATATGCCTTAACTAAAAGCTTATAAGAGACAAAGGACATTAAACAATAATGAAAGTGTTCATTTACTGGAAACCCATGACAAATGTGTGTATATATACATATTAATGTGTGTGTGTGTATCTCACATTAGGGTTTCAAATATATAAAGCAAATACTGACAGAAGTAAAGCCAAGATATACAAAGCAATATAATTATACTAGGATATTTTGATACCCCAATTTCTGTAATGAATAAAACAAAAAGACAATATTCATAAGGGAGCAGAAGACTTGAAAGCAGTATTAAAAAATTATGCCTAACAGAATTGTAGAAAACACTGCTCAATGACAGCAGAATACACACCCTTCTCAATAGCTCATACAAAAGTCTTCTTGATAAACCACCGGTTAGGCCACAAAAAGACCCTCAACAAATTTTTTTAAATTAAAATTTTACAGATTACTTTTTATGACCAAACTGGAAAGAGAGTAGAATAAAAAAACTGAAAATCTTACATAATTATAGAAAGCAAACAATATACTCTTTAGCATGCTCTTGTTCAATGTTTGAAATATTTAATATTATGAAGCCATCTGGACTGTTGAATGTAATAATCAGATTAAATGCAATCCCTGTCAAATTTCTAATCGAGTTTTTCCAGAAATAGAAACAGCAACCCCAAAATTAGATAAAATTTCGAGAGACAATGTAGCACCAAGCGATCTTCAATAAGAAAAACAACAAGGCCGGGTGCGGTGGCTCACACCTGTTAATACCAGCACTTTGAGAGGCCGAGGTGGGTGGATCACCTGAGGTTGGGAGCTCAAGACCAGCCTGACCAACATGGAGAAATCCCATCTCTACTAAAAACATACAAAATTAGCTGGGCATGGTGGCACATGCCTGTAATCCCAGCTACTGAGGAGGCTGAAGCAGGAGGATCACTTGAACCTGGGAGGCAGAGGTTGCAGTGAACTGAGATTGCACCATTGCACTCCAGCGTGGGCAACAAGTGTGGAACTGTCTGAAAAAAAAAAAAAAAAAAAAAAAAAAAAGAAAGAAAGAAAGAAACAAAAAGAAAAAAAGAAAAACAACAATGTTGGAGGCATCACAGCTCCTGATTTCAAAACACATACAAAGCTAAAAATTGAAACAATTTAGTATGAGTATAAGCGGAACAGCTAGATGGATAAGATTAAATCCAGCACAAACATAAACTCTCATATACATGGTCACATGAAGAGTAATTTGTACACTCATAATTATTGCAGCACTGTTACTGAAGCAAATAAACGAAAGTAATGCAAATGTCTCTCATCAGATGGATAAATATAATTTGAAATATTAATATTAGTTTTTTAGAAGCAAAAAATAATCTAATGAAATAAAAATAAATCTTAATGAAATTGTGCAACATGAAATAAGTCAGCCACAAAGAGACAGAAACTATATGAATCAACTTACATAAGCTATCTAAAACAGTCTGATTCTGAAATAGAAAGCAATTGTTTTTGCAAAGCGCCAGAAAACAGAAATACATGGTTTTTTAATGTGTAGAGTGATTTTAGCTTTGCAAGACACATTCTAGAGATACAATGCATAACAATGTCAATATAATATGACTGAGTATTAAAAATATTTAAGATTGTAAAGTCTGTTTTTTTTGACAATTAAAAATAGTAATATCTAGAAGAGATACAGAGGTATGATGGCTTTTGAAATTATCTTCTAATCACAAAAGTGCTCTCCCACACATAAAAATATAGATTCACAAATAAATAGAGGGTAAAATTAGAAGTATTTCAATGACAACTCACCTAGACAGGGTAAAATGATCATTGTATACACACAAACAGAGCAAGTATACAACTTATAAACAATGCAGGAACAATACAAATACAGATAAACACAGAGACTTATATTGGAAATAGACATATCACTGATGCATATTTGACTTGTGCTCCACACTGTCTGTATTAGTCCATTTTCATACTGCTGATAAACATACCCAAAGATGGGGTAATTTATAAGAAAAAAAGGTTTAATGGACTCACATGTGGCTGGGGTGGCCTCAAAATCATTGTGGGAGGTACAAAGTGAAAGGCACATCTTACATGGTGGTAGACGAAAGAGAATAAGAACCAAACAAATGGGGAAACCTCTTATAAAAACCATCAGGTCTCATGAGTCATTCACTACTGTAAAAACAGTATGGGAAAAACCACTGCCCTGATTCAATTATCTCCCACTGGGTCCCTCCCACAACACATGGGAATTATGGGAGCTATAATTCAAAATGAGATTTGGCTGAAGACACAGCCAAACCCTATCATTCCACCCCTGGTTCTTCCCAAATCTCATGTCCTCACATTTCAAAACAAATTATGCCTTCCCAACAGTCCCCCAAAGTCTTAACTCATTTCAGGTTGAACTCACAAGTCCACAGTCAAGTCTCATTGAGAGAAAGTAAGTCCCTTCCACCTATGAGCCTGTAAAATCAAAAGCAAGTTAGTTATTTCCTAGACACAATGGGGGTGCAGGCATTGGGTAAATACACCCATACCAAGTAAGAGAAATTGGCCAAAACAAGGAAGTTAGAGGCCCCATGCAAGGCCAAAATTCAGCAAGGCAGTCAAATCTTAAAGCTCCAAAATGATGTCCTTTGACTCCATGTCTCACACCCAGGTCACATTGATGCAAGAAATAGGTTCCCATGATCTTGAGCAGCTCCACCCCTGTGGCTTTGCAGGGTACAGTCAGTCTCCTGGCTGCTTTCATGGGCTGGTGTTGAGTGTCTGTGGATTTTACAGGTGCATGGTGCGAGCTATCAGTGGATCTATCATTCTGGGGCCTGGAGGACAGTGGCCTGCTTCTCACAGCTCCACTAGGCAGTGCCCCAGTGGGGACTCTGTGTGGGGGCTCCAACCCCACATTTCCCTTCTGCACTGCCCTAGCAGAGGTTCTCCATGAGGGCCACACCCCTGCAGCAAACTTGACAGTCAGGCATTTGTATACATATTCTGAAATGTAGGCAGAGGTTTCCAAACCTCGCTTTTGACTTCTGTGTACCTGCAGGCTCAAGATCACATGGAACCTACCAAGGCTTGGGGCTTGGACCCTCTGAAGCCAAGGCCTAAGCTGTACCTTGACCCTGTTTAGCTATGGGTAGAGTAGCTGGGACACAGGGCACCAACGCCCTAGGAAGGGGGGCCTAGGCCCAACCCATAAAATTATTTCCCTCTTAGGCCTCTGGGCCTGTGATGGGAGAAGCTATCACAAAGTTCTCTGAAATGCCCTAGAGACATTTTTCCCAGTGTCTTAGTGATTAACATTTGGCTCCTCATTACTTATGCGAATTTCTGCAGTGAGCTTGAATTTCCCTTCAGAAAATGGGTTTTTCTTGTCTATCACATCATCAGGCTGTAGAATTTCTGAACTTTCATGCTGTTTCCCTTTTAAAACTGAATGCTTTTAACAGCACCCAAGTCACCTCATGAATGCTTTATGGGTTAGGAATTTCTTCTACCAGATACCCTAAGTCATTTCCCTCAAGTTCAAAGTTCCACAGATCTCTAGTGCAGGAGCAGAATGCCACCAGTCTTTCTGCTAAAACATGGCAAGAGACACCTTTACTGCATTTCCCAAGTTCCTCATCTCCACCTGAGAGCACCTTGGACTGGATTTCATTGTCCATATCATTATTAGCACTTTGGTCAAAGCCATACAACACATCTCCAGGAAGTTCCAAACTTTCCCACATTTTCCTGTCTCCTTCTCAGCCCTCCAAGCTGTTCCAACCTCTGCCTGTTACCCAGTTCCAGAGTCACTTCCACATTTTCAGGTGCAGTTCCCAACTCTACTGGTACCAATTTACTGCAGAAGTCCATTTTCACACTGCTGATAAAGACATACCTGAGATTGGATAATCTATAAAGAAAAAGAGGTTTAATGGACTCACAGTTCCATGTGGCTGGGGAGGCCTCAAAATCATGGCAGAAGCCAAAAGTCATGTCATATATGGCAGGAGGCAAGACAGAATGAGAGCCAAACAAAAGGGGAAACCTTATAAAATTATCAGATCTCCTGAGACTTATTCACCACCATGAGAACAGTATGGGGGAAACTGCCCCCATGACTTAATTATCTCCCACAACACATGGGAATTATGAAAGCCATAATTCAAGATGAGATTTGGGTGGGGACACAATCAAACCATATCACTGTCTTATAGTGTACACAGTTGAATATTGTCATACACAATTATAATATCAAATAACATCCTTGTCTTGTCCCAAATTTCAAATAAAACATTTTCTGCTTTTTTTGTTCTGTTCAGTATATAGATTTGTCAGTATATAGATTTCTGTTCAGTATACAGATTTGTTCAGCCATAGATTTGTCAAATGTGGCCCTTCTTGTGTTGAGCTACATACCATCTATACCTAATTTGTTGAGTTTCTTAAATCACAAATGCATGTTGAATTTTGCCAAATGCTGCTTCTGCATCCTCAATAAAAAAGAGATGTCTAGCAGCAAACTTCATTAAAAAGCTGAACACTCTACACTGAAAATTATAAATCATTGATAAAAATATGAAAAACTGAAAGATTTTTATGCTCATGAATTGAAAAATTATTATGAAAGTTGCTATACTACCCAAGGTGATCTACAGATTCAATGCAATCTCTATCATAATATCAATGACTTTTTTCACAGAAATGGAAAAAACAAGCTTAAACGTTATAGGGAACTACCAAAGACCCCCAAATAGCCAAAGAAATCCTGAGCAAAAAGAATAAAGCTGGAGACATCACACTACCTGACTCCATAATATAATATAAAGCTACAATAAGCAAAGGAGCATGATTCTGGCATAAAAATAGACAGATGACAGTATCCAGTGAGCCCAGTAATAAATCCATGAACCTAGAGCCAAGGGATTTTAAACAAAGATGTCTAGAACACACATTGGAGAAAGAGAGTCTTTTCAATAAATAGTGCAAGGAAAACTGAGTATCTACATGATAATCAAAAAAAGTAAAAAATAAACCTAGGCCCCTACCTCTTTTGATATAAAAAACTCAATCACAAATAAAGATTTATATGTTTGGGAAACCCAAACATATAAAGCTATTTGAAATAAACATAGAGAAATGTTTTACCACATATTACAGAGAAAAAAATGTTTAAGACCTCAAAGTACATGTAAAAATCTGCAAACGTGACTACAAAAAACTAAAAATGTTTTGCATAGCAAAAAAATCCCAACAGAGTGAAGAGATAATCTACAGAATGAAAGAAAATATTTGCGAAGTATACTTATGACAAAAGATAAACTTACAGAATATATAACAAACTTAAAACAAAAATAACAATTTAAAAACCACAATAAAATATCACATCACAGCCAGGCACGGTGGCTCATGCCTGTAATCCCAGCACTTTGGTTTGTGGGGAAAAGCAAGAGAGATCAGATTGTTACTGTGTCTGTGTAGAAAGAAGTAGACATAGGAGACTCCATTTTGTTATGTACTAAGAAAAATTCTTCTGCCTTGAGATTTTGTTAATCTATAACCTTACCCCCAACCCCGTGCTCTCTGAAACATGTGCTGTGTCAACTCAGAGTTGAATGGATTAAGGGCGGTGCAAGATGTGCTTTGTTAAACAGATGCTTGAAGGCAGCATGCTCCTTAAGAGTCATCACCACTCCCTAATCTCAAGTACCCAGGGACACAAAAACTGCGGAAGGCCGCAGGGACCTCTGCCTAGGAAAGCCAGGTATTGTCCAAGGTTTCTCCCCATGTGATAGTCTGAAATATGGCCTCGTGGGAAGGGAAAGACCTGACCGTCCCCCAGCCCGACACCCGTAAAGGGTCTGTGCTGAGGAGGATTAGTAAAAGAGGAAGGAATGGCTCTTGCAGTTGAGACAAGAGGAAGGCATCTGTCTCCTGCCTGTCCCTGGGCAATGGAATGTCTCGGTATAAAACCCGATTGTATGCTCCATCTACTGAGATAGGGAAAAACCGCCTTAAGGCTGGAGGTGGGACCTGCGGGCAGCAATACTGCTTTGTAAAGCATTGAGATGTTTATGTGTATGCATATCTAAAAGCACAGCACTTAATCCTTTACATTGTCTATGATGCAAAGACCTTTGTTCACGTGTTTGTCTGCTGACCCTCTCCCCACAATTGTCTTGTGACCCTGACACATCCCCCTCTTTGAGAAACACCCACGGATGATCAATAAATACTAAGGGAACTCAGAGGCTGGCGGGATCCTCCATATGCTGAACGCTGGTTCCCCGGGTCCCCTTATTTCTTTCTCTATACTTTGTCTCTGTGTCTTTTTCTTTTCCAAATCTCTCGTCCCACCTTACGAGAAACACCCACAGGTGTGTAGGGGCAACCCACCCCTACATTGGTTGGTTGAGGTGGGTGGATTACCTGAGGTTAGGAGTTCAAGACCAGACTGGCCAACATGGTGAAACCTCATCTCTACTAAAAAGGCAAAATGAGTACGGCATGATGGTGGGCACCTGTAGTCCCAGCTACTTGCGAGGCTGAGGCAGGAAAATCACTTGAACCTGGGAGGCGGAGGTTGTAGTGAGCCAAGATCATGCCACTGCACTCCAGCCTGGGCAATCAGAGCAAAACTCTGTCTCAAAAAAACAAAACAAAACAAAACAAAACAAAACAAAAAAACATTACTCCAGTGAGAATGACTGTTATTGAAAAGACTGTAATTGAAAAGACTGCCTGGGCTTGGTGGCTCATGCCTGTAATCCTAGCACTTTGGGAGGCCAAACTGGGCAGACTGCCTGAGCTCAGGAGTTTGAGACCAGCCTGGGCAACACGGTGAAACCCCGTCTCTACTAAAATACAAAAAAAAATTAGCTGGGCATGGCAGTATGCACCTGTAGTCCCAGCTACTTGGGAGGCTGAGGCAGGAGAACTGCCTGAACCCGGGAGGCAGAAGTTGCAGGGAGCTGAGATCACACCACTACACTCCAGCCTGGGTGACAGAGTAAGACTCCATCTCAAAAATAAATAAATTAATTAATTAAAAAATAAGACTAACAATTGTTAGTGAGACTGTATAGAAAAGAAAACAAATACAGTTGTAAAATTGTAAGTTAGTAGAGCCATTATAGGAAAAAAAGTATCACAGGATAACATATTTAAACAATCAATATATGGTAATTTAGACTGTTTCTTTGACTCATCACCTAGACAATAAAATGTTGATGACTACACACACACACACACACACAAAATTCAAATTGTTGGGTCATATGTTAGTTCTATTTTTTAATTAAACAGGACTGCTGAAGCATGTTAGTTCTATTTTTAATTTTTAAATTAAACACTATTGCTGGAGCATATAAAAGTTCTACTTTCTTTGTAGCTAAAAAAAACAAAATCAGTATGTCAAAGAGACATCTACACTCCTATGTTTATTATAGTACTATTTATAATAGCCAATATATGGAATCAATCCAATTATTGAAAGCCAGATGATAAAGAAAATCTAGTACAGATACACAACAAAATACTATTCAGTTATAAAAGACAACAAAAATTTGATATTTGCAAGGACACGGATGAACCTGGAGGCCGTTACATTAAGTGAAATAAACCAGATCCACCAAGACAAGTACCAGATGATCTTACACATATATGAAATCTAACAATAAATGATAAGGCTTCATGCACTGGTCTTGGCAATCATTTTTGGATATAACACCTAAGGCTCAGGAAACAAAAACATGAAAATACACATGGTACTACATCATCGTATCCAAAATATCCCAAGAATATTCAAAGCAGGACTTTAAATAGATATTTACACATGCATGTTCATTTATTATTATTTACAAAAGACAATTCCTGGAAACAACACAAATGTCCCTTTACAGATCAGTATCGGATTTTTAAAATGTGACATATATATAGAATATTATTTCATTTTAAAACAGATATTCTGACATATCTTACAAAAACAAAGCCTGAGAACATTACATTAAATTAGATAGTCAAACAGAAACAGACATTAATGACACTAATAAGAATATAAAAATTAGTCAAAATTATAAAAACAGTAAGTCAAATGGTGTTCTTCAGGAGCTGAAGAAAAAAAGGGGGGCAGTTTATTTTTTATTGGGTATTGTATTTTACAAGATAAAATAAATCTAGACACCCATTGCAATATAATGTAAATATACTTAACATCACTAGACCGTACAATTGAAAATGTTTAAGAAGGCAATTTTATTTTTTTATAACTATTATTTACACCTACTTAAAAAGGTTACATTCCTCAGAAATTACCTGCAAATTGCAAAAGTGTTTGTCTCACAGAATAATATGTAATAAGACAATAAACAGATGGTAACTTTACACTGTTTTTTGACTACTCACCTACACAAGAAAACACTGATGACCACCAAAGAAAATAAATAATTTATAATCAAAGGAGGGGCACTATTTATACAGGCAAATACCACCTAACTTTTATAGGCAATAAAAATGTCTGATTTATAAATGTATTTTAAATTGCCTCAAGTGAAACCCAATTATTTTTATTTGAATTAAACACCACTTGATCATTAAAGGTATAGATTTGAAAATTACCAAATATGAAGATTAGAAGTGAAAAAAATTAAATAATCAAGGAGTATCTACATGAAAAAAGATTGCCCAGTAAAATGGAGTTGAATACAATAAAAATTCTAACCCACAAAATATTAAATATATACAGATGTACCATAAAAACAATCCTTTAAATAACTACAGTTTTTAACTGTGACTATGTTCTTATTGAAGAGCCGGGATTTTGAATCTTTGGCATGAAATGTAAAGCAGTAAAAGAAAATGCATCTCAATAATTAATAAAATGCTCTAATGAAAATGAGCCATGTCAATACATGTACTTATTACACAATGTGTAAACTTGGGCATTTTATTTCAGAAATTTTGAATTTGAAATCAGATAATTTGGCATAGAACATATCAGAAAGTGAAACATACAAGGGGAGTGACATAGCAAGATGGCAGAATAGGAGGTTCTCTACCCACAACTTCTAGTTATGAAAATACAGCAGTTATGCCCTGACAAAAGAACCTTTATGAAAACTTAGAAATCCATGTAAAAGATTGTGAATCCAAGACTGAGGAGGGCTGTATTAAGAGGGCATGCACTTGCTTGAGTGGCATGCTTGCCCATCATAGTCCCAGCTACCGAATGAAATATGAATAATTCTCACTGTAAACATAGCTATAGATCATTTGGTTTTGTTCCTGCCACTATCACCATCTGCCAAGACACTTAGGAGAATTCATAATGTCCTGTGTCTCAGGTGAAAGGCCTTGACATGTTGGTCCTGCCTGTGATCTATAAATTAGCCCAAAACCCACCCCTTTCCCTGATCAGTCATAGTGTGGAAGAAATCCTGCACACACAGAGACCCACAGAAACATCCATCTGTGCCCCTGGATGTAGGCCTGCCAATATTTATTCAATGGTGGATTTTTTTTTTTTTTTTTTTTTTTGAGACAGAGTCTCACTCTGTCACCTTGGCTGCAGAGTGCAATGGCGTGATATTTGCTCACTGCAACCTCCAGCTCCCAGGTTCAAGCAATTCTGCTGCCTCAGTCTCCTGAGTAAGCGGGATTACAGATGCCCGCCACCATGCCCAGCAAATTTTTGTATTTTTAGTAGAGATGGGATTTGGCCAATTTGGCCAGGCTGGTCTCGAACTCCTGACCTCAGGTGGTCCGCCCACCTTGGCCTCCCGAAGTGCAGGGATTACAGATGTGAGTCACTGCACCTGGCCCTGATGGTGGATTTTGATGTGGCACTATAACCTGGCTCCGAGTCCATGCAACCAAAGTCCAGGGGCAGTTTTTCCTAGCCTGAAACCTGCCAAAAAGCACACCTATAGGCATGCTGGCTGACTTTATTCCCACTATGAATCTTGAAGTAGCCCTGTAACCAGCGCCATTCCCTGTCCGCTAGAGTCTGGGAGCAGTCCTGCCCGCCCAGAAATCTGAAGGCATAAATGCCGTGAACCCAGAAACAGAGCTGAAGTCTTAGCTGTGTATCCTGAAGCAGCCCTATGAATCAGTTCCACACCTTTTCAGCTGTGATCAAGGACCAACCCTGCTCTTCCAGGAACCTGTCCAATGACTGGATTAGAGCATTTCCAAAAACCAGCAAAAGCCTCACAGGAGTCACACCAGATAACATTACTGTATCAGCACCCCCAGATATAATTGGAGGGTTTTTTTTCCTGGAGATGGAATCTCGCTCTGTCGCCCAGGCTGGATGGAGTGCAGTGGTGTGATCTCAGCTCCGTGCAACCTCCACCTCCCGGGTTCAAGCAATTCTCCTGCCTCAGCCTCCCAAGTAGCTGGGGCTACAGGCGCACACTGCCACGACTGGCTAATTTTTTGTATTTTAGTAGAGACGGGGTTTCACCATGTTGCCCAGGCTGGTCTCGAACTCCTGAGCTGAGGCAATTCACCTGCCTTGGCCTCCCAAAGTGCTGGGATTTTTTTTTTCTGAGCACTAGTCATATTGATCAACATCTTGAAGAAAGTTTGGTGTTCTCAGAAAACAGACGAAACCACAACTGTCTGATGCCCTGATTACAGGTCTGCCAAGCATGAACTTCATGGCAGGCCCGGTAGTAGTTACATGACCTGGCTCCAATGCACTTAACTGCAATATCAGCAGAAATCGCATCAGTCCAGAGATCCAACAGAAGAAGATATTTACCTCCCCAAACTAGTTTATAGTAACTGAAAGAGGCATTTGCTTCTTCAGACGCAAGGACATCCTTAATGGATCATGAAGGATCAGGCAAATATAACACCACCAAAGGAAACTAAAAATGCTCCAGTAACCACTTACAATAAAACACAGATCTAAAAAATGACTAACAGAGAATTCAAGATAATCTTCAAGCATCTCACCAGTCTGACCAACATGGTGAAAGCCTCTTTCTACTAAAAATACAAGAATTAGCCAGGTGTGGTGGTGCACACCTGTAGTCACAGCTAATTGGGAGGCTGAGGCAAAAGAATCGCTTGAATCTGGAGTGTGAAGGTTGCAGTGAGTCAAGATCACCCCACTGCACTCTAGCCTGAGCAACAGAGTGAGACTCTGTCTCAAGAAAAATAAAAAATAAAAATAAAAACTCAGTAAGATGCAAAAGTACACAGATTACTAAATTTTTTTGCAACAATGCATGAACAAAATCACAATACAGAAAAAGAAACCATTAAAAAAGAACCAAATAGATATGCTGGAGTCAAAGTAAAAATAGTAGAACTGAAAAATTTAAGAGAAAGCTTTAACAGGAGACTCAGCTATATAAAAAAAAAACACCCCAGCAAACGTAAGTCATTTGAAAGTTTCTAATTAGAAATTTTTTAAAAATGAAAGTGTGAATAAAGAATTTGGAACCCATGCTATATGATAAACCATAAAAAGGTACATATTTTAGGAGGTTCAAAAGAGAGAAAACTTTTTTTTATTGTTTAAAGATATAATGTGTTAAAATTTTCCCAATCTTGGAAGAAATACAGACATTCAGTTTTATGAGGCTCAAAATATCAGTAGCAAGAAGAACTTGATAAAAAACTTGCCCAGGACACAATTATAATTAAACTGCCAAAAATTCAAAGACAATGGGAGATTCTTAAAAGAAGCAAGAAAAAGAGATTCTTCTCATATAAGGGAACATCTATAAGGTTATCAGTAAATTGCTCAGCAGAAACCATGCAAGCCACACAGAAGTGAGACCGTATATTTAAAGTGCAAATGAACAGAGAAAAAGAAAAAACGTTGACAAATAAGGAGACTATACCTGACAAAACTGTCCTTTACAAATGAAGTATCAATCAAGATATTCTCAGATTAAAAAATAAGTTGAGGGAATTTATAATCACTAGACCTGTCTTACAAAAAAATGTTAATGAGAATTTTTCAAGTTATAAGGATGGAATCCTAACTTACAGCAAGAAAACATATAAAAGTATAAATCTTACTGGAAAACATATATATATATATATATATATAGAAGGCTATATCACTAATTATGGTGCATAAATCACTTTTAACTCTGATATAAGTTACAAAAAAAGCATTAAAACACATATAGCTTCAGTATATTTGTTAACAGGTACACAATATTAAAAAAAAGTAAAGGGTGACATAAATAGTGTGTTAAAGGAAGTAAAATTGTTTAATTTTTCTATACATAGAAGGTAACTTTTGCTTGAGGCCTGGAGTTCAAAACCAGCCTGGTCAATATAGCGGGACTCTGTCTCTAAAATAAATACATGAATAAAATAAAATAAAGATCTCACAAAGCTGTTTGGTTTTTTTAAAAAAAGAAGCACTGGGTGTGATGTCTCATGCATGTAATCCTAGCACTTGGAGAGGCCAAGGCAGGTGGAGTGCTTGAACCCAGGAGTTCAAGACCAGCCTGAGCAACATGGCAAAACCCTGCCTCTATATAAAGTACAAAAAAAAGTAGACAGACTTGTGCTTGTAGTCCCAGCTACTCAGGAGGGTAAGGTGGGAAGATTGCTTGAGCCTGGGGAGGTCGAGGCTGCACTAAGCTGTGAATGTACTGCACTTCAGCCTGAGTAACAAAGGAAGACCCTATCTGTACAAAAAAAGAAGTTACATTGTTATCTCAAGCTAGACTTTTATAACTATGAGATGTTTTATGTAAGTCTCTTGGAAATTAAAATAAAAATGGCAGTAGATACAAAAGAAAAAGAATCAAAGCATATAAGAAAAACAAAACAAAAATTCAAGAAAACGCAAGGGAAGAAAGCATGAAAGAATTAAAACACAGAAACTACTAACTGGTCAGAAAACAATGAACAAAATGGCAGTAATAAGTTCTCATCAATAATTCCTCTAAATAGAAAAACATTTACTTATCCAGTGAAAACATATTGCTATTGT
The DNA here is from genome assembly GCF_000001405.40 of Homo sapiens. Taxonomy (NCBI): domain Eukaryota; kingdom Metazoa; phylum Chordata; class Mammalia; order Primates; family Hominidae; genus Homo; species Homo sapiens. The sequence continues at coordinate 145,177 of NC_000004.12, read as the reverse complement.
TTGAGTGTCCCTCCAAAATTTATGTTAATATTTAACTGCCACTGTGAGAAAATGAAGTGAGCCCCTTAAGAAGCTATTAGGTTATGAGAGCTCTACTCTCATGAAAGGGTTAGTATCATTATTCCCACACTGGGAATTAGTGGTTCGAAGATGAAAAAGAATATTCCATGCCAATAACTAAAAAAGTGTACGAGTGGCTATATCAAACAAAAGAGACATATAGAAAAAAAAAATCTGTCACAAAAAAAACTTTGCATATGATGGGGTCTTATATTTGAAAAAACCTACTTCACTAAAACACCATTAGAACTCATACATTTAGTCAAGATACAGGATTAAAAAATTAGTGTTTCTACATGCCAACAGTGAACAATGTGAAAATCAAACCAAGAGAGTAATTCCATTTACGGTAGCCACAAATTAAAATTAAATACCAGGAATGAACTTAACCAAAGAAGTGAAAGATCTCTATGATGAATACTATAAAACATCGATGCAAGAAATTAAACAAGAGAAAAAAAAGGAAAGATATTTTATGTTCATGAATAGGAAGGATCAGTATTATTAAAATTTTCATACTACCCAAAATGATCTACAGATTTAATGCAATTCCTATCAAAGCATCAATGACATTCTTCACAGAAATAGGAAAAACAATCTTATAATGTAGACAGACCCATAAAAGACTCAAAATAGCCAAAGCCATTGTACCAGAAAAGAAACTGGAGGAATCATAGTATTTGAATTTAAATGATACAACAGAGCTACCGTAATTAAAATGGCATAAAACTGATCAGTAAAACAGTAGAGCGAATGCAGAGATAAATCCATATTACAGCAAACTTCTTTTTGACAAAGCTGTCAGGAATATATTGTTACCGCTAGAAAGTATCCGGGTTCTTGGCATCTTGAACAAAGAATTGGACAAAATACACAAAGCAAGGAAGGAATAAAAGGATTTACTAAAAATGAAAGTACACTCCACAGTGCGGGCCCGAGCATAGGGGCTCGAAGGCCCCCTTACAGAATTTTTGGGAGCTTAAATACCACCTAGAGTATTCCATTGGTTACTTTGGGTATGCCCAACGTAAATGGAGAGGGTGAAGTAAATTTAGTTATTAACGGTGGATGCCCTATGGAGAGGATATTTCCTGTTATAGCTGAAGTGTGAATTGGGCTTATGGTCCCTGCCTCCAGACCGTTTTCCTGCCTCATGTCCCCCGAGAGATGTGATCCCCATAAATCCTTATAGGAGACGGGGGGGTCAACGGTCTTTTTCTTTCTGTAACTGCTTTATGCTGGCTTGGGGCATAGTCCCTGTCTATTGGGGATCACAGTACTCTCGCCCTGTTCTGTCTAGTGGAGGCAGGGTAGTTTCTTGATGGCCAGGGGTGTGTTTTCACCTGGAACTGGCTGGAGATTTCACTGCATGATCAGTGAAGCTTGATGGTCTCTAGGCAAGAGCAAACGTGTTTGGTTAAAAGATATAATGGGGGTGGATACCTATGCTGTTAAGAATGTTTGTTACAGAGATTTGCAGGAGAAAAAAAACCTGATTTGTTCTAGAATTTATGTGTTTCCTTAAAGTCTTGGCACAAGCAACTCCATTTTGTTTTGGTCTGTTGGTGCCTAGTGTATGAGCTTAGTCCAAAACAATGGCATCCCAGAATTTTGTTTAAAAACTTCCCCCTTGGCCGTGCACACTGGCTCACGCCTGTAATCCTAGCACTTTGGGAGGCTAAGGCAGGTGGATCACAAGGTCAGGAGTTCAAGATCAGCCTGGACAAAATGGTGAAACCCCGTCTCTACTAAAAATAGAAAAATTAGCCAGGCGTGGTGGTAGGCACTAATCCCAGCTACTTGGGAGGCTGAGGCAAAGAATTGCTTGAACCTGGGAGGCAGAGGTTGCAGTGAGCCAAGATTACACCACTGCACTCCAGTCTGGGTGACAGAGACTCCGTCTCAAACAAAACAAAACGAAATTCCCCCTTTTTGGTTAGGTTCTCACTTAGATTAGTGTGTGTCCAAAATTTAGGGCCTTAGAGCCACTCTCAGTTACCATCATTTTGGATTTCTGGTCTCAGCACATTATTTATAGGTTACGGTGTTCTCATGGTTGCACGTTTCTTTTAGCTTCTGTTATTCTAGTTGAAGAGAGACCATATGACATCCTAGAGATGGCTGCATGCAAGCATTTAAAACCTTTGAGAGAATACAGCACACAAGGGAGACTATTATTATGACTATTGGGAGGAAAATACCAAGAGTTCACAGTATGCTCCTTACTCAAGGTTTCCATAAACCAAACCTCGTAAAATTAAATAGATCAAAGAATGAGCCAGATAAAGAGTTTACTTACTTAACTAAGCAATTTCTTTGTTAATCCCCTACCACTGAATTTCTATAATCTTCATTTGATGTATTTCTCCATAAGCCACAAGTGCCAGCAGCTGCACAGGTACCTCTTTGTTTAGTCAATTCTATTATAACTTTCACAAAAGAATTTAAAGTCTATTGTGTAACTGTAGCCTTTACAGTAGAATTTGCTATAGAGCCTATCATGAGGGATACCTTTTTAAATCATTGCTTCTTTTACTTTAAACCATGGGAAAGGACCTAACAAATGATGCCCCTCTAGAAGAGTGAAGGCCTCCTGGCAATGGTCTCTTTAGCCCACGGTGTGGGTTAACAGGAGTGAACCAATGTTTTGTTTTTGGACTGATTATGAGGCAATGTATGTACCATTAAAGTTTCTTACTTACACTGACTGGGCTTTCATCTTTTATTTATCTAAGTATAAGCTTATCCATATATAAGGCTGGCTGCAAACTCCTTCACAAATAGAAGTATACTCCATAAATGCACTTAACAGATCCCTTTTCTACTTTTAATGTTTGTAGAAGCATAAGAAAAAAAATTCAAAGGTAAGAGTTTTATGATAGAAGTTTTAATTTGTGAACTTGGGAAAAGCTGTTTACATCAAGGATGCCATCTTCTTGGGAGAAATCTCCCTGGTTAGCTTCACCTCAAGGGTTCCAATGGCTGCACAGTTCCAAAAATGTGGAGGGACCCTTATCAAAACCCGTTAACCTAAAGCCCAAAGTCCTGACATTTTGTTGTAGTGTGGGTGGCAAGGACAGTTTTTCTCCTATGTTCTCAGAAGATTTAAACCATAAAAAGCTTTTTTACCTGCTGGAAATATACTGTAGCATAATAATCTCAGCCTCCTTGCATAGTAAAGCTTTTATACAACAGAAAACATGCATTGAAAATAACAACTGAATGAAATCCCTTTATAAAATGTTTAAATGGCCCACCAGGTGACCAAATATACCTGAAGCTTTAATTGTATTGTATTGTTTTGGTATTTAATTTTTGTTTTACTTGTGTTAGTAGGTCAGTAGCTTTATACAAGGAAATTTGATTATTTCTGCAGTTTATAATAACATAATAACCATAATTATAATTGACAGCATATACTATTTTAGAAATCTCATACAGTTTTGGAACATATATTAGTATTATTCACAAAAATATAACCTAAAGCAGATTGAACATCATTTTAGCAATCACATGTACCCAAACATGTCAAATAATCCTGTTTACCTCCTTTCTGAATGTTTTCAGTGGCCCTCTGATCCATCCAAAAAGCCAGGCATTAGGAAACAAGCATGTATGTGAAATTTGGCTTTACATTATATCCAGCTTCATGCTTAACTATATTTAAAAAAATAATTGCCAAACTGCTGATGCATTTTTACAATACTTTTTATTTTACTTTAATCAAAACTAACAGCTTTATGAAAATGTTTAATTAGCCAAACGTCTCCAATTCTTTATCAGGGTTTAAAAAATATTTTATGATTTAAACTTTTCCCACATTTTTTGCCTAATGATTCCTTACTACATTGTTTTATGAATAACCTTTTTAAATCTGTAATTTGAACCAACTTTTAGATAACTATTGAATTAGACAAAACTATTCTCTTTTTTTTTCATGAATAACATAACCCTTTCTGGTACATTTGGTATACAGAATTACATGTTAAATAGAAACCTGAAACTTTAGTGAAACCCTAAAAAACAAAAAATCCTGAACTAATGGATATGGACAATTCCGCAACTTTAGAAGAGACTTCGGATAGAATGGAAGAAGGCAGGCTCACCCTAAGTAGCTCCCAGCTTGAATTAACACTGACATTTAAAAATATTTAGCAAAGACAAACATAAAATTCAGACAAAATGTATGCTGATAATTATGAAGGCATTTATATTTTTATTCCACCAATAATTTTAAAGCTAGCTTGTTTAGTAAAGTTATACTTTAAGTCACATGAACTTGAAAATTGCTTAGACTTACTTATGAGTGCTCTTTTACTTATAAGCCAATTTGGTAGACATAACATATAACAGTAAGTGTACATGCAAATAAAGACATCTAGACATGTATACACACACATAAATGAAGACTCAATAGCTTGGAACCTTAGCCATGAGATAGCAATAGAAACTTACTGGTTTTACTTTGCCCCAGTAGATAATCCAATGAAGGCTGTGAACCAAAATTTTGGGTAAAGCAGTCTCCATGGCAGTTTGATTTTTAAAGGCCAAACCTCCCCAGAATCCAAAGAGCACTGGGGCCAAACCATACCAAAGGAGGGCATCACACATTAACCAGGTCCCCTGCTTGGAACCACAGCACAAAAGCCTGCATAGATACAATGCCATTCCACTTTTCCATTCAACAGTAAACTCCAAATTCCAAACAATGTTGGGGCCAAACAGCATTGCAACTATGAGAGAAAATTCCAAGGAGGGTTTAGTACCAGACCTCAGAACCTCTGCCAAGAACGTCCCCTTTGGGAAGGTTGAGGTCCGCAGGACCCACAGAGTATCCTCCTGTGGATCCGATCTCAGTGTCAGATGTCTCTGACCTTAGGTGGGCACCTCCAGAGCACACTATAAGCTTTATAAAAATAGCCATGAACTGCAATGAGAACTGGATGCCGGGTGGGCCTTTTTGTTCCGTAGCCAGTTGAGTACGGTAAGGGAAGAATTTAGCATAAGAAGGTTTAAGTCCCTTAAAACATGTGCGAGTTTGCTCTGAACTGCGCCACACATAGGGATCGGGGACCACGTGCAGAAAAGATAAAAAAAAAAGTCATTCCCCCTTCTGGGCAGGGCAATTATAAACAGCGACTTAAAGACTGAGAAATAAAGGAAAAAAAAATGAAAAAGACCCAGGTTCCTTAAGCAAACCAGGAGGTGGCAGTCAGCCTTCTCTGCACGGAAACCCATTAGTTTCACAGGCCACAGCCAGAAACCTGCAGTTGCCTCCACGTTTAGGTGCTGCCCACCAAGTGTTCCAAGTTGGAAATGAAAAGAGAAAGCTCTTGTATGGAGCAGAAAGGAAAGAGAGAAAAATGAATCCCAAACTTTGGGCTTACTTCTTCCTCCTGGCTGGCCAAAATATACGTTACCAGTTGTAGGTGTCCAGGTCCTTGACGTCTTTAACAAAGAATTGGACAAAACGCACAAAGCAAGGAAGGCATGAAGTGATTTATTGAAAATGAAAATACACTCCACAGTGTGGGAAAAAGCCCAAGCGTAGGGGCTCAAAGGCCCCATTACAGAATTTTTGGGAGTTTAAATACCCCCTAGTATGCCCTATGTAAATGGAGAGGATGAAATAAAGTTACAAAGTTATTTATGGCCCATGCCCTATGGAAAGGTGAAGTGTGAAGTGGTCTTATGTTTTCTGCCTCCAGACTCTATTTTCCTGCCTCAATATAATGGGGGAGTCTCTTCAACAAATTGTGTTACAAAAACTGAATATCCATATTCAGAGGAATAAAACTAGACCTCTATCTCTTGCCATCTAAAAAAAATTAAATCAAAACGGATTAGAGACAAATCTAAGACATCAAACTATGAAACTACTACAAAAAACATTGGTGAAACTCTCCAGGAAATTAAACTGAACAAAGATGTCTTGAGTAATACCCCACAAGCACAGGCAGCCAACGCAAAAATGAACAAATGGAATCACATCAGTTAACGAGCTTCTAAACAGGAAGTGAAACAATCAACAAAGTGAAGAGACAACACATAAAATGGGAGAAAATATCTGGAAACTGCCTATAAGGAATTAATAACAAGAATACATAAGGCACACAAACAGCTCTATAGGATAAAATCTGATGATAAATAAGCAAAAAATTTGAATAGAAATTTCTCAAAAGAGAGCCTACAAATAACAAAAAGCCATATGACAGGGTGCTCAACATTATTTATCATCAGAGAAATGCAAATCAAAATGACAATGAGATATTATCTCACCCCAGTTACAATGGCTTTTATCCAAAAGTCAGGTGATTAATAAATGCTGGTGAGGATGTGGAGAAAAGTGAAAGTTGAACTCTAGTACTCTCTTGGTGGGAATGTAAATTACTACAATGACCATGGAGACCAGTTTAGAGGTTCCTCAAAAAATGAAAAATAAAGCTACAATATTATCCAGCAATCCCATTGCTAGGTATGTACATAAAAGAAAGGAAATCAGGACATCAGAGAGATATTTGAAGCTCCATTTTCACTGCAGCAGTGTTCACATTAGCCAAAATTTAGAAGCAACCTAAGTGTCCCTTACATGAATGGACAAAGTAAATGTGGTGCACATACATAACAGAGTACTTTTCAATCATAAAAAAGAACAAGATCCCATCATCTTCAACAACATGGATGGAACTAGAGGTCATTATGTTAAGAAAAATAAGCCAAGCACATGAAGGCAAACGTTGCATGTTCTCACACATTTGCTGGAGCTAAAATTAAACTAATTCATAGAGACAGAGAGCAGAAGGATTGTTACCAGAGGCTGGAAAGTGTAGCAGGGGACTGGGGGAAGTGGGGAAGATTAATGGGTAGAAAAATAATTAGAAAGAGTAAGATGTAGCAGTTGCTAGTACACAGAGTGACTATAGTCAAAAGCAATTTAATTGTACATTTTTAAATAACTAAAAGAATGTAGTTAGGTTGTCTGTAAAACAAAGAATAAACACTTGAGGTAATGAATACCCATTTACCCTGATATGATTTTTATGCATTTCATGCCTACATCAAAATATCTCATGTAACCCATAGATACAAAAAGCTACTGTGTACTCATAAAAATTTAAAATCCTGAACCATATACAAAAACTATCTTGAATAAATTAAATATTTAAATGTAAGAAGCATAACTCTACAATTTTTGGAAGAAAATACAGGAAGAAAGATTATGACATTGGTCTTGGCAATGTTTTCTTGCATATAGCATCAACTACATGAGTAACAAATTTAAAAACACAGAAAAATGGACTACATTAAATTTATCTCTGAACATTAAAATAAACATTTAGTCAGTCCCGAGTAAGAAAAAAAAAAGTAAAAAGTATACATTTGACAGAAGTTAACACCCAGAATAAACTCCAAAAAGTCAACAAAGAGTAAGTAATATGATTAACAAATGAACAGGAGGTGAAAATGTTTCTCCAAAGAATAAATACACACAGCAAACAATTATTGAAAAAATTTTTAATCTTTAGAAAAATGTAAAGCAAAACCACAATGAGGTATTATCGTGTATTAATTGGAATGGCCAATATCAAGCAAACAAAAAATAACAAATGTCAACAATGTAGATGAATTGAAACCCTTGTGCACTGCTGGTGGGAAGAAAGTGATGCAGCCCCTAAAAAATGTATAGGGGTTCCTCCAAAAAAAAAATGAAGTTATTCTATGACCCACTAATTCTACTTCTGAGCATCCTATTCAAAATATGCAAAGTATATCTGACAGAAATATTTGCACATCCATGTTTACTGCAGCAATATTCACTGTATTAGTTTATTCTTGCATTGCTATAAATACCTGAGACTAGGTAATTTTTTTTTTTAGAAAAAGGTTTAATTGGCTCGTGGTTCTGCAGGCTGTACAGGAAGCATAGCAGCTTCTGTTTCTAGAGAGGCCTCAAAAAGCTTCCAATTATGGTAGAAAGCAAACAAAGAGTGAGTCACCTCACATAGTGGGAGCAGGAGCAAGAGACAGTGAAAGGAGAGGTGCCACATGCTTTTAAAAAATGAGATCTCAGGAGAACAAACTCACTATGCCAAAGACAGTACCAAAGGGGATGGTGTTAACCATTCATGAGAAGCCAACCCTACCATCCCATCACCTCCCACCAGGCCCACCTCCAACACTAGGGACTGCAACTTGACATGAGATTTGAATGGGGACCCAGATCCAAACTATATCACTTACAAAAGCCAAAAAGTGAAAAAACTCAAACACCCTTCAATAGATGAATGATTTAAAAAGATGTGGCTTATACATACAATGAAATATTCCTTAGCTTCAAATGAAAATATCTTGTCAGATGCTACAATAAGGATAAATCTTAAAGCCATTATTTTAAGTGAAATAAGATACTAATAAAGTGACAGTGTATGATTCCACTTAGGTAAGATATCTTAAGTAGTAAACTCACAGAAAACACAAGTAGAAAGGTGCTTGCCTTTGGCTAGGGTTGTGAAACCTCAGTGGAGCCAAAGATCAAGTAGGGATATTTGGAAAAAGCAGGGCCTCACCCAGGTGGCCAACTCAAGAGCCCATAGACATGGCTGCAGATAAAACATGGCACACTAAGCTTGGTCTTACTAAGGATGCTGAAGCAGTTCTGCAACCTGTCTCAAACTCCTCTCAGCTACAGTACACAAGTGGTCCTTCCTATCAAGAGACCTGCAAGGAGACACACCCAGCCATGGACCTGGAGGCAGGCCTACAGATCTCGGCCTCAGCTATGTTCCCTGAAGCAGTCCTGTGACTCAGTTCTAGCCCTCACAGCCACAGTCCATGGCCAGTTGTACACACTCAGGGACTCAGAGAGACCTGTGAAAACTGTTCCCCGGTAGTCAGTAGAAGCCAAACCCATTCATACACCTGGTACTTGGCCTATCATACGCAGACAAACTTCAAAACCCTGCCTTACTGCCTGCCATACAGATTAATGTCCTCAAGGAAATTTAATCTTTCCAGGGCCCAGAAAGAATCCATGACTGTCCAAATCTCCGGTAACACAACCATCAAAAGCAGAGGTAATCTCATCAGCAGGAGGACAGAACAAAAGGAGTTCTTTACCTGCCAAATTGTAATCATTGTTATAGTTACAGAAATTATAATCATTGTTAGATCCTTCAAACGTACAGACACAGGGCTGCTTCAGAGACCACAGCTGAGGCCAAGATCTGCAGGCCTGCCTCCAGGGCCACAGCTTCTATCTTAACATATTACTAAAAATTTGTATGAGAACAATTAGGCAAGGAAAAGGAAAACGAAGCTCTCCAGCTTTGGGAAAGAAATAAAAACATTACTGTCTGTAGATTATATAATCATGCACATATATATAACTCTAGAGTAAATGAACAAAAACTCAATAAATGCATTCATTAAAGCATCAGGATACATAATCTTGTGAAAGGAAAATAAATCTTGGAACTCTTGGGGCCCCCAAAATCACTAAGCTAAACCGTCAAGCTGGGTACTGCCTAGGGCAAACCTGCCTCCCATTCTATTCAAAGTCATCCCTCTGCTCACTGAGATAAAGGGACATCTGATTGCCTCCTTTGGACAGACAAATCAGAAACTCAAAAGAATGCAGCAGTTTGTCTCTCATGTACCTGTGACCTAGAAACACTATCCCTGCTTAAGCTGTCCTGCCTTTCAAGATGGAACCAATGTACATCTTACACATATTGATTTATGTCTCATGTCTCCTTAAAATGTATAAAACCAAGCTGTGCCCAAACCACCTTGGGCACACGTCATCAAGACTTCCTAAGGCTGTGTCAGGGGCACGTGTCCTAAACCTTGACAAAATAAACTTTTTTTTTTTTTTTTTTAAGACAAGAGTCTCACTCTGTCTCCAGGCTGGAGTAGTGGTGCAATCTCAGCTCACTGTAATTTCCACCTCCTGGGTTCAAGTGATTCTCCTGCCTCAGCCTCCCTAGTAGCTGGGACTACAGGCGCGTGCCACCACGCCCAGCTAATTTTTGTATTTTTAGTAGAGATGGGGTTTCACCACGTTGGCCAGGATGGTCTTGATCTCTTGACCTTGTGATCCACCCACCTTAGCCTCCCAAAGTACTGGGATTACGGTCGTGAGCCACTGTGCCTGGCCAGCAAAATAAACTTTCTACATTAACTGAGACCTGTCTCAGATTTTCAGAGTTAATACTCTGTTGCCCAGGTTCATCTTAAACTCCTATGCTCAAGTGATCTATCAGCCTTGGCCTCTGAAAGTGCTGGGATTACAGAAATGAGTCACTGGAACTGGCCCAACATAAAAATATGTGTTGCATTTCCAAATAGTAACAACAAACTTTCCAAAAACAAACAAACAAAAAAGAAACAATTTTCATTTGCAACAATTTAAAAATAAAAAATTTAATCATAGTAAATTTAACCGATGAGATTAAATATGTATACACTAAATACAATAAGATGTTAATGACAGAAATTTCAGTAGACACAAATAAATGGAAAAATATTCCATTAGAATAACTAATACTGTCAAAGTACCGTATTATCATAAGTGATCTATATATTCAAAGTGAAAATTTTAGTGTCATTTTTCACAGTAATAGAAAACACAATTTTGAAACTTAAGTGTAACCTTAAACAACTTTAACACTGATTGGCTGGGCACGGTGGCTCACGCCTGTAATCCCCAGCACTTTGGGAGGCCGAGGTGGGCAGATCACGAGGTCAGATAGAGACCATCCTGGCTAACATGGTGAAACCCCATCTCTACTAAAAATACAAAAAATTAGCCGGGCGTGGTGGCGGGCACCTGTAGTCCCAGCTACTTGGGAGGCTGAGGCAGGAGAATGGTGTGAACCCGGGAGGCAGACCTTGCAGTGAGTAGATATCGCGCCACTGCACTCCAGCCTGGGTGACAGCGAGACTCCATCTCAAAAACAAAACAAAACAAAACAAAACAAAAAAACTTTAACATTGATTGATGGTGATTGTTAGTGCCTGAGGGTGGAAAATACGGAAATGTTGTTCAAAGAGTACAAATTTTTAGTTGTAACTTGAGTAACTCTGAAAAATCTAAAGTACATTCAGCATTAGATCAGCAAAATAGCATTATTTATAGTTAGTAATACTGTAATGTATGCTTACAATTTGCTACAACAGTAGACCTTAAGTGTTCTTACTACAAAAAAACTGGTTATCTACCTGAGGTAATAGATGTGTTCACTAACTTGACTATATTTTATTTTACAATGTATATACATATCAAATCATTATACTGTACACATTATACAATTTTTATTTATCAGAAAAATCCAGGTTGCACATGTATGTACAGTAAGTCCTCACTTTATGTTCAAAATAGGTTCATGAAAAGTGCATCTTTAAATGAACATTGTTGCTATATGTCATGCAAACATAACTCTTGTATTAAATTCTGGTAAAAATTAGTTTACTTAATATGTTGCTTCACTTACTGTTTCCAAGAACCTATCAGCAAAGTTAAGTAAGAATTTATTATACACATATATAACTTATATAGGTATGTGTATGTGTGTGAGACACACATTTTTATATATAGATAGATCTCAACAGAACTTCAGTAGGCTTCCTACTAAATAAGACAAAATTAAAAGATAATAGTTATTAAGAAATAAGGTAATAATTGAGAGCTTACTATACACTTAGCAATGTTCTAAGCTGGTTGATGACAGTGCATTTAAGAAATCTAGAAGGTGAGTAGATACCTTAAATCAGTGGTGGCCAACCCTTTGAATGTGAGGGCATTTTTACTTATCTGTGGTAGTGGATATCACAAAAATTATTCACAAACCTTTTTTTTTTTAAACTCATCAGCTATTATTAGTGTTACCATATATATATATATATATATATATATATATATATTTTTTTTTTTTTTTTTTTAAGATGGAGTCTTGCTGTGTTGCCCAGGCTGGAGTGCCTGTGGCACGATCTCAGCTCACTGCAAACTCCACCTCCTGGGGTCAAGCAATTCTCCTACCTCAGCCTCCCAAGTAGCTGGGATTACAGGTGCGCACAACCATGCCAGGCTAATTTTTGTATTTTTAGTAGAGATGGGGTTTCACCATGCTTGCCAGGCTGGTCTCTAACTCCTGACCTCATGATCTGCCCCCTCGGTCTCCCAAAGTGCTGGGATTACAGGTGTGAGCCACCGTGTCCGGCCACGTTACTGTATTTTATGTGTGGCCAAGACAATTTTTCCTCCAATGTGGTCCAAGGAAGCCAAAAGGTTGGAAACCCATGCTTTAAATAATTTGAAAACTTGCAAAAATAGAGTTTAAATTACAAATCTCAGTTTATATTAAAACAATAACATTTTGAAGTAAAATAAAATTACATTTTTTCATATTTAGGAAAACACTTATTGTTCTGATAAAATTGCTGAGTAAGAATTTTTGTAGAATTACATTTGCAACCTCTATAGGATTAAAAATCACTAAGCAGAAAAGATGCAATACCTGCAACAACTGTCTCTGGTGTTCCTGGGATCTCTGAACCAAATCCCAATATATCCACTAGTCACCGTACACATTTTAGACATGATGCAAAGACAATATTTGAAAAAAAGAAAAACTTTAACATAGAGCTCCTCAATAATACAAATGTTCCCAGGTCCCCAAAAGCAATGAACAGCAGTCAGATCATGTAGCCCTTTGTAAGTGATAAAGTGGACACTGGCACTCCCTGTAAACTTGAAGGGAGATCACTAAAGGAAAAACAGAATTCTTAGATTTAAGAGCATGGGAGAGAAGATGACCCTAAGAGAAAAAATGCAGCCTTTTCAGAAATTATTTTCTTTGTCACAGAGCTTCCCAAACTACATTTATTTATTTATTTGAGACAGAGTCTAGCTCTATATTGCCCAGGAGGGAGTGCAGTGGCGCAATCACAACCTCTGCCTCCTGGGTTTTTTTTTTTTTTTTTGAGACTGAATCTCGCTCTGTCGCCCAGGCTGGAGTGCAGTGGCACGATCTCAGCCGACCGCAACCTCTGCCTCCTGGGTTTTTTTTTTTTTTGAGACGGAGTCTCGCTCTGTCGCTCAGGCTGGAGTGCAGTGGCACGATCTCGGCTCACTGCAAGCTCCGACTCCTGGGTTCACGCCATTCTCCTGCCTCAGCCTCCTGAGTAGCTGGGACTACAGGCGCCCGCCACCACACCCGGCTAATTTTTTGTATTTTTAGTAGAGATGGAGTTTCACCATGTTAGATAGGATGGTCTCGATCTCCTGACCTCATGATCCACCCGCCTCGGCCGCCTCCTGTGTTTTTAAGCAATTCTCTCTGCCTCAGCCTCCCAAGTAGCTGGGATTACAGGCGCCCGCCACCACACCCGGCTAATTTTTGTATTTTTAGTAGAGACGGGGTTTCACTATGTTGGCTAGGCTGGTCTTGAACTCCTGATCTCAGGTGATCCACCCACCTCGGCCTCCCAAAGTGCTGGGATTACAGGCGTGAGCCACGGTGCTCAGCCTCTCAAACAACATTTGAAGGCCTGGCTTCCTTCTTGACTTTTGGCCTCCTTGTCTGTGTCCTCTCCTCCATTCACTCTCACCTACCTGGGGGTCTGGCTGCTGTTTCATGTATCTTCAAATTGTAGGGCTCTTTTCTTTGCTCCAGACTGGTGACCAGGTCTGGGTTAGAGATACTAACACCTGTTTTATTAAAAAAAAAATTAACATGACTATTGCTGGGGATACTCCAATTACCAACCTAGTACTATGCTAAGTAGAATAGAGAAATTAGGGAAGATTCTAGAAAATTAATCCAAAAATTGTTTTCCGACAGAATCTGTAGAATATTTAAGTATTTTAAATCTGTGGGCTTTAAGTTCCACTACCGAGTACTACTGAATCAAAAATAAGTAGTGCAAATTGCATGTTAAGATGTGAAAGACAATTATTTTATATCATTAATTTCTAGAATTACCACTAGCCTAGAGCGAAGGAAACAAATTAGCTCAAAAGAAGGTTTATGTAAAGATGAAACATCCTAAAGATTTTATTTTTTATACCACCAAACTCCCAACTTTTTCGTGAAGGAACTGAAATTAATTCATGCAAAGCAGAAGCTCTCAAGAGACATTCTACAAAGGAAGAAAATGAAATTCTGAAAAAGTATTAGGAATTACATATTAAAGTTATCCTTACCCAGGGAGACCAGGTTTCTGTAGTTCTCCAACATCACATCTCTATATAAATTCTGCTGGGAAGTGTCCAGACATTTCCACTCTTCTGGAGAGAATTCTATGGCCACATCCTTGAATGTTAAGAGTTCCTGAAAATACACATTTATCAAGTGACAGAATTCTTTTTTTTTTTTTAATACGGAGTCCCGCTCTGTTGCCCAGGCTGGAGTGCAGTGGTACGGTCTCAGCTCACTGCAAACTTCACCTCCCAGGCTCAAGTGATTCTCCTGCCTCAGCCTCCCGAATAGCTGGGATTACAGGCACCCGCCACCATGCCTGGCTAATTTTTGTTTATTAGAGACAGGGTTTCACGATGTTGGCCAGGATGGTCTCCATCTTCTGACCTCGTGATCCGCCTGCCTCGGCTTCCCAAAGTGCTGGGATTACAGGCGTGAGCCACCGCGCCTAACCAAAAACAGGAATTTTTCCACCCAGAAAAACAGACAGGATCTGTGGGGAGGGCACACGTTATGGTTTCTCTTCAGACTGTCCATGTAATTCTACTGCAAGACTGGGCTAAGAGTCACTCAGCCAAGCATTGCCTCTAAGGTTCAAAATGCATATAAATTATTTGGTATTCAAAGCCTCACTGTAAGTAACAAAATTCTGCAGGTTTGAAAAGGGTCCATGAATTAGCTTCTTATTGCAAGTCTCCTGTTATTGCAAGTCTTCTTATTGCTGACACTCCTCCCCCTAGACCCATTATACCACTCAGCTAGAAAAAGCAGTCACAGCATGAGTCCCTCACTGCAACACCCTTATCACGACACAAATACTTTACATCCGAAGACAAGACCACCAATCATCATCTTGAAATACGGCATTCTCTGCAAGCCCTTTAATGTTTACAGAGGCGGAAGATGGTGGCAAGTCTGAGTAAGTCTGCATTTGAAAAACGTGTATATGCATCAATGCAATCTTTATAGAGCATGTACTATGTGCTCAGAAGTATGCCATAGAGCAGTGTGCTGGGAAGTTCACATTATGTGTGTTAATACTATAACATCCTGAAAAGTAGTCCCATGCTTCCCAGGATTTAAATGCAGGGCCCCAGCATTTCTATTTGTTCTTCTGTTTTCTTATCATTGTTTTTTTTTTTAAATGCGTAGAATAATAGCTCAATATAGAGAGACGGGACAGATACAGAAAGGAAGTGCTAAGTGCAATTCAGAGGAATTTTTTATTTTTGTGTTTGTAGTTATTATGAGACTTGTGAAAAAAACCACTGAAACTGCAGAGATGGGGAACAGGTTGCTGGATAGGATGTCTCTAGAAACACTGACTTTAATTTTATAAAAAAGAATTTAAGGCACAAAAGTATATTGCTTTTCCTCATTTATCTGCTTTTGGGTATCAGGAAATTGTGAGCACCAGCTCTGGAGAGGCAGTAGGGGTAGCCACCCCAAACTCTGATCTCCTCTAAGCAGTTCTGTGAGAGATTTCAGTGTGGGGTAAGACCTGGACAAGGTTCAGCAGAGGGTGGATCTGGGCAGAACTGGGACAGAAGGTGGGCCCTAGGCATCTGCTCTCTATGCCCGTAAGTATTTTCAGTTTTGTCTTTTCTAAGCCTGCCCAAGAGAAATTTGATTCCCAGAGTTTCTGTATCTTAATCTATTTTAGCTAATTCCCTATTTTATAACATTATAACACACAATAACAAGGAATTTAACCAAAACCCTTATGTTTTTCTAGACCAATTATATTAGAAGCTAATTATTTATTCTTAGCAAGGTAAAAACAACACAAATAATAACAACAATTTCTCTTCTGTCAATGAACAGCTGATCAGATGGTGGCATTAAAACTCACAAAACAATAAAAGGGAAGTAACACAAATTAAGCTTAAGTCTCCATACAGTTTCTGTCTTTGTACTGAACACACGATGCTGAATTCAATCATTTATTCATGTGCTCTAGACTGCAAGTTCCTTGATGGTAGGGACCATGACTGCTTTATGTCTTTTTCTAATGATCATATGAAATAGAAGCAATTAGCTTATTGATCAGTTTGAGTCTCCAGATTCCTCATTTTTCACCAAAGAACCAGAAAACTGGAGCAATTCTTATCTGGGTACAAACCAAGGAGATTCTTTCTGTGAGGGGAGGAACAAACCCTGCATGAGTCACTTATCTTCCTCTGAAATGGGAGCAGAATTAGACCTTGTCAGACTGACCCCAGTCTGCACATGACATCCTCAAATGTCTCATTACTCAAAGATGCTGAGTAATGATGCCCTCATAGTGATCCACGGAGGAGACACTCAGGCTGACTTTGTGTGGTGCAAACAGAAAATGGCGCTGTCCTGGTGGTCCTGCACATCTTGGCTCCAGATGTGATATCCCCTGTCCCTGATCAGCTAACTCTGAGGTAAGAAGAAGGACAAAAGTACTCTACTCCCATAACACAGTATAGAGGAGGAAGGTACACTTGTGATTATGGTTGTCATTAAGGCTCTGGATATTTTGTGGCCTTACCTCCCACTGCTAAGATGCTTGTTTACACTTAAAGATTCTGCCACAGGATTCTGTTCCCATCAGAAGCCTCTCACACAGCTGTAGCAGGTCACTGAACAAGATCTGGAAAACTCAAAGGGCCCCACTCTAAAAATGGGGCTTAAGATGTCTACATTGACCTCTCATGATGCAGAAAATGTCTTCTGTGAGTTTTTCGTATGTCTTCAACCCAAAGTCTGGTCCAGTGTTGGGAATCCCAGGCAGAGGCCAACTTTTGTATGCAGATTCTAGGTGGGATCAATGTGCCTCTACATTCTTAGGGGTTAGAGTAAGCAGAGTAAAACCAGAGGAGAGATCACCTCATGGAGGCTCCTTCAACACATTCTTAAGAATATTTTGACCTAAAAGGAAATACTGGGATAAACATAATATAAGTAGAGAGTTTTCTGGGGCCAAAGCTTGAAGACTGCAATCCTGGAGTATAAAGCTACCTGAATATACACTCCAATTACAAGTATATTTGTAAAGGCAAAAAGGAAGGCAGGATAGAAAGTTGTCAGGAATTCTTATTTACAGAAGTAACATTGGTTAGTGATTGGTTATATACATTGTTAAGCTATTGGGTGTGGATTATAGTGTCCAGTGTGGCATTATTAGGTTAATTTATAGCCACTTGTGCCAATAGCAAGCAATTTCAAAAGACAAATAGTTCAAAGACGGGAACAGTACATCACTGTGGTCTCATTTTAACCAGTCTCTGGGTCTGATCATTAAAAGAACATGTATTTCTCAAATAAAAGTTCTTTTCTTCTCTCAAATCCCAGAAAATAAATTCAGAATTTGGAACTGCACATTTAGGTCTTGGAGGGCTGGTGAGCTATGCACATTTGCGGGCATTTGGGCAAAGGGAGGAGGGAGAGAATTGAAGTTCTCAAGTTTAATCAATGCACATGTATGATCCTGGTTGGGTTTATGGGCCCCGTGATCTCTGAATCCGTGTCAGATCTGAAGATGACAGGAGCACTGAAGGAGGTGAAATAACTGATTGCTGTCCTGAAGTGATTTTTGTAGAAATCTAGTCTAACTGCTCTAGAAGGGACTGTAGATCCCAAATAGAGAGACTATTTTGTTTGCAGATTTGGGGAGCACCTTGCTGCACTTTGTCATACAATTGTGGGTTGTGGCTGGAATCCTGAGAAGAAAGGTTTTTCTCTCAAGTGAAGCCTGGTGGGCACTTTGTATATAACGTCCAGTACTTCTAAACAGTGCATGGAAAATATGACTAAAAGAAAAATTTTCAGCCAGGCACGGTGGCTCACGCCTATAATCCCAGCACTTTGGGAGGCCAAGGCCGGTGGATCATGAGGTCAGAAGATGGAGACCATCCTGGCCAACATGGCGAAACCCCGTCTCTACTAAAAATACAAAAAAATTAGCTGAGTGTGGTGGCGCGCCTGTAATCCCAACTACTCAGGAGGCTGAGCAGGTGAATCGCTTGAACCTGGGAGGTGGAGAATGCGGTGAGCCGAGATCGCACTACTGCACTCCAGCCTGGCGACACAGCGAAGACTCCGTCTTAAAAAAAAAAAAAAAGAGAAAAATTATCTCCAATCCTAAAAAAATTTTCCACCATAATAGAACAGCAAGAAAATGTTTTGTTATATAATTAAACCAAAATGTGATGTGCATCACAGGCAATCTACTAAGAGACTGCAAACACAGAAAAAAAGTCACCATTAGTTCTTAAGTAGAAGACTTGAAAGCACCATTTACACAGTTTATTATTTCACCTAGTAATTTGGGAGGTAATCTGGGTTTTCTAATTGGTAATATTCAAAAGAAAAATAAACTTCCCACATCTTCATGACAGGACGTAGACCCACAATGTGGAGCCAGGTACCTGCTGAAGGCAGCCTCCCACCCTCCTACAGAAACTGTGGGATATATTCTTGCTATTCACATTTCAAAGCAATAGTTCCCAAGTCCTAGATAAAGACAAGTCTGAGTCAAAAAAGACAAATGACCTATTTAACTGATAAAAATGATTTACATATATTTCAAAAACTGGTGAAAATAATTATAAAAATTTTCCACCTAAATGCTTTAAGAAAAGGGAGAAGAGCAAAAATTCTTCCCTCACTCTAAAGAGAAATCATTAAGCCTCTTCTAATTTGTATTTGCTCCTACAACAGCCAGGTCTAAGGCATGGTCTTGAATTCCCTAACGTCTGAATTCTTGTAGGCACGTAAGGGATGAACTTGGGCACACTGTATGCACAGAAAAGAGGATTTGTGGGGAAGGAAAAAGCACAAGACAGCAAGGAGCTATCAAGAGCCATGGGGTGGGGGCAGGGCACAACTGATGAAAGGACTGGTTTGTGCTACAGGTACAGGCCCAGGCAGGGCTACGCACTGACTGATTCCTGAGTCCATAAAGGCATAGGAGATTAAGATCAGATGGTCCAGAAGCCTGGGTTGGAGAAGGAAACGGGCTCCTGCTAAACAGATCTGGGGTTGAGATGAGCCAGGAGTCTTCTGGGCACTGCGTGTGCTTTTGGCAGAAAACTGTAGGAGCAAAACTGCCATGGGCACAATTCCTGAGGGTAGAACCCTGTCTTAGGCCAGGTGTGGCCGTGCGAATGCCCAGTGGGCGTGCTCAGGAGTGGGTTAGCATTGGGTGGGGGCTGGCAGCAGGATGCGGGGAAGGGATGTTTCTTAGAACTGCTTTCCTCTAAGTTCCCAGTCCCCTTTCTCCCCGGGAGGAGGCCTGGAGGAAGAGGACAGTGCCCAGCGGGACAGCGCCTGTGCAGAACCCGGCCGCGCCTCCTGCGGACACCAGGTGACTTCCTCCAACCCAGACTCGGCCATGTCTTTCTTCTGACAGAAAACTTGCGGAGTTTCCTCAACACCAGTCAATGCTCCAACCCCAACGGGGTGTCCAGCAACTCACTAACGACACCACCCAGAGTCAGCGCTGACCCCACAAGCTCAGCACTCTTCCCGCAGCTGCTCTCCTGCAGACGCCAGTCCCTGCCTCTGGACACCCGTCTTCATTTCTGAACCCCTGCCTACAAACCAGGGACGCCCACACCCTCCTCAAGTTCAATAATGTGGCAGAACTACTCACAGAACTAAGAGAAGCGCTGTGCGCACCGACACCAGCGTATTCTAAAAGATGCGAACAGACACCAGCGTATTCAGGAACAGCCACGCGGAGGAGG
The DNA here is from genome assembly GCF_000001405.40 of Homo sapiens. NCBI lineage: Eukaryota > Metazoa > Chordata > Mammalia > Primates > Hominidae > Homo > Homo sapiens. Next base: position 125,202 of record NC_000004.12, on the reverse strand, counting down.
CGCACAGGGCAAGGGGACTGGCGGCAAAGTTGGCGCAGGCAGGTGATTTGCTTCGCTTCCTCACACACCTCACAAAAGCCTTTCCTTCAAGACCCGCTGGCAGTCCCCAAACCACGAGCCACGGCAGAGCTTTCCCATTAATAAGTCCTGTTTGCTCACATGAACTCCATGTTTTGATGGGGCCTCAATCTCATTCTGAACAGGGTAAAGTAGGGACGGGATTCCGGACCACAGCTCCTCCCACGCCGGCACCGCGCAGGCCGCCGCGGTGTCTTCCGGATGAGCTCCTACTCACTCCACAGCCCGGGGAAAGTGCAGGGCTACCGGCGCAGAGCTGCACAAGGAGGGCTGCAGGCTGGGCCAGAGCCGCTGTACGGGGACTGACAAGAGCGCGGGTCCCTCACCGGAGGGGACTGAGGACAGAGGGCTGAGCGGGAACTCCATTCACAGACTCCTCCCACCGCCGCCATTTCCCGCCGGTTCCGATGAGGCCTCCACAGCCTTGGGACGCCCTGCCCTGCACACTCACCATTTCCCGACTTCAGGAGTGTCCCAGAGTCTTAGATACGAATCATCCAATACCGGCAGGTCACAGAGCCACAGAGGCTGAGGCTGTGGCAGAATCACCGAGGCTTCCCTAAGGAGCGGGAGCAGAGCGATGAGGCCCTAACCGAGCTCTGGCTGGAGCTACAAGCAAAAGCCGCGCCAGATCCCGGATGCCGCACCCTCCTCTCTGCTGCGCGCCTCATTCGGCAGTTGTCAATCCAGCGCTCTAATTGGATAGAGCTGTAAGTCTCCCGCCTCAGGCCTTGAGTGACAGAAGTTGCAACCATACACAGCACTGAATGAGGCGAGAGTGACAGGCTCTGGCCTCCTGGTACTTTGAGGCAGGTTTTTTGTGTTTGTTTTTTGAGTCTGGCTCTTCTCGCCCAGGCTGGAGTGCAGTGGCGCGAACTCGGCTCTCTGCAACCTCTGCCTCCCGGGTTTAAGCGATTCTCCTCAGCCTCCCAAGTAGCTGGGATTACAGGTGCCCACCACCACACCCGGCCAATTTCTGTATTTTTAGCAGAGACAGGGTTTCACCATGTTGGCCAGGCTGGTCTTGAACTCCTGACCTCAGGGTATCTGTTCGCCTATGTCTCCCAAAATGCTGGGATTAAAGGCGTGAGCCACCACGCCCGGCCCAGGCTGGGGTGTTATCTCTGTGCTTGGCTTGGTACAGCCCAGTGGTCATTTTTTTAACCTTGTGGTATGTAAGGTTAGGTCCATTTATAATATAAATTATACACACACGCATGCATGCACGCACATGCACACACACGTACACATGCACGCGTGCATACACAAACTTGTTCACAAACGGAAACAATATAATGACAATTATTTTAATGTTTTATAACCTTTCTGGCCTCTGGTCTTTTGAGTAGGACACATGAGATTTTAAGAAGGAAGTAATCCTCTAAAAAATAAAATGTTAGCTATTAGTGAATTTTCAATTTTTTATTAGCCACATCGAAAATAATAAAAACAAGTGAGATTGTTTGTGATAATTTTAGCCTACTATATCCAAAATATTATTGTTTTAATATGTGATCAATATATAATTGAGAGGTGAAGCCAGCTGGACTTCCTGGGTAAACTGGGGACTTGGAGAACTTTCCTGTCTTACAAGAGGATTGTAAAATGTACCAATCAGCACTCTGTAAAAACGCACCAATCAGTGCTCTGTAGCTAGCAAGGGGATTGTAAAATGCACCAATCAGCACTCTGTAAAATGCACCAATCAGCAGGATCCTAAAAGTAGCCAATTGCAGGGAGGATTGAAAAAAGGGCACTGTGATAGGACAAAAACGGAACACGGGAGGGCACAATTAAGGGGAAATGGGAGGTGGAATAAAAGCTGACCACCCCAGCCAGCAGTGGCAACCAACTGGGGTCCCCTTCGATGCTGTGGAAGCTTTGTTATTTCCCTCTTCAAAATAAACCTTGCTACTGCTCACTCTTTGGGTTCGTGCTATCTTTAAAAGCTGTAACACTCACCACAAAGGTCCGTGGCTTCATTCTTGGTCAGCAAGACCACAAACCCACCGGAAGGAACCAACTCCAGACACATAATTAGGAATACCTATATTTTGCCAGGCGCTGTGGCTCACGCCTGTAATCCCAGCACTTTGGGAGGCTGAGGTGGGTGGATCACGAGGTCAGGAGATCGAGACCATCCTGGCTAACATGGTGAAAGCCCGTCTCTATTAAAAATACAAAAAAATTACCCAGGCGTGGTGGCGGGTACCTGTAGTCCCAGCTACTCAGGAGGCTGAGGCAGGAGAATGGCGTGAACCCGAGAGGCAGAGCTTGCAGTGAGCCGAGATTGCACCACTGCACTCCAACCTGAGCGACAGAGCAAGACTCCGTCTCAAAAAAAAAAAAAAAAAAAGAAGTAAAGTATATTTCTGGTATAATTATTCTAAACTCACTGTGCATTTTTTGTTTGCAGCACATTTTACTTCAAACCATCCACATTCCAGGTACCCAGTAGCTACATATGGCAGGTGGCTGCCACATTGAGTGCAGACATGAGGGTTCTGACCTCAGGGAATTGAGGGCCTGAACACGTCTTTTCTGCTGGAAGTGAGGGAACAGCCTCTCTACCAACTTTTCTCCTCAGGATCAAGGGTGGGTGGGACAGAACCCCTAGAGAGAGCAGGGGCTGCAAGCTGAGAGTGTCCACGTGAAGACCACGGTCTCCCAGTTGCTGTTTTGTAGAGATGTGGTGGTCTCCTCAGTTCAGCCAGGTCTAGCCTCTCATCCACGACCAAGAAGAATGAAGCATGGCAATACCAGAGAGTGAGTTTGGCAGAGTAGGATTTATTAAGCAAAAGGAAAGCTCTCAGCAGCAAAAGGGGACCTGAAAGCAGGTTGCCTGAAATGGGCCTAATTTCTTTTTTCTTTTTTTTTTTTTTTTGAGACAGAGTATTGCTCTGTTGCCCAGGCTGGAGTGCAGTGGTTTGATCTCAGCTCACTGGAACCTCTGTCTCCCTGGTTCAAGTGATTCTCCTGCCTCAGCCTCCTGAGTAGCTGGGATTACAGGCACCCACCATCATGCCCAGCTAATTTTTTGTATTTTTGTAGAGATGGGGTTTCACCATGTTGTTGGCCAGGCTGGTCTTGAATTCCTGACCTCAAGTCATCCACCTGCCTCTGCCTCCCAAAGTGTTGGGATTACAGGCGTGAGCCACTTCATGCATCCGAGTTCTGGGTCTTTTATGGGGCAAGAAAAAGGAAGTCTTCTGGGGTTCTGCCTAAATGGGAGGGGTAAGTTCCCCACTAAGGGTATTGCATCTGTGCATGCCTGGGGTGGGCCACAGTGACTCCATCTTAGTTATTACCCATGAGTGCCTAAGCAAAAACTTGGAGAAATGGGGGAAGGGGTGTGCTAAAACAACAATGCTAATGTCGTGTGTACGATATTCTAATAAGCTGGGTCAAGTTTAGGACATTTAGGTTGATTTATTGCGCCTGCACCTAAGTTGAAAAAATCCCTTCTGAGCAACATCCTGGCATAAGGAAGTTGTTAACCACATTTCTTCCTGCTAGCTACAGGGGCAGTGCTGGTGCGGTCCTGTGGGTGTTTTTTCTGTCCCAAAACCCTCCCTCTCTATCTGCCTAACCAGCCTCTGACTGCTTCCTCTCTCAGAGGTTTGTTTTCCTTTTAAATATCAGACAATAAACAAAGAATGATGGGGCTCCAGTAGGAGAGAACACAATGTCTTCAGATATCTTCGCAGCCTTGACCTCCAAAGTTTAGATGTAGAGGGAATGGATTAAAGGCAAACTTCTTGTTTCTTATTTATCTTTGGACCTAATTGTCAGGCTGTAACTGTGTGTTTTTCTCCTGTGGCGTGGGGCATGCTGTGAGTTTAAGCACCGATCACTTGCATCCACATCTACCTGCACTTCTGTTCCAGAAGGAAGGCCGTAAGTGTGAGTTGTCCAGATCCTTGGCATTTTGAACAAAGAATTGAACAAAACGCAGAAAGTAACAGAGGAACAAAACACCGGAAGAAGCAGCAAAAGTAGAAATTTATTAAAGTGAGAAGGCACTCCACAGGGTGGGCGTGGGCTCGAGCAAATGGCTCAAGGACCTGGTTACAAAGTTTTCTGGGTTTTAAGTACAGCTTTTGGGGTCCCTATTGGCTGCCCCTTATCTGGATGAAGGATTTGGTCTGTGGCTAATTAAAAACTGACAGGAATTGACATCCTATGCAGATGAAGGGATGGCGTGTGCTTAGCCTGTGGCCACTCCAAGGCACTCTCCCTTTCCGTCTGAGGAGTGGTGGAACGGGGTGGGTTGTAGGGAGAGTAGCCTTTGATCCTTTGCCACTCTGGTGTGGGGGGACGGGTTCTTTTTCTTTCGGTTTAGCTGTTGGAAGTTGGCCTTAACTGGTCTTAGGTTCCCTGCCCCCAGATCTTGGTGTTTTTTCTTTTAGGAAGTCAGCACAAATTGGCCTTAAGTTCCCTGCCTCTACACCCTATTCTCCTACCTCACTTCTGAATAACTGAATACCATCTTACAACAAATCTATTAAATAAAGGGAAAATAAAATCAATACTTACAGGGTGCCGAGCGTTTGCAGGTTATTTGTAATCAATCTGTCCTGGCATCCTGTATTTAATGGGTATATATATTACTAAGCTATAACTGCATAACAAACAATCTCAAAACATACTAGCTCATGATTGAGGTGGTTGGAAATTTAGGCTGGGCTCAGCAAGGCTATTCTGGGCTCAGTTTGGCTCCTTCAGGCATGAGTGTTCAGCTGCTGGTGAATTAGGTGGCTCTGCTTCTGGGAGTGAGCTGTCTGTAAACTGGGGCACTTTGGCTTTTCTTAGCATGCTATTTTATCCTCCAGAAAGTTAAATGGGCTTGTTCTAATAGAGATGAAAGGGTTCTGAAAAACAAAACGAAGCATTTAAAACTGTTTGAACCTAGGTACCAAACTGACATACTGTCATGTGCACAGCTTTGGCCAGTGCAAATAAGGCAAGAAAGAGTCAAGGTTTGGGAAGCAGAATCTGTCTCTTGATGGGAACGACTATAAAAGCCACTGCCAAGGGCATGAATACAAGAAGAAATTTTAAAATATTTGTCTTTTTTATTTTTGAGATGCAGTTTTGCTCTTGTCACCCAGGCTGGAGTGCAATGGCATGACCTGAGCTCACTGCAACCTCTGCCTTCTGGGTTCAAGCAATTCTCCTGCTTCAGCCTCCGGAGTAGCTGGGATTACAGGCACATACCACCATGCCTGGCTAACTTTTTCTATTTTTAGTAAAGATGTGTTTCCCCATGTTGGCCAGGCTTGTCTCGAACTCCTGACCTCAGGTGATCCACCCACCTCGGCCTCCCAAAGTGCTGGGATTACAGGTGTGAGCCACTGCGCCTGGCCAAAAAAAATTTGTCATTTATGCAATCAATTTTATTATGCCTTTTCTTGCAGATGAGGTTTATATAACTGCCCCAAAGCTACTAAGCAGTTGGCTGGGACTCAGGATCTACTTTGCCTGAAAGCAAGAAACATCACTCTGTCTACCTTCCAATATACTATAAGGCTATAGTGACCAAAATAGCATGGTACTGGTACAAAAACAGACACACAGACCAATAGAACAGAATACAACACTCAGAAATAAACCTGCACACCTACAGCCATCTAATTTTTAACTAAGCTGGCGAAATAAGCAATGGAGAAAGCACTCTCTATTCAATAAATGGTGCTGGGATAACCAGCTACTCATATGCAGAAGAGTAAAACCAGACCTATACCTTTGGCCGTATACAAAAATTAACACAGGATCAATTAAGGATTTAAATTTAAGACCTCAAACTATAAGAATGCTACAATGCCACCTAGGAAATATATTTCTTGACATTAGCCTTGGGAAAGAATTTTTGGCTAAGTCTCCAAAAGCAATTTCTGGAAAAACAAACATTAACAAGTGGGACTTAATTAAACTGAAAAGCTTCTGCTTAGCAAAAGAAACTATCAACAGAGTAAACAGAAAATCTATAGAATGAAAGAAAATATTTGCAAGCTATGGATCTGATGAAGGTCTAATTTCTGGAATCTGTAAGAAATATAAACAATTAAACAAGCAGAAAACAAATAAACCTATTTTAAAATGTGCAAAAACATGAACAGATATTTATCCAAAGAGAACTTACAAGCACCAACAAATGTGAAAATATGCTCCACATCACTAATCATCAGAGCAATGCAAATCAAAACCACAGTGAGATATCATCTCACACCAGTCAGAATGGATATTGTTAAAAAGTCAACAAAAGACATATGTTGGTGAAACTGTGGGAAAAACAGAAAACTTATACACTCCTGGTAGGAATGTAAATCAGTTCAGCCACTGTGGAAAGCAGTTTGGAGATTTCTCAAAGAACTTAGAACTACAATTTTACCCTGCAATCCCATTACTGGGTATTTATCTTTAAAAAATTATTCTACCAAAAAGACACATGCACTCACTTGTTTATTGCAGCACTATGTGCAATAGCAAAGACATGAAATCAACGTAGTAACCTATGAGTGGTAGGCTGGATTTTAGAAATGTGGCACATATACACCGCAGAATACTATGCAGCCATAAAAAGAATAAAATTATGGGTTTTTTTGCTGCAACATGGAAGCAGCTGGGGGCCATTATTCTAAACAAATTTATTCAGAAACAGAAAATCAAATACTGAATTTTCTCAGATATAAGTGGGAGCTAAACGTTGGGTACTCATGAACATAAATATGGCAACAATAGACACTGGGAACTAGTAGATGTAGGAAGGAGGGGAAGCAAGTGTTGAAAAACTGTTGAGTACTATGTTCAGTACCTGGGTGACAAGATCACTCATACCCAAAACAGCAACATCACACAATATGCACATCAAACAAACCTGCATATGTACCCCCTTAATCTAAAATAGAGTTGAAAAACAAGTTTACAGTACCAACCATGCACCATAAAACTTATCATACTTCCACAAAAAAATATATATAAAGCATCTTGGTTTAAAAATCTATAAACATATACAGTTGGAAGCTAAAAAATAAACAGTTGGAAGACCTAATGCATATTCTCTCTTTTATACAAAATGGTAAACATTAATTTCCACAAAGCAAATGGCTATAACAAAATCCAAGCACCCTTTTCCTCTGAGTCATGGCTCCTGGAAGATGAGGCTGTGCATGAAGATGGGGCTGTGCATCTTTTCTCCTGCGTCCCAAAATAGATCCATCAATACAGCCACCTTCAGCTCCCCAAGGGGTACCCCAAGAATCACATTCTGTTGCTATTACACTGCCAGAAGTGAGGAGCCCACTGAATAGCCAGCCCCAGGACTAAGGCAGAGTCAGCAAGCCCTGAGGGACAGAGGCAGGAGGCAGGCAGCAGCTGGAGGGAGAGAGAAGAGGTACAAAGACCCATAACAAGCCTTCAGCCTGATTTTGATACAAAGCCTGCTGAAGTCACCCTCTTCTTCTTTACATCCAAGAACTACTTCAGATGACTCTTCACTGTCTTTATAATTTAGCTCCTTCTCTGAGAGCTAAACTGAGTATATGGGAAATGTAGAGAGGGTGTTTTAAAAGAAAATGTTCCACACAACTCTTGGGGTCACAAATGGCTGTTAGAGAAGAGGATTTGAAGGTTCAAATATCCTCAGTGAAATAAGCATTGCTGGTATGAAATAATCACCAGCGTGTGTACCACCCTCTCACTGCCTCATTGACTCAGGCTGGTTGTATGAATATTTTCCTTGACTCAATTCTTTACACAGGATGCTCCTTGAATAATCCATTTGGAGACTCCAGAGAAATAAAAACAGGGCTGCGGTTTCTCTGTAGGCCACTCTGCATCTAGGCGAATCTTTCCAGTATTCTATTTTCTCTCCACCACTCTGTGTAAAAGGGTCTCACCCTGCACTTCCCATTTTGCTTTTACTATGGGGAAGTTCCCTCTCAATCTTTGTTTTCCACAAAAAGCCCATGTCTCATATTCCATTTTCTGAACCCTCAGCTTAGTCAAGTCCACTTGAATTTTTACAAAGAATGTCTTAGTGTTATAAAGAAATCTCTTTAAAATGTGAAAGTCATCTGACATGAGTGCGGCAGAACTCCACTCCAAACAAAGTGGATTTTCTTCCTCTGGCCGGGCCTGCAGCCTCTTTCCTCAAAACCTTTACAATGCTAGGATTCCCTTGGAAATCCTAAGACTCTTACTTGTTCCCTCCAATGAAGGAAAATATTGTTTTTCATTTGGCATGGAGACACAGAGAAAAGAGGCGGAGAGAAAGGTCATGGGAAGTGAATACAGGGTAAAGTAAAGGCATCTATGCACAAGCACAGTGATCATGTTCTCACCAAGGGCAACACACATGTTCAAAAAACCAGCAGAAGGTTGGAAGGCCTAACACATCAAGATACAGAAACCTCAAATCTTCATCTTATGCAAATTAGAAATTGCAGAAGAAAAGATTAGTGAACCACAAAAACTATTCAAAATGAAACAGAGAGAGAGAACAAAAAGAATTTTTAAAATCCAGAGTGCATCAGTGAGCTAGTAGTACAATAACTTGAAGCTCCCTAACATATATATACATATATATATATATGATAGCAGTCCCCAAAGGAGAGGAGAAAGAGGAGGGGATCAAAAATATATTTGAAGAAGCAGCCAAAAAATTAGCAAATTTGGTAAATTATGAAAAGTTCAAAGTGCAAGAATTGCAAAGAAAATTATGACACATCACAATAAAATTGCCCCAAACCCATGATAAAAAGTCAACATGCTCTAAATAATCCATGGGTCAAAGCAGACATCAAAAGGAAAATCAGAAAGTATTTTGAACTGAATGAAAATAAAAACACTAAAGTTTGTGAGCTGCCTCTGAAAATGAGCTTGGGGTAAATTTATATCATTAGTAATCATATTAGGGGAAAAAAAGGTCTAAATCAATGACCTAAGCTTTAAACTTAAAAATTTAGAAAAAGTAAAATTAAACCCAAAGAGAAAAGAGAAAATAACAAAGACCAAAACAGAAATCAATGAAATAGAAAACAACACACACACACACACACACACACAGAGAGAAAGGTCAATAGAATCAAAGCTAGTTTTCTAAAAAAAATTAATAAAATTGATTATCCTATATCTAGACTAGTCAGTCAGGGGAGAAAAGAGAACAGGCACAAAATAACAATATCAAGACTAAAAGATGTGACATAGCTACAGATGTTCACAGATGTAAAAAGGATAAGGAAATAGTCTGAACAGCTTTATGTCACTAAATTTTAGAACTTAAAATACATTTGAGACACAAACTACAAAAACTGATCCAAGAAAAAAAAATCTAAATGGCATGTATTTATTTTAAAAATTAAATTTCTAAAAAAAAATTAAATTTCTAGTTAAAAACTTGCTCACAAAAACATCTCCAGGTCCAGATCACTTCACTTTGTGGTCTCTAGATGAAAACTTTTAAAAGAAAACTTTTATGACAATGAATTAAGCAAAGATTTCTTCCATAAGACATGAAAAACACAATGCGTGCAATAAGAAATTAACAAATTAGATTTTATCAAAAAATTTAAAAACTTTTAATTTTTAAAATATAAGCCATAGACTGGGAGGAAGTAGTTGCAAATCATATATTTGATAAGAGACATGTTTCCAGAGTGTATACGGAAAAAACTGATTTTTAAAACTGACCAAAGATTTGAATAGGCCTCACCAAGGTGTTACAGGAAAGGGGTCCTGATCTGGACCCCAAAAGAGGGTTCTTGGTTGTCCAGCAAGAATATGGGGCGAGTCCATAGAGTAAAGTGAGAGCAAGTTTATTAGAAAAGTAAAGGAATGAAAACTGGCTGTACCACAGGCAGAGATGGGACATGAGCTGGTTCTACTGACTATACTTATTTCTTGATTGTATGCTCAACAGAAGGTGGATTATTCGTGAGTTTTCCTGAATGAGGAAGGTTCCTCCCCCTTTTAGATTATATAGAGTAACTTTCTGACGTTGCCTTGGCATTTGCAAACTGTCTTGGTGCTGGTGGGAGTGCCTCTTAGCATGCTAATGTATTATAATTAGCATATAATGAGCAGTGAGGATGACCGGAGGTCACTTTCATCACCGTCTTGGTTTTGGTGGGTTTTGGCTGGCTTCTTTACTGCATGCTGTCTTATCAGAAAGGTCTTCATGACCTGTATCTTGTGCTGACCTTCTGTCTGATCCTGTGAGTAAGAATGCCTCACCTCCTGGAAATGCAGCTCAGTAGGTTTCAGCCTCTATTTACCCAGCCCCTTTTCGAGATGGAGTTGCTCTTGTTCAAATGTCTTTGACAAAAGAAGATATACAAATGGCAAATATGCACATAAAAAGATGCCCAACATAAACAGTAGTCTGTATTTGGAAGCAACAGAAATAAGGAAAATGCAAACTAAAACCAAAATGAGAAATTACTCTCCACATATTAAAATGGCTAAAATGAAAATGGCTAACCATACCAAGTTTATATTATCATGTGGAACAACTGGAACACTCACACTGTTGGTGGGAATGTAAAATGGTAAAACTACTTTGAGAAAAAAATTGGGAGTTTCCTAAACAGGTAAATGTTCACCTATCATATAATCTAGCCATTCCACTACCAAATATTTGCCCAAGAGAAAGAGAGAAAGGAAAGCATATGTTCACACAAAGACTGCTTACAAATGTTTCATTTTCTTTGTAATAACCCCAAACTGGAACCAGTGAAAATGTCCATCATCAGGTGAATAAATAAGCAAACTGTGACATATCCACACAATTGAATATGACTCAGCAGTGAAACAGAATGTGCTATTGACACATACTTCAACAGGGATGAATCTCAAAATAATTATGCTGAGTGAAAGAAGCCACAGAGAGAGACAGAGTTATGATTCCATTTCTATAAAACTCTGGAAACAAACTGACTGATACTGACAGAAAAAAGATCATTGCTTGCCTAACAATGTGAAGGGAAGAGGCAGGGAGGGGTCGAGCAAGAGATTACCGAGGAACATAGGAAATTTGGAGGTGTGATGGGCATATTCATTGTTATGATTGTGGTAATGGCTTTATGGGTGCACATGTATTTTGGAACTTATTAAACTGCACACTTTATTTTTTTGACACAGGGTCTTGTTTTGTCATCCAGACTGGAGTGGAGTGGCAGGATCATACCTCACCACAGCTTTGAACTCCAGGGCTTAAGCAATATCCTGCCTTAGATGCCTGAAAATCAAGTGCAGTGCAACCCTGCACTCCAGGCTGTGTGACAGAGAGAGACCCTCTCTCAAAAAAAGAAGAAAGAAGGAAAGAAAGAAAGAGAGGAAAGAATGAAAGGAAAGAAAGAAAAAAAGAAAGAAGAAAGAAAAAAGAAAGAAAACAGTGATACAATCTTTTGCTTTGTTCTGTATCTTTAATTGTATTGAAGGCTATGTCTCTTTTTTTTTTTTTTGGCCAGGTTTCAAGTGGAATGGCTAGATGGACCAAATAATATGCACATTTGTAAGGCTATTAAATCAGTGGGTCTCCAGGAAGCTTGCAACAAGACCCACACCTTCCAGCCACCTTTGTTACTCATTTTATTTTTTCTTAGTTGGGGAGATGGAGTCTCACTCTGCCACCCATGCTGGAGTGCAGTGGCATCATCTCAGCTCGCTGCAACCTCCACCTCCCAGGTTCAAGTGATTCTCTTGCCTCTGCTTCCAAGTAGATGGGACTACAGGCTTGCATCACTACACCCAGCTAATTTTTTGTATTTTAGTAGAGACAGGATTTCACGTGTTGCCCAGACTGGTCTCAAACTCCTGAGCTCAGGCAATCCGCCCGCCTTGGCCTCCCAAAGTGCTAGGATTACAGGCATGAGCCACTGTGTCTGGCCTTGTAACCCGTTTTCTTACCAGCACACTTCTTTACCAGAAAAGGATAAGTAGGATTTCTGTCTCTCATCTTTGCCCATGATTTCCCCATTCCTGAATTTCTGTGGCAATGCAGACAATCAAAAAGTCCCCCCTAAGCTCTGTCAGGGTGGCTGTGAGTTGGAAATAATGGATATCAATGGCTCATGGCAGGTCCAGGGCAGCAGCTAGTATAGCTGCTCCCCTACTTCCTGCCCACAGTGAGCCCTGCAGTTTAGTTGAGGTTAGGAAGTCCTCACTAGGCTGCTTGCAGCCAGGCCCTATGGCCCATGGGTGAGTCAGATAAGTCCCTGTCTTCCAGGAGCTGGCAGTCTGTTGGGGAAGACAAGCAGGTAAATGGAGAATCTGAACTCGTAAAAAGAGCTGAGAAAGAGGGTGTAAGGGAGGAGACCACCCTTCATATTGTCTTATGCCCAATTTCTGCCTCCAAAGAAAGAAGTAAAAACTAAAAGGCAGAAATGGAATCCACAGGCAGATAGCCCAGCACCACGCCATGGGCCTGGTAGTTAAAAATCAACCCCTGACCTAACTGCTTGTGTTGTCTATAGATTTCAGACATTGTATGGAAAAGCACTGGGAAAATCCCTGCTGTTCTGTTCCGTTCTGATTACCCCAGTCACATACCCACTGCTTGCTCAATCAATCATGACCCTCTCCTGTGGACCCCCTTAGAGCTGTAAGCCCTTAAAAGGGATAGGAATTGCTCACTTGGGAAGCGCAGTTTTTGAGATGTGAGTCTTTCCGACACTCCCAGCCGAATAAAACCCTTCCTTCTTTAACTCGGTGTCTGAGGGGTTTCGTCTGTGGCTTATCCTGCTACAGGTGCAGGTGGGGAGGGAGGGTAGGCAGGACTCTGGAGTTGTGACCTTGACCAGCGGAATCCAGGGCACCAGGGCAAAGCACTTCCAGGTGCTGCATTCTTTCACCAGACCTGAGTTCTCATCCCTCTTAGGGGTGGCTCTCAGCATCCATCTTCAGGCCCTTGCTATAGGACCCCGCGTGGAGCTCACAGAATACTGAGGCTGCCACACCTGTGGGAGGGTGGCAGCAGGAAACAGAAGCTTTCTGAAACCTGATGCCAGTAAGAGGAGCAGAGGGAGCCAAGAAACTGCCCAGGCCAGCCCTGGATGTGGAGGAGGCTCCACTGTGAGCCACAGCAGGATCCCAAACTTTGTAGGTGCAGGAATAAGAGAGAGTGTCAGAAGGACTGGGAGATGGAGCAATGGCCTCTGTGGAGGAGTAAGCCCTCCTCACCAGAGGCCGTGAGGATCCTCCCTTGGGGTTTCTGGCTGGACTCTATGTCTTCGCTTTAGTACTCTATTCTAAACCCATCAGAAGCGCTTTGCTGCTACAAAATAAACTCCAGACTGGAGCGTGGCATCAAGGGCTCTTCCCAACCTGACTCCAAATTGACTTTCTGACCATCTCCCCCTCCTGCCCTATACTTTCAACCTTCCTGTTCTTTGCTCACACAAGTCCATCCACCTGGCACACCTTCCCCTGAATATTTTCCCATTTTCCCAATCTCCAGGCCTACCTCTGCCTCCTAGAAGCCTTTCATTCTGAGACTCCTGGGCCTGGAGATTTACCAAAGTGTCGTGCATTTTCCCAGTCTTAGGATTGTTTATGTCCCCCCAGGTACCTGCACATGCCCCACACACAGCGGCACTGCATAAACATGGGGCAATGTTTCGCTCCCCCATTGCCTTCGTTCTGTTCCCTCTGAACCCCTGAAATTTGAGACAGTTAATTTAAAAAGTTTATTTTGCCAAGGTTGTGGATGGCATGTCTATGACACAGCCTCAGGAGGTCCTGACAACATGTGCCCAAGGTGGTCAGAGCACAGCTTGGTTTTATACATTTTGAGGGGCATAAGACATCAATCAACATATGTAAGATGAACACTGGTTCAGTCCAGAAAGGTAGGACAACTCCAAGCAAAAGCGAGACAACTGGAAGTGGGGAGGGGGTTTCCAGGACAGAGGTAGGTGAGAGACAATCCATTGCCTTCTTTTGAGTTTCTGATTAGCCTTTTTAAAGGAGGAAATCAGATATGCATTTATTTCAGTGAGCAGAGGGATGACTTTGAATTGAATGGAAGGCAGGTTTGCCCTAAGCATTGCCAGCTTGAATTTTCCCTTTAGCTTAGTTACTTTGGGGCCCAAGATATTTTCCTTGAATGGGTCAGGTCCTCTGCCACTGTGTCTTCCTCAAAGATGCTCTGCAACAGATGGTGGTGTTCTCATTTGATGGGTGAGAAAACTGCCTTGGAGACGTGAAAATCCAGAGAACAAAGTCAGCATCAGTGTGGGTCCTCCCACCCAGGCCTGCATCATTGTCTCAGTAGCCCTGGCACACAGTGTGAGGGGCCAGAATCGGTCTCCCTGTTTCTGCCCAAGGACCCTGCAGTCTCTTCTGAGCTCAGATACTGGGCCAAACTGAGCTGTTGGAAACCAATATCACAGCCCTCTGGGACTTTGAATAGTGAAAACCTTCACAATGGTCTGCGGAGAAGGGAGCCTCGAGGTTTGATCTGGGCCTTCCCTTCCTTTCTAACTTTCTCACCTCTTCCACTCCCTCCCCCTTGCCCTTTGCTCTGGCCAGTGTCACTGGGGCCCCTGCACAGCCTTCCCTCTCTCTGGAATCTCTTCCCTGGGCTGACTCCTCACCTCCAGGATCTTTTGTGACCCTCTCCCTCTGCCATCACCAAACCCCAGATCGATCCCCTTTTGTGCCTCCTCCCTTCCTTTCTTTCTCTCCTGTCATTGCTTCTTCCTCCTGTCCCAATATTAACCCAGGGTGATCTAGGGGTCTGGAGGTGTAGGTTTGAAGGGGTCCTGAAATGGCCACACACAGATTCATTAGACCCTCTGCAATTCCTAAAGGGTTAATAATGGAACCTCCCATACCCAAGGCGAGGAATTTCCCCCAGGAAAGGTGACTTAATGAGTAGCGAGTGTGACCAACAGGCACCACTTTATCAGGCAGGCACTGAAGAGGCAGGGGAGGGAAAGGATGGAAGCACAGAAACACCTCTGTCTCTCTCTCGCTCTTCCACTAATCTGTGTCCTAACTGAAAGCCCACAGGAGGGACGATGACTTGCTCAAGGTCACCAGCACCTTGGAGAATAGCGAGCCAGGGCCACAGAGGAAGACAGTCTCCTGACCAGCGTGAACCAGTGTCTGCTTCCAAGTCACAGTGGCCTCACTGTCAATGGAGCTCCTTGTGCCCAAAGGCAGGGTGCCTAACCAAGGAGCCACATGAGTGCCAGCTCTGCCACTCTGTAGCCTACAGTAGGCTCCGTTTTGCTTCCTGGTCTTTTTCCTCTTGGGTCCAACTGTCCAGTTTCTTCACCCACTATTCGGACCTCATCTTGTCCCGGCCACTAGAGGCTCAGCTGTCAGGGACCCTCACAACTCAGGCCTCTTCTGTGCTTTCCTTGGGCACCCCTGGACTTCTGTTATCCTCTGAGTGGGCTGGTGAACCACTCCCGTGGAGGTCTTTACATTAACCCAGCCCCTCTCAATCAGCAATCTCCCCTGCCACTCATCCAGATGCTAATTATTTCTCCGTTGAGTTTTTCTCTACCTAATTGAAAATTAACGTCTGATTCCTCTCTCTCCCTTGCATAACCTCCGTGAAAAATGTCAGATGCCTTAACCCCAGGAAGTTCTCTGCCTATATTTCCTTTCCCACCTCCTTCTCCCAGGCACTTTGACTCCGTCTTTCCATTCACATATGTATCTAGAGCCTACCATGTTGTAGTCCCTGGGGATATTGCAGTGAACCAAACAATGTCCCTATCCTGTGGGAGCTTGAGTTCTAGTTGGGGGAGACAGATAACAGACAAAATGAATAAATAATGTACATAGTGTGACAGATGGTGATGAGGACTATGGAGAAAAAGAGATTGGGAAAGGAAGACAGGGAACCCCTGGGGGAGGAGGTTCTGCAATTTTAGAGCAGCTATCTGGAAGAAGGGCAGTCCAGGCAGAAAACACAGCAGGTGCAGGGGGACTGGGGAGCCCGTATGTTCCAGGAAGAGCACAGGGCCAGGGTGGCCGGAGGGAAGCAAGTGAGAGGAGGTGCGGTGGCAGGCAAACTCAGAGGGGTGATGTGCAGGCAGCATGGGCCAATTCTCCGGGACCTTGTGGGTCATCTTAAAGCCTCTGGCTTTTACTCTGATGAGACAGGAAGCCAGTCCATGGTTCTGTGCAGAGCACTGATATGGTCTCACCTAGTGGTGGGTTGCAAAGGGACTTCAGGGGTCAACAATGAAAGTGGAGACCAGTTAGGGGGAGAGGGATGAAGGCAATGAGTAGTCATGGGGGATGAGAAGCAATTGGATTCTTATGTCTTGAAGGTGGGGCCCACAGGAGGTGGGTGTGAGAGAGGAGGTGAGGACAGTGGCCTGGATCACTAACTGGAAGGATGGGGTTTGGGGAGGAGCAGGTCTCCGGAGGAGGATGCAATGTGGGCAGCCTGCACACATCACTTAGAGCTTTCTCTCCAGCTGTGTGTCAGTGGGTACTTGCCCCTGTGCCTTTGCACATGTTGGCCTCTGTGCCTGGAAATCTTTCCCTTCCCTGGAAGAAGAGCTTTAACTGCCTTCTCAAGGGTACCTTCTGTGAATCTGTCCTGTCGGCCCTCACCCCCTCTAGCCCTCTCTTTGCCTCATGCACTTGCTGGACCTCAGGCACGCTACACAGCCTTGACCATATTGTGCCACAGAAGGTGCCCCAGGAGTCAGGACAGCGTGCCATCCATCGCCGAAGCCTGTGCTCCTCAGAGTGTCCGCCACACAGCAGGGCTCAGCGAGAGACTGACAGGGGACCTGGCTGGACTCTAGCTCTCTTCTTGACAGGTGCTGCCACCTTGGGCCGCTCACCTTGCCTCCGTGGGCCTCCGTTTCTGCATCTGTCAAATCGGTGTGCGCTTTCCCCTTCCCCCGCGAGGGTCCTGTGGGGATGGTCCCACTCCAAGGATCCTGAAAACACTGGTTAGCACGCCCTGTGCTGGGAGACGACAGGCTCTTTAACCCTCTTCTCGCCTGTCCCCTGCTTTGCGCTGGAGGGAGACGAAAGAGCCGGGCAGAGGAACAGGAGGAGAAACTGCCGACAATCCCTCATTTCCAATGCACTTTACACACATTTTCCCATTAATCCTCCGAACTCTCAAGTGTAGCCGGGACCGAGCTGAGGGCTGGCGATGGCGGCTGCGAGTGAAGGAGACCCCGCGGGTGGAACAGGAGGGTGAACCCGGCCGCCCCGCCCGTGTGGACCGTCCCGCCGCTGCCCGCATCCCGCGCGCCCGGAGCCCAGCGCAGCACAGAGGAGCCGCCAGGGCCCCGCACGCCGCGGACCCGCCCCTGGGCCTCAGGGTCCCGACCTCGCAGCCGGGCTCTCCTGTCCTCGCCGCGTCCCCAGGGCCATGCGTTTCCCGAGCCGCCGCCGCCCGGGCCGCCTGCACCTTGCGGCAAAAGTCGGTCTCGCCCTCGGCGACCGCGCGGGGGAGGAGCAGGAGGAGGGAAGGGAGGACTCGGCCCTTCAGGGGACCGCTGGCCGCTGCCGCCCGCCTGGAGCCCCATGGAGCCCGGGCCGAGCCCGGGAGCGGGAGGAGGACAAGCTGCTGGGGCCCTGCCCAGCGCGGAGGGGCGGGCGGAGGGCCCGGGGCGACTCACGGGACACGGCGGGTCGGCTCCTCGTCGCAGGTCGAGGCCCGGCGGCTGCCTGATTCCTGGGCGGCTCTTCCCGGCCGGGGCGCCGGGGCCCTGGGAACGCCTCGTGCGGGGCTGCGGGGCGCGCCGGGCACGGAGGGGGCGTCTGCTGGTCCCTGTGGGACCCCCGGGTGCCCCGCGCAGTCCTCCCGCAAGCGCGGCTCTGACACCGCCGCACGCCCGAGAGTCTGCGCTCCAAAGCTCCAGGGATGGATCGCAGCGCTGTTCACCTCTGCTTAGTTCCCTCTTCAGAGACACAGAAATACCAGGAAAAGGGATTTGATCGGCCACAGATTCCTCCTGTGAATTCTCACCCTTTTACTCCGGATTCTGCGTTGCGTCATTGCTAGGACAGCGTCGTGGTAGCACGAGGAGGTATTGGGATTGACTCCTGCGGTGAAGACATGGAAGCCAGTGATGATGAGTTTGAAGATGAAACTACACCTGCTTAGAGAATTACAGTTACTGAAAGCGATGTGAACTCTCGGCCTACAACAGAATTTCATGAGCCAGAGAAAATGGGCTCTGCAGAATTTGATTCTGTGTTTTAACAGCGTGGAGAGGCTGGATACATGTATTTATGCCATTAAGCGATCAGAAAAGTCACTGGCCGGCTCCGTTGATGAGCAGAACCCTTTGAGAGAAGTGTATGCTCAGGCAGTGCTCGGACGGCATTCGCGTACTTTGACACTTGTCTGCTTGGGCAGATGCTCATATGCTTACACAGAATGGATACCGTGATGGTGGAAGGTTTGTTGATGCTATAAGTGAAAATTACCGAATCACGAGTTACTTTAAAGAAGCAGAGTTGAAGGATCTCCTTCTGCAAGTTGGCCGGGGCTCGAGGTATATTCATTCAATGTCTTTAATTCACAGGGATAAGGAACCTTGTCTCAAACCTCAATCCCCAGTGCTGCCTCTGAAGAAGGAGATGAAGATGACTGGGCATCCAACAAAGTTACCTGTAAAATTCGTGATTGTGGGTATGTAACAAGGATCTCTAACCCACAAGTTGAAGAGACTGATAGTCTTTTTTTTTTTTTGCAAGTGAAGTTTTACAGGAGAATTATACCATCTACCAAAAGCAGATATCTTGCACTTCCCCTCACAGTGGTCTGTGCTGCTGGTCTGTGCTCTTCCCAGGAATGGAGACCAATGGCATGGAATCAGAGAGAATAGATTACCTCAGATACCACAAGTGCTTTCCCAAGAATTTTCAGAGTTGCTAAAAGTTATGA
Source organism: Homo sapiens (assembly GCF_000001405.40). Taxonomy (NCBI): domain Eukaryota; kingdom Metazoa; phylum Chordata; class Mammalia; order Primates; family Hominidae; genus Homo; species Homo sapiens. Next base: position 106,244 of record NC_000004.12, on the reverse strand, counting down.
TTCATTCATATCCAGAGAGAAGACCCTCAGCAATGGCCCTCTAAAGCATTCACTGCTGCTGTCTGCTTCTAGGAAGAGTAGAGAACCACTGTGTATAGGATTGAATGTTGAAACTTTCAAAAATACACTTTTACAAAAAGAACTCACGAGGGCATAGATGGTAAAGGCTGCAGCTGAGGAAGGAGCACTCTTCACTGATCAGAGGCCACTAGGTCCACCACGCATAGGAACACAACATCTTGGCTTATTAGAAAGAAAATGAAGTGCTCTGTCAGCCTTCTAGTAAACTACTCATTTCCCACCTACTCATCCCGCAAAAAACACTATGAAAAAAGCAAGCTAGGTCGAAATCACTGCTAGAATCCAATTTGCAATTACTCTCTCTATTGGTGTCAGTGGTTTTACTGATTAGGACTTTTATTTGTGAATTACAATTGAAAACTGTATTTTGACCATAGCTTTTTCAGGCTTTTATATAGTCTTACCAGTCTGTCTTCTGTAAAATGTCAGTCACTGGCGGATGTTAACGCAGTCTTTGCAAAATTAACCGCTGTGGTGGTGTGTTGCTCTCAGTGTGCTGTTGTCCTGTAATGAAGGTATCTTTTCCCGCGGTGGCCTGAAGAAAGGATTCAAGGGCTTGATCACAAACATATTCTCTCAATAAGGCAAATGCTAAAACCGCCCATTACTACTCAGCCTTCAATGCACCTGTGTATGAAATTTCTCTCTCTCTCTCTCTCTATATATATATGTTTTAAGTGAATTATACTTGTATATCCAACTGGGAGCACTTTGTAGCCTTAGCATGAGACATGGGATGATAATTCTGTGGAAGTATTGCCTTATAAATTTGCTATTTCAGTTTTGTCTCTGCTGTAAACTTTTAGCATTAAACAATTACTGTTGTTAATAGGCTTTCTTTTTGAAACAAATATGTAAAGTGTACAGCTGGTCTTGATGAAAAGCAGCTATTGGCCTTTTTTTTTTCTTTGAACTTTAAAGCTTTGGAATTTTGTATTAATCCAGTATAATAATTACTGAGTTTTGTAATTTTGTTCTGGTAATGAACTTCCCTGACTCTTAAAAAAATACCTCCTTCCCAATTTTGTATTTGATCATATTGTTAGTCTGTTGTTCAATGTTTTGTCTGGTTTCTCTCAAGTGTATGTGTATATAAACTTATCTTGGTGATCCTCTACACAGCTGTTTGTAATGCCAGAATTACTTCTGACATTCCAAGTTTTTTACAAAATAGATTTTTTTCTGTGATTAGCCGTTTGACTACTAATACTGGCTAATGTATTTTGCAAAAAAAAAAAAAAAAAAAGAATTTGTCCATGGCTTTCTCACTGATTTTGTTGTAAAATATGTTTGTATTTGTCTTTGACTTGTGTTTCATTAATATTGACTGGCAATATTAAAAGTCACCCTGAGTTTAACTTAATTGTCTAGAAAAAAAAAAGAAAAAGGGTTTATGGGTTGGACTACCAGGCAGAAGGCCTGGTGTGAGCACAGGTGTAGGTTTAGGGAACAAGCACAGCCATGCTGAGGAGGAGAGAGAAGGTGATGACCAAACACAGGAAAATCCAAAAACCCAGAAAGTCAAGGAGCCAAATGAAAGCCTTTTATCCTGCATCAACCATTTAACCTCATAAACACTGCAAGTGAACATGGTCTTTTAGAGATATTGATAGTTCTTATTTTCTTGTAATCCTGTAAAGGAAATGGATTTTTGACATCAGACTGTCCCCAGGAAATTTTTTCACCAGCCTGTCCCCAGGAATTAATAACAATTAAAATTATAATTTTAATAAATTAAAATTTATCCAAAATTAGAATATTATTTTTAGGAAGGCATCCTTCTGGATTAGGCTGCTAGGAAATTGAGTTAGTTGCTGTCAGTCATTCACACCCTGCACAGACATTAATTTACCAGAGCCTTGGTATGGAATGGGAGGAGATTATTATAAGCAGGACTGGCTGGTGGCCAGAGTGTGAAGGGGACAGAAAAAACACAGGGAGGCTAAACCTGGAGACAGCTCCAAACCCAGAAGACACTGTTATTATGCTTATTTTACAGAGGAGGAAACTAAAGCACAGGCAGGTCAAGACCATGCTGCCCCAGAGTCGAGGAGCCAGGATCTAAACCCAGCCAGCTTGCCTTGCCATCAGAGCTCACACACATAGTTTGTTCTGTAGTTATGCAGGATTGCACTGTGGCTAAGTACACAGACTCTGGGTTCACATCCCAGCTGCTCTGCTATTTCCAGGTTTGTGACCATGGGCAAGTTACTTGCCTGTGCTCAGTGTCTCCTGTAAAGTGAAGATAGCAGTACCTGCCTCATGGAGTCCCTTAAATGAGTTAATAGTGTAACATGTTATGGTGGCATGCACACAGTCACCATCTAGTAAGTATAGTCTATTATGCCTGAACCCCAGATGGGCACATGTCCTTGAAAAGTCTAAAATTCAGAACTCTGAAATCCAGCCTCTGAGATCCTGGAATCCTCGAGCAGCATTCTAACGTCTCCTGGCTGCAGAATTGTATGTTACTTTCTAGGGCTGGGAGGTGTATTTGTATTAATGTAGTGTAATAATATGGGCACCTGTCCACATAGTTCATCCCTATAGTAGGCAAATAAGGTGATGTCAAATCCTTGGCTGGGGCCCAGTCCTGGTAACCTTCCCTTCTCTCTTTCCTGCATACTCTGTCATTCAGATTCATACATGTCCCACAGGACTGCTTAGCCCACAGAAAATGCAGGAGGGTGAGGAGTGAAGGTGGGTGGGTAGGTGTACTTGTCCACTCAATTGTGCTGCCTCGTGCTATGCTGAACTTGCGGGCACAGGGACTGTGTCTGGACCTGAAGGGTTCTTACTCTCCCTTTAAGCCTCAATTTGCAGCAATCCCAGAGCTTTATCCCCCACTGTGAGCCTGTCTGAGTGTTTATGCTGGATGACATGCATACCCTCTGCCAGCAGTGAATAGACTAGGGCCTGATGAAGAAGCCATGGCAGGTGAGAAGAGCTTCAACATGCACTTTATCATGCTGGGTTTTTTTTTCTGCTGGCTCTCTGCACCTTTCTCATGAGCCATGATTGGCCCCAGGACTATGGCACCTTCTGAAGCTGTGTCATGGTGACTGGGGGCATCATTTGAAGCATGTCACTGCTACCCCAAGGGAGGTTGTGCTGGGGCTGGGTGGAGTTATGAGGTCTGGAGACTATGCCTCTATTTCATGCATGGACTCTCCATCCATCAATCATCGCCTCATTCTTTGACTTCCTGTTTACTTCTTTCTGCTTCCCTGAGGATCCACACATCCATTCATCTTTCTATATCTATATTTTCATCTACTAATTCATTCATCTATCCACCCATCAGTTAGCATAAGGGTTGGTGAGAAGCCCCCAGGATCTGGAGCCATGAACTAGACACAATGGAGGTGACACAAAGAAACACAACATACCATCCATGTGTTTAAACCAAAAGTCAAGGAGCGCTATCCACTTTACAGTCACTCCTGCATTCAGAGTACAGTTCTGCCCTTATCCCTAGATTTTTGATGCCTTCTGTAGTTCCATTTTATAGCAGAAGAGGCTGAGGCTGAGAAAGTGAGGTTCTGTAGTTGAGTGGCAGAGTTTGGATTGGAGCTCCAATGTGCAAATGTAGGCATCATTCTCTTTGAGTTCTCCACCTCAGGGTCCCAGAGCTGTTTAGTTTTCTGGGGTGGGTCAGGTCTAATGTTGATAGGACGCATTGAATAGTGCTCTATCTTTTGGAGTCTTAATGGATTCCTAGCCCAAGGAATGATTTAATGATGGGAAAAGCATTGGTTTGAGAATCTTGTGTTCTAGTCCCAGTTCTGCCTCAAACTTTGTGTATTATCTTTTCTTTCTGAGCCTCAGCTTTTTCATCTGCAAAATGGGACTCAAGCCCCTATTTTGCACAGCCTCAGGGTATGAAGATCAGAGAAGAGATGGGATATAGGAACATTTTGTGAACTCTAGAGTGTTGTGAGTGAAAGGCTGCCAGGGACTGATAACCCTGAAGAAAAGACATGTCAGCTCTCAAATCAAGTTTCTTACTTTCAAACTTTAGACACAAAAATATTTTTTTCTTGAAGTACATGCTTAAGAAGCTCTTGTTGGTCTGTTGGTCCCACTTCCATGGCACCTCATAAGATAAAACCCACTGGCTCAGAATTCCAGACAGCCACTGGCAACAGAGTAGCACCTACCTGAGATGGGTGAGACTCCTTGACAGGAGAGGTGAGTCACCATTTTTGCTCTTTGGATAATGCAGCCATTGCAGCCTATGGGCTTTGAAGAGTCCAAAGGATCCAAATGAGGAAGAAACCCCACAGCATAGCACAGCTGCTTTACCAACATGTGGCCAACTTCTTTAAATGGGACCCCAATTCATTCTGCTCACTGGGTGATTCCTCCCAGCAGAGGCTTCCAGGCACCCCCACCCATATTCTATGGACAGAATTCTGATTTCTGTCTGGGATGGAGTGTGCAGGGAGGGGGGCCAGGCTGCCACCTTTGCAATTTGGGTGACTCAGTCGTTCCAGCCTGCAGGCTTTGGAGAGTCCAAGCTGGCCAGGGTAGAGGTGGTTCCCCACCATGGCATGGCAGTTTTGTTGAGGCATAGGTTGACTTTTTCTTTAAATGGGACCCCAATTAATTCCTTCTTACTGGGCGTGTCCTCCCAGCCAGAGATTCCTACCACCCCTGTTTATGTTCTAAGTCCATCAGAGTTCTAATTTCTTTCTGAGATGGAATGCCCAGGAGGGTGTGGTGGGTCATCACTTTTGCTGTTTGTGCATCTCAGCTAATGAAGACTGTGGGCCTTGGAGAGCCCAAACCAATTAGGGGATGAAGGGATCCCCAACACAGTGTTTCAGAATTTTCTCCTTAGATCAGCTAAAACTGGGTTCTTGTCACATGACCAGGAAAGATTAGGCTCACAGACACACTGATGGATAAGCAGCAGAATTTATTGGGTGAAAAGGAAAAACAACTCTCAGCAAAGCAAGAGGGAATCTTGAACACCAGGCAACCACACAGGAACTGAAGATGCCAGGCTCCTCCCTTCTGCGCAAAGTGTAAATGTTCCAGTGGCTCCACCCCACCCTTCCAGTGTGCAGGTGGGTCCCTAGTCCATTGCAGGCATACACATACAATGCCCTGGGTAGGTTCCCTCATCTGCCTCCTGCATCTATCATTTTGCACCTAAAGAAGTACATCTAACTGCCGTTAGAATAAAGATAAGGATGAAGACCAATCTTAACTGCTTCCTGCTGACAGAGGGTACTGTTTTCAGAAAACAGCAGTCTGATCTCCCTCAGGGGCCTATGAAAGGGTTCCTGGCAAAAAAGGTTATTGTTTGAGGCTCCAGTCTGGTTGCGTGATGGTTTGGAGTTTGATGGCCTGAATGTGAAAAGAAAAACCAGGTTACTAGAAAACATGTATTAAAAAAAAACAGCGGTGGGGGTAAGGACAGCTTAAAAATCCCAAAGCCTTTTACCAGTTTGCACAGGGAGACGGAGGCCACAAGCCCAGCTGGCAAAAAAACTTTCATGCTTTTGCCAGCATGTCAGTCTTCTGGTAAACCCTTTTGAGAGCCCAGTCCTAAGCCAACCAGTTTAAGGTTTTCAAAATTAACTTTTCCCAGTTTGGAGGATGCATCTGAAATGAGTGTCCCATATTACAGAGACACAATTACCTGTCAGTGAAGAGAGGACAGAGGAGGAAAAAGGAAAAAAGAAGGCATTTTTTTCTCAGGGAGTCCCAGGGATTCAGAATGCAATCAAAATAGGTTCAGACTGAAGATGAATGGCTACTCATCTAGAAAGAGGGGAGCAGGCATCCCTGGTTCTCTTCTCCTCCCAGAAAATACTCGGGGTATGTGAGGGAGAGAAGGAAGAGGATCTTCTTTACCTTTTCCATCCTTGTATCCCTGAGTCTTGGTGACTGCAACAGGGTGCTGCCCATGGGTGTCAATGTGGCTTTTACCCATGTTAACAGGGAGGCCTAGGGGGTGGGATATCTGCTCTTACCCACGTACACCCTATATGCCCTGCTGTCAGGAGTATGGAGTTCCCTAAACCTCATTTATGTCATGGGTACGAGAGATGACCTTTATCTATGAAACTGGAGGCTTGTCTTAATCAGCAGGAATTAGTCGTGCTCACCTACACTGTGCCTTCTAAGCTCCATTATCATCTGCCTCCAAATCCCTCAGATCCAGTTTCCTTTCCAAGGGCATCGACCCAAAGATTGGAATTGAGATTGGGACAAAAATGTGTCTCCGAGTGGTTGCATAGACTCTTTGTCATAAGCTAAATGCTAAGGTGAAACTGTGGAATTGAGTCCTCCTTTAAGAAGGGAGAGAAAAGGATGTCTTATGAGATACCCAGATAACTAGTGGCTATAGTTATGCTTGCTAAGATTTGGGTGGGCACCCTATTTATTCCTATCACCTGACAGGATTTGCATAATAATTGCCCAGAACTAGAATGTTGATCCAGGTTTTTACATTACCCATCCCCTTTGTTCCTTCTGAGCTGTAGCCAGAGATTGATGGTTGGTTTATAGAAATAAGCAGGGTTAATCTAAAATGTAGGCAAAAACTTAAAGACTAGAATTTAATGATGATAAGTATTGAAACTGAATTTCTCTCTCTCGGGAGGCCAAGGTGGGCAGATCACGAGGTCAGGAGATCCAGACCATCCTGGCTAACATGGTGAAACCCCATCTCTACTAAAAATACAAAAAATTAGCTGGGCGTGGTGGTGGACAGCTGTAGTCCCAGCTACTTGGGAGGCTGAGGCAGGAGAATGGCATGAACCTGGGAGGCAGAGCTTGCAGTGAGCCAACATCATGCCACTGCACTCCAGCCTGGGTGACAGAGCGAGACTCTGTCTCAAAAAAAAAAAATTTTTTTTTCTCTCTCAGTTGTATTAAAAAACAAAGCATGGGCCAGGTGCGGTGGCTCACACCTGTAATCCCAGCACTTTGGGAGGTTGAGGCGGGTGGATCATGAGGTCAGGAGTTTGAGACCAGCCTGACCAACATGGTGAAACCCCATCTCTATAAAAAAAAAACAAATATAAAAACTAGCCAGACATGGTGGTGCATGCCTGTAATCCCAGCTACTTGGGAGGCTGAGGCAGGAGAATCACTTGAACCCGGCAGGCAGAGGTTGTAATGAGCCGAGATCGTGCCACTGCACTCCAGCCTGGGTGACAGAGTGAGACTCCATCTAAACAAAACCATGATAGGACTGTGTTGTTTGCAAAATAGACTTCAGTCTTATTCTTGGCCTGATTATTTGCATAAAGTACAGCAAGAATAATTATTTCTATATGGGCCTTTTAGACTGGCTTTGATGGAACTCTGTACACAAAGAATCTCAGATAGAACTTTCCAAAGCTAAGTCCAACCATGGGTTTACATTCTCAAATACCTATGAGTTGTTAAACTCCTCCCTTCTTGAGGTCCCAAGAGCACGTGATTCCTGGGCCTGTTGGAAAGTGACATTCTTTACTCACTGCTGGTTAGGAACCTTGTTTGGGGACTGTGTAACAAGGTATAAGGCCAGTTTTTCCAAGAGGCTTTTATCAGCTCTGCAAGTCAAGCTTAACTCCTTAAAGGGAAATGTACCCTTCCAGTCAAAGCCTTGGTGAAACAACAAGTTTTTCCAGTTGCATCCTGTTGCAAAAGAAAAATGAATTCTTATTGCACTGATGCAAACAACTATATTGTCATAAGTTAAGAATACTCACAGCTAGTTTTGAAATTCTAGAGAAGCCAGGCAGAGAGAGAGAGAGACCAAATGTGCTCCAAATTTTGTTCACAGGAGTATACCTTACCCAATTATTAAAGGTTATAAATAGCTCAAAATAAGTTTCCTTGACTCTGAAAAACAAAACAAGAATCAGCAATCGTCCAACCATAAGTAAAAAAAAAATATTTCAGTTTTCTATTAGTTCAGTCCATTTAGTTAACCCTTGTTCTGCTTGATATTTGTGAACATTTTAGCTCTTCATGAGTCTTGTATGTTTTACTTTATTTCAATGTCATGATCTCCAAAGTTATTTGGAAAACTGCATTTGAGAGCACCTGTCACAGTTCTGTAGCTTCTTATAAACTATCTCTTGAAAAGGATCTAAACAAGACAATTGTCTTTGAATAACAAAATGTCCAGGGTAGTTATAGTCAGAAACACAGTTGACAAAGAAGTTTGATAATCTCTGTGGTTTACAATAACTTAACATAAAAACCTTAATTTTGATAGCATATACTCAGACATTAGAAATCTCATACAATTTTGGAACATATATTAGTATCATTTATCAAAATATAACCTATAGAATATTTATCAAAATATAACCTATATAACCTAAAGAAGATTGGCAATCCCATGTAACTAAATATGTCAAATAATCCAGTTTACCTCTCTTTTGGATACTCCAGGGGCCCTCTGTAGCATTCAAAAGTCAGGCACGAGGAAAGACAATTTTGAAACTGAAGTTTGATTTTGGGAAGAAATGTTAGAGGTTTAAAACACTTGATGTTATGAAATAGAATTCCAGATTACCATGTTATTTATTTTGCCACAATTGTTTCAAAAAATTTACAAAAGTAAAACCCGTTTATAACACTTTACAAATTTTGCTAAAGAGCAGATTAGTGCCTTAAGAGTACCTTGTTGTGCTATTATTTAAATGCTTAATTTACCAAAAAAACATATAATACCTTTCGTAATTTAATGTTCATGGACAAAATTTCTTTGGCAAGATGAATTTTATAGAAACTTTTTATAACTTGTTTAAACTTTTAGCTTTATCTTATCTAATTCAGAACAATCCTTTAACCCTGAACAAAAATGTATATTTTAACATCTGCTTTTTACCAATAATTGCTAAGTCTGTTTTTATTTCTCAATGATTAGTCATGTGAACTTCAATGTACCACAGTTTTTACTTTCCCTTCAAAAAATATTTGATTCAAAAACTCATTTTCCTCTAGGTCAATTAGAGCTTTATAAAAATAGACATTACATAGATACAGCACATATATAAATACATAGGCAAAAAAGAATCCAGTAGCTATAAGATGTTTTGTTTCCCAATCTCCTAATTAGATTATTGGCCTCTCATGCATGTATTAAAAGTGGAAAAACAAAATGGAGAAAAAGAATTCAGTCGACTGAGAATCCTTTTTTTCAGCAAAACAAGGTCCAATAAAAAAAAAAATAAGGCCTTTAAATATACCTATAACTTGGGCCAGGAATGGTGGCTCATGCCTGTAATCCCAGCACTTTGGGAGGCTGAGGCAGGTGGAACAAGAGGTCAAGGGATTGAGACCATCCTGGCCAACATGGTGAAACCCTGTCTCTACTAAAAACACAAAAATTATCTGGGCATGGTGGTGTGCACCTGTAGTACCGGCTACTCGGGAGGGTGAGGCAGGAGAATCACTTGGACCCAGGAAGCAGAGGTTGCAATGAGCTGAGACCACACCACTGCACTCCAGCTTGGCTACAGAGCGAGACTCAGTCTCAAAAAAAAAAAAAAATGTATATATGTGTGTGTGTGTGTGTGTGTGTGTGTGTGTATAAAATCTGGGTATGCACTTTTAGTTAAGCTGAATGTACTTTAAGAAAATTCTTTTAAATTCCCCATTACCTGCTTTAGCTGTGCCAAGCAGCCAATATTTCTGGTTTTCAGACTTTCCTAAAAGTAACTGTACAGGTGAAACCAACAAGCACCAATTAAGGTTATGATTTAACTTGAGTTTCAAAGGGGTAAGCAGTTCTTACAAAATCTATTTTATTATTATTTTTTTGAGATGGAGTCTTTCTCTGTTGCCCAGGCTACAGTGCAGCGATCTTGGCTCACTGCAACCTCTGCCTCCTGAGTTCAAGCAATTCTCCTGCCTCAGCCTCCGAGTAACTGGGATTACAGATGCCCACCACCGCACCTGGCTAATTTTTGTATTTTTAGTAGAGATGGGGTTTCACCATCTTGGCCAGGCTGGTCTCGAACTCCTGACCTCATGTTCTAACTGCCTCCGCTTCCCAAAGTGCTAGAATTACAGACGTGAGCCATCGCACCTGGCCACAAAATCTAAAACCTTTAAAGGCAACTTAGAAAAAGGAAGGTTTAAGATAAAACTCAAGAGTTGTTCATGAAGGGAAGATAATCACCAAATGGCGAAAGTCACACAGATATCGACCCAAAAGTACTCATTCCTTTACCCAGGATTGAACCCAGACTGCAGAGGCTAAAGCAAAATATTGCCATGTGGTTACAGGTCACGTCCCCAAGGACATAAAACAAAATGGAGGCCTGCAGCAAAGATCCCTACTGATCAAACAGGAAGACATGCAAAGCACACCAGATTGTCTACAGCTTATGACCAACTTCATAATTTTTTTTTTTATAATTAAAACTTTACAGAGAATATACACAGTGATACTTGGTGTCCTGGCCTAGTAAAATGTTCTCTAAAAGCAGGGTTGGGGGGGTGGGGGGGACTCTCTCACTTAAAAGTTAACTTCTGACGGGGTGGAGAAAATGAATAAAAAAGGTTTAAGTGTAGGACAGGAAAGAGACTTTTTATTCTTATGCAAATGGGTTATTTTCTCCAGGGCTTGGATAGAGCTGGAGTCCTTGGTCAGAGGAGGGGGAGAAACTGGATAAGTGGCAGATAACTCACTGCCCAAGCCATGCACTCCAGCCCCAACCCAGAGGGTGCAGGGGAGTGACCATTCACTGGTCCATCTCATGTGCACCTGCGACTGTTGGAGTGAGGTGGTGTGCAGTTTCCTCTATTCTCAGAAGAAGTACAAGGATGAAAAGGCTTAGAAGCAAAAGGGAAAAAAGATTCTTGGTTTGCATCTTACCCTTCCTCAAGGCCCATGTCTGGGCACCAACATTTTTTAGAATTTTCTCCTTAGCTCAGCTAAAACTGAATTCTTATCACACCAAGGAAAGATTAGGTTTGCAGACACCCTGAAGGGTGACGAGCAGAATTTATTGGGTAAAAAGAGAAAACAAAACGAAACAAAACAAAACCTCCCAGCAAAGTGAGAAGGAATCTTGAACACCAGGCCACCACAGAGGAACTAAAGAGGCCATGTTCCTCCCCCCTACACAAAGTGTGAACTTTCCATTAGCTCCATCCCATTCCCCCAGTGCACTGGTGGGTCCCCAGTTCATTGTGGGCTTGTGCAGACAAGACCCTGGGCAGGTTCCCTCATCTGCCTCCTGCATCTATCAACAGCACAGATGCTCTACCAAAACACAGCCGGACTTTTTCTTCCAAACCAGGGTCTCCAGCCACCTCCTACAGATGCATTCAGGCAGGGAACAGATCAGTATCCCCCTAGGATGGAGATCCCAGAGGAAGGGGCAGGCTGCTATCTTTGCTGGTTTTCAGCCTTCCCTGGTGAACTTCCAGGTACTGGAAAATCCAAGGTGACTAGGTTCTGGAGTGGAGCCCCAGCAAGCCAGTCACCCTACAAAATGGTGGCCAGATTGTTAAAAAATAAAATAAAATAAAAGACAGAAAACCATGACAACCCCATGCAAAAGTCAGCAGAAGACTGAAGGTAGATAGGTCTTGGATTGAATTCCCCAAAGTTGGGCTTTTTGTCCACACAGCCAGCCAGAATTCTGTCTGGCAAGAGTAAAATTGCTTGTCATTTTCACTGAACCTGGCCAAGAGTTTTTCTTATATATGGAACCCCTGGCTCCTTTCTAAAGAATTTCTCTTCTTGGCCAGGATCCCTGTTCAGAATGCTAATAAATGATTCCTGTCCCAACTTCATATAACAATTGATCAATCTGCCCAGATTACTTTAGAAATAAAGCAACCATGACTAGAAAACATTTTTATTTTTATTCTTTGGACCTGGATTATAACAACAAAGTAAAATATTGTTAGAGAACTGATGATATGGTCTGGCTTTGCCTCCCCAGCCAAATCTCATTTTCAATTTTAATTCAAATTGTAATCCCCACATTTTCGGGGAGGGATATCATAGGTAATTAGATCATGCGGTTAATTCCCTTACCCTGTTCTCATGATAGTGAGTTCCCACGAGATCTGATGGTTTATAAGAAGCTTTTCTTCCCTTTGCACGATACTTCTCTCTCCTGCCACCATGTAAAGTAGGATGTGTTTGGTTCCCCTTCCACTGTGATTGTAAGAGTCTGAGGTCTTAGCAGCCATGGTAACTGTGAGTCAATTAAACCTCTTTTCTTCCAAATTAGTCTCAGGTATTTCTTCAGAGCAGCATTAAAATAAACTTACCAGTAAATTCGTACTGACACAGTGGGGCACTGCTATAAGGATACCCAAAAACGTGGAAGTGACTTTGGAACTGAGTAACAGGCAGAGGCTAGAAGTTTGGAGGGCTCAGAAGAAGGAAAGATGTGGGAAAGTTTGGACTTCCTAGAGACTTGTTGAATTGCTTTGACCAAAATGCTGGTAGTGATGGACAATGAAGTCCAGGCTGAGATGGTCTCATGTGGAGGTGAGGAACTTGTTGGGAACTGGAATAAAGGTGACCCTTGCTATGCTTTAGCAAAGAGACTGGTAGCATTTTGCTCTTGTCCTAAAGATCTGTGGAAGGTCGAACTTGAGAGATAATTTATGGTTATCTGGCAAAAGAAATTAAGCAGCAAAACATCCAAAAGTTGACAAAGCATAAAAGTTTAGACAATTCACAGCCTAATGATGTGGTAGAAAAGAAAGACCCATTTTCTCAGAAGAAATTGGCTGCAGAAGTGAGGAGCAAATGTTCATCACCAAGACAATGGGGAAAATGCCTTCAGGGCATGTTAGAGACCTTTGTGGCATCTCCTCCTCTCACACACCTGGAGGCCTAGGAGGCAAAAAATATTTCATGGGCTAGGCCCAGGAAACCCTGCTGTGTGCAGTCTCAGGACTTGGTTCCCTGGATTCCAGTCACTCCAGCCATGGCTAAAAGGGGCCAATGTACAGCTTGAGCCATTGCTTCAGATGTAAGATCCAAGCCTTAGCATCTTCCTCATAGTGTTGGTCCTGTAGGCACACAGAAGAACTGAAGTTGAGAGGCCTCAATTTAGATTTCAGAGGATGTGTGGAAATGCCTGGATGTCCAGGCAGAAGTTTGCTGCAGGGGCAGAACCCTCATGGAGAATCTCTGCTAGGGCAGTGCAGAAAAAAATGTGGAGTTGAGGCCTACACACAGAGTCCCCACCGGGGCACTGCCTACTGAAGCTGTGAGAAGAGGGCAAAGTTCTCCAGACCCCAGAATGGTAGATCCACTGTCAGCTTACATTGTGTGCCTGGAAAAGCCACAGACACTCAACACCAGACTGTGAAGCAGCTGGGAGGGAGACTACCCTGCAAAGCCACAGAGGTGAAGTTGCCCGAGGCTGTGAAACCTCACCTCTTGCAGCAGTGTGAATTAAATGTGAGACATGGAGCCAAAGGAGATCACTTTAAGGTTTAATGACTGCCCTATTGAATTTTGGACTTGGGTGGGGCCTGCAGCCACTTTGTTTTGGCCAATTTCTCCCATTTGAAATGGGTGTATTTACCCAATGCCTGTACCCCCATTATATCTTGGAAGTAGCTAACTTGCTTTTGATTTCACAGGCTCATAGGAGGAAGGGACTTGCCTTGTCTCAGATGAGACTATGGACTTAGACTTTTTGGGTTAATGCTGAAATGAGTTAAGACTTTGGGGATCTGTTGGGAAGGCCTAATTATGTTTTGGAATGTGAGAAACACGTGATTTGGGAGTGACCAAAGGTGGAATAATATGGTCTGGCTTTGTGTATCCACACAAATTTCATCTTGAATTGTAATATGAATTGTAATCCCCACGTTTGGGGAGGGAACTCACGGGTGCTTATTAGATCATGGGGGTGGTTCCCCCATGCTGTTCTGGCGAGATCTTGGCTCACTGCAACCTCCATCTCCCAGATCCAAGTGATTCTCCTGCCTCAGCCTCTTGAATAGCTGGGATCACAGGCACCAGCCACCATACCTGGCTAATTTTTGTACTTTTAGTAGAGATGGTGCTTCACCACGTTGGCCAGGCTGGTCTCAAACTCCTGACTTTGTGACCCACCCACCTCGGCCTCCCAAAATACTGGGATTACAGGCGTGAACCACCATGCCCAGCTACCTCTTTCCTTTATAAATTACCCATTCTCAGGTATTTCTTTGTAGCAGTGTAAATACAAACTAATATATCTGGGTTTAATTTCAGCTGACAAAACAAAGTGAGGTAACTTAGGGAAAGAATAAAATACAGTAAAAATAGAAAACGTTCAGGAGTTATTTGCAGTCTGATATCTCTGTTTCAGGAGCATCTGTTGGTTTGGGCCTTGTACAACAAAATGGTGATTACACTGCCCAGATGCTTTCTTAGTTCTAATTTCTAGCACTTTTAAAATTGCATTTTTTTGCTTCCTTTTTCCTCTCTTATTTTACATTCTTTCCTTTGTTCTTTTTATGTCTTTTGTTCTCTTTCCATTTTATATGGATATGCAAATATAGGCAAGGATAAAACATATACGGTGCCTTATTCTGATTAAATGACACAGTGCCGAAAAATTTGAAAATAAAAAAAAAATTCAATAAAACAAATTAACCTACAAATCTACCATGGAGAATTTATCTTCCTTAACTTCCAACTTTCTGGGTCTTTGGGTGTGAGATTTGGCCAAAAGCAGACAATTGTGTTCAACTTGTGAAAGGAATTTTTATTTTCCTACCAACTTGACAATGATACATCTAAGAAGATAAACCAGTTGAGGATCAAGTGGTTAGCCTACCTTCTGTATGTTAAGAGTTGTGCAGGAGACCAGAGACAGGCCAAGGAAACACTTTGAACTCTTTGTCTTGCATCTCAGCACTATCTCTGATGCCAATCCACACACTCACAAACACACAAACACAGACACAAATACATGTTTCTCAGCCAGGAGATGTAATACTGTTAAACTGTCAATATTTCTGAGTATTGTACAAATTCAATGTCATCCTTATTAAAATTCCAATGTTACTTATTTGGCAGAGATATTTTATATAATTCTAAAATTCATGTGTAATCTCAAGGTACCATGAATAGCCAACAGCTTTAGAAAAGAACAAAGTACCATACCTCATGATGTCAAAAGAGTCCAAAGCTACAAAAATAAAACCAATGTGGTAATGGCATAAAGTGAAAAAAAGATACATGACAGAACAAAGAACCCAGAAATAAACCTGTGCAAGTATTATCATATAATCTTTTACTAGGTTACCATGACCAAACAGTGAAGAAAAGGTCAGACTCCCCAACCAATGGTGTGAGAAAACTCAACGTCTAAATGAAAGATAACGAACTTGGACCTTTCTCTTCAATGCAAACAAAATACTTTACACACACTAAACATAAAAACATAAAATTAAAAGACATATAACTCTTGAACACTTAGAAGAAAATATAGGGAGAAGCCTAGTAACATTGGTTTTGGCAGGTTTTTCGAATATCACATTAAAAGCAGGAACAACAAGAAGGGAATTAGAAAAGGTACTATATCAAACTTTCAAAACCTTCTGCATATCCACACATCAAGGGAAACACTAAGTGGAGTACAAATGCCATCCACCATTTGACTTCTGAAACATAACCACCACCAAGGGTGAATAACTTCATTTTTTTAATGGACCAGTGTCTTCAAAGACATTTCCTAAAAGAAGCTATGCAAATAACCAAGAGGAATTTGAAAAGACAATCAAAATCACTTATGAGAAGAATGCAAAGCAAAATCTCAATGAACTCTTAACTCTCACCCATTAGCATGGCCACTGTTCAACAAATAAAAAGTAATCAATGTTGTCAAGTATGTAGGATTTGGAACCTCCATGCACTGTTGGTGGAAAAGAATAATGCAGCCCTCAATAAAAGTAGGATGCAGGTTTTCCAAAATATTAAAAATGAACTGTGGCTCATGCCTGTAATTTCAACATTTTAGGAGGCTAAAGTGGGAGAATTACTTAGGCTCAGAAGTTTGAGTTCAGCCTGAGCAACATACTGAGACCCCATCTCTTCAAAAAATACAAAAATTAGTCAGGTATGCTGGCATGTGACTGTAGTCCCAGCTACTTGGGTGACTGAGGTGGACGGATCATTTGAGCCTGGGATGTCAAGGCTGCAGTGAGCCATTACTGCACCACTACACTCTAGCCTGGGTGACAATGTGAAACCCAATCTCAAAAAAAAAAAAAAAAAAAAAAAAAAAAAAGAAAAAGAAAGAAGAGAAAGAGAAAAGAAAAGAGAAATTATACAATCCAGGAATCCTACTTCTGGGAATCTATGTATCCAAAGCAGGACCTGGAATAGACATTTGCACACATATATTTTTAAGAGCATTCCCCAACCCCCTACACACAAAAAGGTGACAGCTACTTAAGTTTCTTGATAAATGGATAACATATGGCATTTGTAGGCAATGGAATATGGCTGTACCTTCAGATAGCAAATTATGCACATGCTACAATAAGCATAAAACTTTAAGACATCATATTTAGTGAAATATACCAGAAACATAGTGACAAAGAGTATATAATCCCATTTAAATGAGCTATCTTAAGTGAAATGATTTTTAGAAGACAGTCAGAATTATAAAGTACTCCTCCACAGATGGAATAAAAACGTGTGAATGCCGGGAGCAGTCATCTGCCACCTGGAGAACAGAACTTCCAGGCACCAGGGGAATGCAAGCACAGATGACAACAGTGATGGTAGCAAGGGCACTGATTAGAGTAGTGGTGGCCTGAGGAGTACTTTTTGGCATGCACCAGTGTGCCAGAGGCTGGGGCCCACACTGGGGATTGGAGTTGCCCTCCATAACTCCAGAACCAGGTCCTGGTGTTTCACTTCATGTTCCACCAATGCCCCTGCAGACAGTAAAGTACTTATCTCAATTAAGTGATCTAAACATTGCATTGATAAGCTATAAATAACCTCAAACACTCCAGTTAAAAACAATTTACCACACTGAAAAATTTCAAACTTCTAATCAGAACATAGAAAGTCTGTATGAAATTACATGGCAAAAAGAGAACAGTGAGAAGACTGTAGCCATAACACAAAGAAGAAGGGGTGTGAGGCATACATAGCTGGGAATAAACCATAAAGATATTCCAAAACTAAAGATAATTAGAAAATAAAATCAGAGGTTCTCTTTAAATTCAGAATGAGTCAGTTTTGCAGCCTGGTAACAGATGTTCTCTCCACATGCAGACTGCCATTTCTTCACTATAGACATTTTCATTCTCTTACTTGGAGCTACAAACTCACTCCAGAAAGAATAATATTTATGGCTAATTATGGAGCATCTATTACCCAGTACTTTCTTATGCTTACTATAATTATATATCAAAACATCCCATGAATTATTAAGTTTCACCAGTACTTACCTGAAAAAATTGGCACAATAAACTCATTTATGTCAATTATAAAAAGTGAAACAAATAACTAAACGGCTCATATAGGGTTATCCAACTAAAGCAATAAAATGAAATGTCCTAACTAAAATATAACTTAATACACGAATTATGAACTTGCATCTAAATATTTTGTGTTTGCTACTAAATTTTATAAAATTATAATTTCTGACCAGCTCACATAATAAATACTTCATAAAGTAAAAATAAAAAAAATAAGAAAGAAGTCAATTATAGCTCTAGCATGAGTAACAGACAAATAAAAACAGAATTTGCATGGGAGAGTCTCAACAATGATCCGTTAAATTTTACAGTAATAGAAGAAAATATAAATTTGATTTCAGAATGTTTTAGGTTTCTAGATTTCTAGTAAAATATCCACCTTATTAAAATAATCTTTGTTCCAATATTGCTATTTTCCTTGGAAAATAGATACAAACTCTCACAGAAACTCAACTGCTTGCCCCATAATTTTCTTACACCTAAATTTTATCTTTAGAGCAATACATTTACATATTTAACTCCATGTAAATCAAAACCAAAGTCTGCATTTATTTGCGGAAAGAGATGCTACATGTTCAAAGATAAATATGGAACATTTTTTAAAAGCATTCATGACTTAGAAATGTGTGAATTATAATTATACTCATATACTTATTATAATCATAAAATAACCTGTAGTAAAAAAATAATTGCACATTTAAAAATAATTAAAGTGGCCAGGTACGATGGCTCACACCCGTAATCCCAGCACTTTGGGAGGCCGAGGTGGGTGGATCATGAGCTCAGGAGTTCGAGAACAGCCTGGCCAGCATTGTGAAACCCTGTCTCTACTGAAAATACAAAAAATTAGCTGGGCATGGTGGCACCTGCCGGTAGTCACAGCTACTCATGAGGCTGAGGCAGGAGAATTGCTTGAACCCAGCAGGTGGAGGTTGCAGTGAGCCAAGATCGCACCACTGCGCTCCAGCCTGGGCGACAGAACGAGACTCTGTCTCAAAAAAAAAAAAAAAAAAAAAAATTAAAGTGTATAACTGGACTGTGTGTAATACAAAGAACAAATGCTTGTGAAGAATAACTCATTTACTCTGATGTGATAATTACATGTCATATGCCTGTATCAAAATAATCCAAATAAGCCATGAATAGATACACATACTATGTACCTACAGAAATTTTAAAAAATTTAAAATAAGAAAAATAATACAAGTTTATATGGGAGCAATATTCTCCAATTTATTTGCTGTGTAAAGACACTGGAATTAGAGATTACTAGAAATGTCATTCAACTATGTTCCTTGCCAGTATGAATTCGCTTGTGTACAGTAAGGGTTGAGGGCCGATTAAAAGCTTTGCCACATTCTTCACATTTGTAGGATTTCTCTCCAGTATGAATTATCTTATGTTTAGTAAGGGATGAGGACCAATTGAAGGCTTTGCCACATTCTTCACATGTGAAGGGTTTCTCTCCAGTATGAATTCTCTTATGTTTAGTAAGGGTTGAGGATAAGTTATAGGCTTTGCCACATTCTTTGCATTTGTAGGGTTTCTCTCCAGAATGAATTTTCTTATGTTCATTCAGGGCTGTGGACCGAGTAAAGGCTTTGCCACATTCTTCACATTTGTAAAGTTTTTGTTCAGAATGAATGCTCCTGTGTATAATAAGGCCTGAGGATTGGTTAAAAGCTTTGCCACATTCTTTACATTTGTAGGGTTTCTCTCCAGTATGAATATTCTTATGTTCATTCAGGCTTGCGGACCATATGAAAGCTTTGCCACATTCTTCACATTTGTAGGGTTTCTCGCCAGTATGAATTTTCTTATGTTCGTTCAGTGTTGTGGACCGTGTAAAGGCTTTGCCACATTCTTCACATTTGTAAGGTTTTTGCCCAGAATGGATTCTCTTGTGTAATATAAGAGTTGAGGATTGGTTAAAAGCTTTGCCACATTCTTCGCACGTGTAGGGTTTCTCTCCAGTATGAATTCTCTTATGTTTAGCAAGGTGTGAGGACCTATAAAAAGCTTTGCCACATTCTTCACATGTGTAGGGTTTCTCTCCAGTATGAATTCTCTTATGTTTATTAAGGGATGAGGACCAAGTAAAGGCTTTGCCACATTCTTCACATTTGTAAAGTTTTTGTTCAGAATGAATGCTCCTGTGTATAATAAGACTTGAGGATTGGTTAAAAGCTTTGCCACATTTTTCACATGTGTAGGGTTTTTCGCCAGTATGAATATTTTTATGTTCATTCAGGCTCCTGGACTGTCTAAAGGCTTTGCCACATTCTTTACATTTGTAGGGTTTCTCTCCAGTATGAATATTCTTATGTTCATTCAGGCTTGTGGACCATCTAAAGGCTTTGCCACATTCTTTACATTTGTAGGGTTTCTCTCCAGTATGAATTTTCTTGTGTTCATTCAGTGTTGTGGACCTTGTAAAGGCTTTGCCACATTCTTCACATTTGTAGGGTTTCTCTCCAGTATGAATTTTCTTATGTTCGTTCAGAACTGTGGACCGTCTAAAGGCTTTGCCACATTCTTCACATGTGTAGGGTTTCTCTCCAGTATGAATTCTCTTATGTTTACTAAGTGATGTGGACCTATTAAAGGCTTTGCCACATTTTTCACATTTGTAGGGTTTCTCTCCAGCATGAATTCCTGTATGTTGAGTTAGGTGTGACATGTAAAACGATCTGCCACATTCTGTACATTTAAAGGGTTTCTCTCCAGTATGTCTTATCTTATGTTTGTTTGAATTTGAAAATTTACTAAAAACTTTAACACATGTATTACATTGAAATATTTTGCTCTGGGTAGTTGACAAGCACTGGTAAACTCCATTATTAACTCCTTTCTGCACCTTACACTCATTCACACGTTTACAGCCTTTTCTTAATTGTAAATTCTCATGTCCACATTTCTCGTATCTTTTCAGTATAAGTTTGTGGAATGAATCTTCTATCCCCTGCACTGGTGAAAGGTCTTGGCTGAAAGGAGAACATATAGCTGAAAGAAATAAAAATAACAAATTATCCCACTTACTAGATTCATATGAATATACTTTACGAATGTAATATCGAAAATGTATACAAACTGCATTAGTAAGATAGCATAACAAAATATCACAGGCCATAATTTCTTCACAGACATGTAACAAAGATATACAAACCAAAATACCTTTGTGCAAAATCTGTAAATGAGTTAACTGTATGCAACGCCTCAGGTAAGTACAATACTAAGAACCACATGGAACAGGAAGGAAAGTTTGTTATATTTACCCACCACAGCTTTCCTCCTCCCCAATATAGCATTGTGCCTATAGGAGTAAACTGTCAACTCCTGGCTTCTTACTTAGAAGAAAAATACTGATACACATATCCTTACTTCTGGCTTTCTGGGGTCTTTACAAAATCTGGTTTCTGTCTCCAACAACACAGAGAGCTGAGAGAAACGGTGCTATACTTTGGAAGAACAGCTTGGGTCTGCTAAGACCAAACGTAAATGTTTCAGGAGCAGGCTGCAGTGTTAAATACAGGGAATAGGTAGAAGAGTGACTAGAGACCATAAGAAGAAACATGAATAATCCCTTTTCACTGAAAAACAAACACAAAATTCCAGACAAGACACATCCTTAGAACATGTATGAGAGGCTCCCATTATCTCTATCAAAGACAACAGGTTTCAGACTATGTCAGGACAAGGCAACACTGTAAAGATTGTGACAAATACCTTTTTGTTAATGTTCAAATAACAAACAGATGTTACAATATATACAAAATATTAGGGCAACATGGCCCAATTAAAAAATTTAAAACTTTTCAGAAAACAACCATAAGAAATGAAGATGTAGAAATTTTAAAAAATTAACCTGAAAAATCCTCAATGAGCTAAAGGGGAACACATACAACTAAATATAATAAGACAAATGAGGTATCGATGAAAACGTTAAAATATAAAAAACAAATTGTGGATGTGAAAAATACAAAAGTAATGAGTGAGAAAGTTCCAAAAGTAAAATAAGGATGTAAAAAATGAAGAAGCTCAACAAACTTCAACTAGGATACATACACAGAGATTTATATAAGCAAAGTTTCAAAAGTCAAAGACAGAGAATCTTAGGAGTTGCAAGATAAAAGTGATGTGTCATTTATAAGTGTGGTCTTACATAACCAGTGAATCTGTCAACAAAATTTTTTTAGACAAGAGGGAATTGTGATATAGTTAAAATGCTGAAAGAAAGCTTGTAAGCAGGAATACCATAACATGCAAAACTGTCCTAAAAATGAAGAAAAAGTAAAGCTCTTTCAAGATAACCAAATGTTGAAAAAGTGTATTAGCACAACACCTGCCTTAGAAAAGAAATGCTGAAGAAAGTATCTTCCACTGAAAATAATATGATGCAAGAAAACAAAACATAATCATATGAAAATAAGTAACTTTTTGGGAAAGACATGAACATATACAAATGTAAGGTTCTGTACCATTATCATGATAGTGCAGAAAACATTTTAATTATTCTCTAAAATTTTAAAGAGCATAAAAATGATCATAAACTGTTCATCATAATCTGTTAATAAATAAGCAACATAAAAATATAATTAGTGACATTAATAACAAAGTTGAGGGCAGATGTAATGAGGAAGAATTTTCAAACGCAACTGAAATAACCAGTTTAAAATGTATTATTTTAAGAAATTTTATGTAATTTCCAAAATACCAAAAAGTAAGTATCTGTATGGATACATGAAAAAATAAGTAAAAATCTATCAACACAAAAGTCAAAAGGAAGACAGAAAAGAAAATAAGGGACAAAAATACAATAATCAAGTAAAACAATTAATAAAATAACATGAATAAAATAAGAAGTAAAAATCTATCCACACAAAAGTCAAAAGGAAGACAGAAAAGAAAATAAGGGACAAAAATACAATAATCAAGTAAAACAATTAATAAAATAACATGAATAAGCCTTTCCATTTCAGCAAATTATTTAAATATTTATGAAGTAATCTTTGCATTGGAAATACATGCAAATAAATTTATTTAAGAAATCAAAAAACAAGATACAACTTGTTTTTCTTTCTTTCTTTCTTTTTTTTTTTTTTTTTTTTTTTTTTGAGACGGAGTCTCACTCTGTCACCCAGGCTGGAGTGCAGTGGCGTGATCTCGGCTCACTGCAAGCTCTGCCTCCTGGGTTCACACCATTCTTCCACCTTGGCCTCCTGAGTAGCTGGGACTACAGGTACCCGCCACCACGCCCGGCTAATTTTGTTTTTGTATTTTTAGTAGAGACGGGGTTTCACCATGTTAGCCAGTGATCTCAATCTCCTGACCTCGTGACCACCCACCTCGGCCTTCCAAAGTGCTGGGATTACAGGCGTGAGCCACTACACCCAGCCACAACTTGCTTTTTCACAAGAGTCACTTGAGATCTAATGATTAAAGGAGACTGAAAAAGGCAAGATGAAAGAAAAAACTTTATGCAAAGAACCAAACAGAAGAGGTCAAAATTATATTACCCAAAGTACATCTAAAGTCAAAAACTCCCATTTCATAAAACTTATTTTAACTAAAAGCTCATAAGAGACAAAGAAGAACATAAACTATATTAAAAATGTTCATTTACTAGGAAACCCTGAAAAATGTGTGTATATACATATATTTGTGTGTGTGTGTGTATGTGTGTCTTACATTAGGGTTCCAAATATATAAAGCAAATACTGACAGAAGTAAAGCAAGACATAGAGAGCAATATAATTATAGTAGGATATTTCAATAGCTCAATTTCTGTAATGAATAATCAGAAAAGAATACTCAAGGAAATAGAAGACTTCAAAGCAGTATAAAACAATTATGTCTAATAGAATTGTAGAGAACTCTTAAACAAAAGCAGAATACATACCCATCTGAATAGCTCATAAAATATTCTCCTTGATAGACCACCTGTTAGGCTACAAAAAAGTCTTAACAAATTTTTTAAAATAGGAACTTTACAGATTACTTTTAATGACCAAACTGGAATGAGAATAGAAATTAATTAAAAAAAGAAAACTGGCTGGGTGCAGTGGCTCATGCCTGTAATCCAAGCACTTTGGGAGGCCAAGGCAAGCAGATCACTTGAGGTCATTAGTTCGAGACCAGCCTGACCAACATGGAGAAACCCCATCTCTACCAAAATTACAAAATTAGCCAGGTGTGGTGGTGCATGCCTGTAATCCCAGCTACTCGACAGGCTGAGGCAGGAGAATCGCTTGAACCTGGGAGGCAGAGGGTTGTGGTGAGCTGAGATCACGCTGTTGCACTCCAGCTTGGGCAACAAGAGTGAAACTCCATCTCAAAAAAAAAAAAAAAAAAAAAAAAAAAACCACAAACCAAAAAAATGGACTTTTGTAGAAATTAAACAACACAAACTTTAGCATGCTCTTGTTCAAAGTTTCAAATATGAAGATATCTGGACTGTTCGATGTAATCTACAGATTAAATGCAATCTCTGTCACATTTTTAATTAAATTTTTGCAGAAATAGAAATAGCAACCCCCAAATTATAGGGAATTTCAAGGGACAATGAAGCACCCCACAATCTTCAAAAAGAGAAACATGTTGGAAGCACCACAGCTCATGATATCAAAACATATACAAAGCTAAAGAACTTAAAAAATTTAGTATGGGTATACAGGTGAACAGCTAGATCAATAAAATAAAATCCAGGAAAAATACACACTCTTACACATATGGTCAGATGAAGAGTAATTTCTACACTCATAATTATTGTAGCATTGTTAGTGAAAGCAAATAAATGAAAGCAATGCAAATTTCTCACCAAATAAATGAATAAATTAAAAATATTAAAATATTACTCCACCTTGTAAAAAGCAAAAAATATCACAAGTATAATAAAGATAAATCTTGATGACATTGTGCAACATGAAGTAAGTCAACCATGAAGAGAAACTGTATGAATCAACTCACATGAGATATCTAAAGCAGTTTGACTCTAAAACAGAAAACAGAATTGTTTTTGTAAAGGGCCAGAAAACAGAAAAGGTAGTCAGTTGTTTAATGTGTACTGAGTGTTAGCTTTGCAAGATAAACATATGCTAGAGATACAGTGAGTAACAATGTCAATATAATTAATATGACTAAGCTGAATATTTAAAAATATTTAAGATTGTAAAGTTTATGTGTTGACAATCAAAAATAATATCTAAAACAGATACAGTGGTAAGACGGTTTTTGAAATTATCTTCAAATCACAAAAGTGTGTCTCCCACACATAGAAAAACATAGATTTATAAATAAATGGAGGGTAAAATCAGAAGAATTTCAATGACTACTCACCTAGGCAGGGTAAAATCACCATTGTATACAAACAGAACAAGTATACAACTTATAAACAATAAGGAACAATATGCATACAGATAAACAGAGACTCTTATATTGGAAATACACATCACTGACCTATATTTGATTTGTGCCCCATACTTAGTGTACACAGTGAAATATTGTAGTACACAATTATAATGTAAAATGAAAACATCCTAAGTTTTCTGCTCTTGCAGCCATAAAAAAGAATGAGTTCACGTCCTTTGCAGGGACATGCATGAAGCTGGAAACCATCATTCTCAGCAAACAAACACAGGAACAGAAAACCAAACACCACATGTTCTCATTCATAAGTGGGAGTTGAACAATGAGAACACATGGACACAGGGAAGGAACATCACACACCGGGGCCTGTCAGAGGGGGTGGGGGGCAATAGGAGGGAGAGCATTAGGACAAATACCTAATGAGTGCGGGGCTTAAAACCTAGATGATGGGTTGATAGGTGCAGCAAACCACCATGGCGCATGTATACTTATGTAACAAACCTGCACATTCTGCACATGTATCCCAGAACTTAAATTGTCAGGCCTCTGAGCCCAAGCCTGCACGTGTACATCCAGATGGCCTGAGGCAACTGAAGAACCACAAAAGAAGTGAAAATGGCTGCTTCCTGCCTTAACTGATGACATTACCTTGTGAAATTCCTTCTCCTGGCTCAGAAGCTCCCCAACTGAGCACCTTGTGACCCCTGTCCCTGCCTGCCAGAGAACAACCCCTTTGACTGTAATTTTCCATTACCTACCCAAATCCTATAAAACTGCCCCACCCCTATCTCCCTTCGCTGACTCTCTTTTTTGGACTCAGCTCGTCTGCACCCAGGTGATTAAAAAGCTTTACTGCTCACACAAAGCCCGTTTGGTGGTCTTTTCACACGGATGCGCATGACAAAAATAAAAAAATGAAAAATAAAATTTTCTCTTTCCTGTCCAGTATGATATCAGCCATTGACTTGTCATATATGGCCTTTATTGTGTTGAGGTATATACCATCTATATCTAATTTGTTGAGTTTTTTAAGTCACAAAGACATGCTCAAGCAGGGCGCGGTGGCGCACGCCTATAATCCCAGCACTTTGGGAGGCCGAGGCGGGTGGATCACCTGAGGTCAGGAGTTTGAGACCAGCCTCAACATGAAGAAACCCCATCTCTACTAAAAATACAAAATTAGCCGGGCATGGTGGTGCATGCCTATAATCCCAGCTACTTGGGAGGCTGAAGCAGAAGAATTGCTTGAACCTGGGAGGCGGAGGTTGCAGTGAGCTGAGATCATGCCATTGCACTCCAGCCTGGGCAACAAGAGTGAAACTTCGTCTCAAGAAAAAAAAAGACATATTCAATTTTGCCCAATGCTGCTTCTGCATCCACACCATTCACACTAAAAAATAAAGATGTCTAGCAGCAAACAATTAAAAAGGTGAACATTCTAAACTGAAAATTATAAAACATTGGCAAGAAACTGAAAAAGACATGAAAATTTGAAAAACATTTTTTTGCTTATGAATTGAAATAATATTTAAAAAGTGGTTATACTACAGGATCAATGAAATCTCTATCAAAATACCAATGACTTTTTTCAAAGAAATGAAAAAAAAAACTAGCTTAAAATTTATAGGGAACAACCAAAGACCCCCAAATACCCAAAGTAATCCTGAGCAAAAGAAAAGAAAAAAAAAAAAAACAACAAAGCTGGAGATACTGCACTACCTGATTCGAAAATATACTATAAAGCTATAATAAGCAAAACAGCAAAATATTGGCATAAAAACAGACAAAGAGATCAAAGTATCCAGTGAGCCCAGTAACAAATTCATGAGCCTACAGCCAAGTGATTTTTAACAAAGATGTCCAGAACACACAGCTGGAAAAAGACAGTCTTTTCAATAAATAGTGCTAGAAATATTAATTACCCACATGATAAAGCAGGACTTCAAATAGATATTTACACATGCATGTTCATTCATTGTTATTTACAAAAGACAATTCCTGGAAACAGCACAAATGTCCCTTTAGAGATCAGTATCAGATTTTAAAAATGTGACATATACATACAATTACATATTATTTCATTTTAAAACAGAAGGATATTCTGACACATCTTACAAAACAAAGCCTGAGAACATTACCTTAAATAAAATGAGAGTCAAACAGAAACAGACATTATATAATTACACTGAGAAGAATTATAAAATTATAGAAAGAGTAAGTAAAATGGTGTTCTTCAGGAGCTGAAGAGAAAAAAAGGGCAACTTATTGTTTATAAGGTATTAAATTTTACTTTTGTAAGGTAAAATTAATCTAGAGATCCATTGCAAAATAAAGTAAATGTACTTAACACCACTGGACCGTATACTTGAAAATGTTGGCCGGGGGTGGTGGCCCATGCCTGTAATCCCAGCACTTTCGGAGGCCGAGGCGAGTGGATTACCTGAGGTCAGGAGTTCAAGACCAGCCTGACCAACTTGGAGAAACCATGTCTCTACTGAAAATACAAAATTAGCCGGGCATGGTGGTGCATTCCTGTAATCCCAGCTACTCAGGAGGCTGATGCAGGAGGCTGCGGTAAGCTGAGATCGCACCACTGCACTCCAGCTTGGGCAACAAGAGCAAAACTCTGTCTCAAAAAAGAAAGAAAGAAAGAAAATGTTTAAGTTAGCAATTTTAAGTTTTTAATCACAATTAGATATTTACATCTACCTAAAAAGGTTTCATTTTTCAAAAATCACCTTCAAATAACAAAACTGTTTCTCTCACAGAACATATAATCGAATAGGTGGCAATTTTACAGTTTCTTTGATTACTCACGTACACAAGAAAACACTGGTGACCACTCAAGTGAATAAATAATTTACGAACAAAGTAGGGGCAATATTTATACATGCAAATACCACACAGATAACTTTTATAGGCAATAGAAATATCTGATTTATATGTACATTTTAATTTGCTCAAAGTGAAACCCAATGATTTTTATTTGAATTAAATACCACAGGGTCATAAAAGGTACAGAGTTTAAAATTACCAGGCAAACAGAAAGATTAAAACAAAAGGTCGGGCGCGGTGGCTCACGCCTGTAATCTGAGGACTCTGGGAGGCCCAGGTGGGTGGATCACGAGGTCAGGAGATCGAGACCATCCTGGCTAACACGGTGAAACCCCATCTCTACTAAACATACAAAAAATTAGCCGGACGTGGCCGCGGACGCCTGTAGTCCCAGCTACTCGGGAGGCTGAGACAGGAGAATGGCGTGAACCAGGAAGGCGGAGCTTACAGTGAGCCGAGATCGCGCCACTGCACTCCAGCCTGGGAGACAGAGCAAGACTCCGTCTCAAAAAACAAACAAACAAACAAACAAAAAACCCTGAAGACTTTGGTCTCAGCTGTGTATCCTGAAGCAGCCCTATGAATCAGTTCCACACCCTCACAGCTGTGTTCAAGGGTCAGTACTGCTCATCTAGGAGCCTGTCCAATGACCAGGTTAGAGCATTTTGAAACATCCAGCAAGAGCCACACATCAGGAGCCACACCTGCTCACATTTATATTGTATCAGCACCCCCATCTGCATATATAATTGGATTTTTTTTTGTCTCAGGCCAGTCTTATTGATAAAGTTCTTGAAGAAAGTCTAGTCTTTCCAGAAAATAGAATCCACAACTGTCTGATGGCCTGATAACAGGTCTGCCAAACATGAACTTCACTGCAGACATAGTAGTAGTTATGTGACCTGGCTCCAAAGCATTTAATTGCAATCTCAGTGGAAATATCATCAGCCCAGAGATCAAACAGGAGAAGTATTTACCTCCCAACTAGTCTGTAATGACTGAAAGAGGTATTTGCTCCTTCAGATGCAAGGACATCAAAATAAGGCTTCACAGATAATAAAGGATCAGGCAAACATACCACCACCAAAGGAACCTGAAAATTTTCCAGTAACCACTTACAATAAAACACAGATCTAAAAAATGGCTAAGAAGTCAAAATAATTATCTTAAGGAATGTCAATGAGATGAAAAAAATACTAATTTTTTTTTTTGCAAGAACACATGAACAAAATTACAATTATAGCAAAGAAAGAGAACCAAATGGATATGCTGGAGCTGAAGAACGCAATATATAATAAAAAATTTTAGAGAAAGCTTTAACAGGAGACAGTTATACAGAAAAAAAGTCAGCAAAGTTAAAATTAAGTCATTTGACAGTTCCTAATTTAAAAAAAAAAAGAATGAAAGAGTGAATAAAGCATTTGGGCCACATACTGCATAATAAACTGTAAAAATGTACATATTTTAGCATGTTCAGGGTAGAGAGAGAAAAATCTTAAAAATTTGTTTAAAGATAATGTCCTAAATTTTTCTCAATCTTAGAAGGAATACAGACATTCAGTTTTATGAAGCTTAAAATGTCTATAGCAGAAGGAACTAATAACAATTGCCCAGAACACATAATTGAACTGCCAAAATTCAAAGACAAAGAGAGATTCTTAAAAGAAGCAAGAGAAAAGAAATTTTTCTCATACAAGGGAACCCCTATAAGGTTATCAGCAAATTGCTCAGCAGAAACCATGCAAGCCAGATAGGAGTGAGATCATATATTTAAAGTGCAGATGAAGAGAGAAAATGAAAAAAATTTGACAACGAAGAAGAGTATACCTGACAAAACTGTTCTTTAGAAATGAAATATGAATCGAGATATTCTCAGATTAAACAAGTTGAGGAAATTTATAATCATTTGACCTTACAAGAAATGCTAATAAGAATTTTTCAAGTTGTAATAACGGACTTCTAATTTACAACAAGAAAACATATAAAAGTATAAATCTTACTGGAAAAAAATATATATAGTCAAATATAGAAGGCTATAAAACTGTAATTATGGTACATAAATCCCTTTTAACTCTGGTATAAAAGTTACAAAAAAGTATTAAAATATATATAGCCTCAATAATTTGTTAATGGGTATACAATATAAAAAATTATGTAAAGTATGACATAAATAGTGTGTTGAAGGGAGTACAACTGCTTGATTTTTCTACACACATAAGTTAACTTTTGCTTGAGGCCAGGAGGTCAAAACCAGCCTGCTCAATATAGCAGGACCGTGTCTCTAAAATAAATACATAAAATAAAATACGGATCTCAGAAAGCTATTTACTTAAAACAAGTGGCTGGGTCTGATGGCTTATGCTGATAATCCTAGCACTTTGGGAAGCCAAAGCAGGTGAATTGTTTGAGCCTAGAAGTTCAAGAGCAGCCTGAGCAACATGGCAAAACCCTATCTCTACAAAAAATACTGACAAAATTAGCCGGACATGGTGGCATGTACTTGTAATCCTAGCTACTCAGGAGGCTGCGACTGGAGAATTGCTTGAGCCTGGGGAGGTCAAGGCTGCACTGAGCTGTGAATGCACCATTGCACTACAGCCTGGGTTAGAAAGCAAGACCCTATCTGTATAAAACAGAAAGTTAAATTGTTATCTTAAACTAGATTTTATAACTGTGAGATGTTTTATGTAAGTCTCTTGGAAATTCTAAAAAAAAAAAAACAACCAAAAAACCCCCCAAAAATCTGTAGTAGATACATACAAAAGAAAAAGAATGAAAGCATCTAACAAAAACAAAACAGAACTCAAGAAAACACAAGGGAAGACAGCATGTAAGAATTACAAAACAGAAACTACTAAATGGTCAGAAAACAATGAACAAAATGGCAGTAATAAGTTCTTACCAATCAGTAATTCTTTTAAAAATATATAAAGATTTAGTTATCCAATGAAAACACATTGCTATGGTTTGAGAGTCCTCTCCAAAATTCATGTTAAAATTTAACTGCCATTGTGAGAAAATTAAGTGAGACCCTTAAGTTATTAGGTCATGACAGCTCTACTCTCACGAAAGGATTAGTATCAGTATTTCAACAGTGGGTTAGTCATGATGAGAGTGGGTCTATTATAAAAGTGAGCTCTGGTGTACACCTTCTGTCATCCTCAAGCCTTCAGTCATGTTGTGATGTGGAAGTATGATTCTCATCAGATGGGAATGGCATGCTCTTGGACTTCCTGGCATCCAGGATTGTGCGCTAAGCAAACTTTTATTCTTTATAAATTACCAACTCTAGGATATTGTTATTGAAGCAAAAAATAAAGCATTTACAAAATGTTTGAATAGATTTATAAAATCAACCATATGCTGCACACAAGAGACTTAGAGTTAAGGACACACATACGTTAATAGTCCAAGGATGAAAAAGAATATTCCATGTCAATAATAACTAAAAGAGTGTAGCAGTGGCCGTATCAGACAAAAGAGATTTCTAGGAAAAAAAAAATCTGTCATGAAAAAAAGATCTTCACTATATGGTAATAAAAGGCTAATTTGTCAAAATAATATAACAAATAAAAATATATACATACCCAATATAGAAGCACATAAATATATTGTAAAAGGAAAATAAATTTTGGGGCCTCCAAATCACTAAGCTAAAGGGAAAAGTCAAGCTGGGAATTGCTTAGTGCCAACCTGCCTCCCATTCTATTCAGTCACCTCTCCGCCACTGACACAGATGTGAATCTGATTGCCTCCTTTGGAGAGGCTAATCAGAAACTCAAAAGAATGCAATCATTTGTCTCTTATCTACCTATGACCTGGAAGCCCCCTCCTCACTTCCAGTCTTCCCATCTTTGCTTCAAGTTGTCCCACCTTTCCAGACCGAATCAATGTACTTCTTACATATATCGATTGCTGCCTTATGTCTCCTTAAAATGTATAAAATTAAGTTGTTCCCCGACCACCTGGGGCACATGTCTCCAGGACTTCCTGCCACAGATGTGTGTCCTCAACCTTGGCAAAATAAACTTTCTAAATTAACTGAGACCTGTCTCAAAAATATGAACATATATTAACAGATGTAGAAAAACAGACAAATATGATAATACTAGGGAACTTTATTGCCCTACTTAATACAACACATCATTCAGACAGAAAACAATGTACTTGCATAGCACTAAAGAACTACACCTAAAAGACATATATAGGTAACATTTCACCCAACAGTATAACTTATATTCTTCTCAAACACACATGGAACATTCTCCAGGATACATCATAAATCTGGAGAGCCTCAACATCCCAGCCTTCAAGTGATCCTCTTGCCTCAGCCCCAGCTGGGACTACAGGTATGCACCACCTTGCCAAGCTAATTTTTTTTTATTTTTGGTAGACATAAGATTTCACCATATTGCCCAGGCTGGTGTCGAACCCCTGAGCTCAAGCGATCTGCCCTCTGTGGCCTCCCAAAGTATTAGGATTACAGGTGTGAGCCACCGCACCTGGTCTGATATCTTTATTCTAACACCAAATATATGGAGTTTGCTGAACACCAACCAAACTTCTATCACCAACTGGGTGTCCAACAACTCAATTCTGACAACACCACGGTCAGCACAGACCCCACCGTCTCAGGGCTCAGTTCCACAATATTGCTTCCCTCCACATGCCAGTCACAAGCCCCAAGGACCCATCTATACTTCAGAGCAACTGTCTATAAATCATGGGCTTCCAGAACTCCCTCCCTCAAGTTAAAGGATTTGATAAAACTACTCACAGAACTTAATGAAAAAACTTTACCTATGTTTACCAGATTACTAATATTGGATACAATTCAGTAAAAGCCAAAGGGAAAAAATATATAGGACAAAAGAAAGTGCGGGAAAAGAGGAGGTGGGTTAGTGAATCTTGGTAGTTATAACTATGGTCTCTCCAATCCTTTGTGCCCTATCAAAAAAGCTTACTGCTAATAAATCACCTTTTCATTGACTTTGATGATGCTCCCTCTTTAGATATCTCAAATTCACCGATTCTAAATTCTCATTTTTCCCTCATAAACAAATAATTTTGTCTTCAGTGTTCAGAACAGAATACTTGTTAACCAAACTTTGCTTAAGTTTCTCTCCTTTACCCAGGCCCCTGGACTCTGCTCCACCTTCAGTCTGAGATAGCATACAACCCCTCTTCATGTCCCTCCCAAGAACAGGTTGACGTCAGGGTGAAACATTCTCCAATCCTGAATCTGATTTTGCCATTCTCCATTCTGCTCTCTCCCTCACACCTACTTTCTAATCTTGTTTGCTCCTCCGTATGACAAATAGCCCTTTTCTGCCTCATTTTGGAGATGCTTGCAGGTCTTATGCTTGGTGCTTTCCCCAATGCAATATTCCTCAGAATAAAGTCACTTCTTACCTCATTGGAATTTATTTGACAATATCTAGGAAGAGCCCCATGACAGTAACAATTACACCCTCTCAGAGGACATCACAAACAACCTCCCATCCCAACTCTCACTGCATCTGCCTGTGGATCCTCAGCTTTCCAGAGTTCTGTACCTTCTCAGTGTAAAGGCTCCTTTCATGTCTAATTTGAGCCAGGCTGGTACACCTGCAGGAAAGGTTCCCCAGTAAGTAACAACTGGGCTACTGATTACATCCTTTGACAGTGTCAAGATTGGCCTTACCCTGCAGTTAATGGGCTTAGGTCTGATTCCCAGTCAAGGTTATTCCCTTCATTTTATACAAAAGGAACTCAGTGTTTGAAGAATCCAGCAGAATTCCTCAAACTCAGCACTTATGTTCACAGGAGAAATGGAAATTGGAAGGCACTTACATTTCATACTTCAACAAGAAAAGCCAAAATATCCATTTCAGACAGCAAATGTCATTTAGGTATTATTTCCATAATAACAAATAATTAAGCAATCATTTATGAGCACTTCCAGGAATGTCAAGTCCTAGTCCATAGAATTTAACATTAAACTCAAATATGCAGATAACAGGATAACAGAGTAGACTTATCAACTATTGCAAATTCTCCACCATGCAGAAAAAAGAAACTGATGTTTTGGCAAATCTCTATAAACCACCAATGTATCTACCACGATTTCTTGTGGAAATGTATTCACTTTTCTGCAGCCATAAAAGAAGAAAATTTTTCCTATTTCTTTTCACCCAGTAATATTTTTATAACTAAGCCCTGAGATTCTGTGTGAAATAGCTCCCAAAATGTACAGATTTCAGAAACTTACTACCCTTGCTCAGGGAAAAAAAAAATGAAAATAAGAATTTTTAACAAATGAAATACATCACTAGATTTTTTTAAAATTCACATTTGTATGCCTCTTTGAGAATATTTTTCTATTTTTCAAGCTCTACAAATAGAATGCATTGTGCAGTTAATAAAAATGAAAGCTGAAATAAGTAAACAATCTTTTCAAGATGACAAACCCAGGGAGTGGCAGTACTGGCCGGAATGGTATGTCTGACTCAAGTGGCAAGTTAGGCCATCCTATGATATAGATCCTCCCACCCCCATCCTGCTCATTGAAATACTCAATGACCACCCTCCCAAGGGCCTCTGCACTGTGTGCCTCTGTGTGCCTGGAGTACATTTTTTTTTTGCAGGTCCTTGTATCACCTTGCTAGAATGAACATTCAATGTTGTTGGGGATACTTTTTTCCCCTTCCACAATTCTGAAAAAATCCAGATGGTAGGAATTATTTCTGCCTTTCCCATCAATATCAGCTTTCCATTGGCTGACCAGCAATGTGTCTCTAAAACATGGAAACTGGATTTGGAGAAAGAAAATCTTAATGCCATAAGGATTTGGTGTTTTGGATGAAAAGTAAACAAGAAGAGTGCTTTAGCATCAGGGCACTCAGCTGCTCCCGTGAGGCTCTACCCTATACCTCAGGCTGCCCACCATGAGGATGTGATGCAGTAGCTGTCATTCCCTAGACATTCCAAGAGACATGGCCACCATAGGCATCTGTGGTCTTCCCAGACAGTTCTGAAACCTAGGACCAGGAAAAGACAATAGGATGTATGAGGATGAATTACCTTGTGAAATTGGGAACCTAAACCCAAGGGCATTCTGATAAGGTGTCTGCACCTGAAGAAGACAAAAGAAGAGGCACAAAAGATGCATACTTTCACCACTGTTATTCGACATAGTATTGGAAGTGCCAGCCAGAACAATTTGACAAGAGAAAAAAATAAAGGGCATCCAAATTGGAAAGAAAGAAGTCAAATTATATCTTTGTTTGCAGATGATGTAGTTTTATATTTGAAAAAAACCTAATTAACTAGAACACTATTAGAACTAATAAATTTAGTCAAAATATAGCATTTAAAAATTAGTAGTGTTTCCATATGCCAACAGTGAACAATGTGAAAAAGAAACCAAGAGTAATCCCATTTACAATAGCCACAAATTAAAATTAAATACCTAGGAATTAACATAAGCAAAGAAGTGAAAGGTCTCTACAATGAAGACCAGGAAATACTGATGCAAGAAATTTAAAAAGACAAAAAAAGGAAAGATATTTTATGTTCATGAATAAAAAGAATCAATACTTTCTAAATGTCAATACTACCTGAAGCAATCTACAGATTTAATGCAATCCCTATCAAAAGATCAATGACATTCTTCACAGAAATACGAAAAACAATTCTACAATGTAGACAGAACCACAAAAGACTCAGAATAGCCAAAGTCACTGTAAGAAAAAAGAAACTGGAGGAATCATCCTATTTAACTATAAATGATTCTACAGAGCTACAGTAATTAGAACAGCATGGGACTGATCAGTAAAACAGTAGAGAGAACACAGATATAAACCCATACATCTACAGCAAACTTATTTTTGACAAAGGTGTCAAGAATATTTATTGGAGGCTGAGCATGCTGACTCATGCCTAATCCCAGAACTCTGAAAGGCTGAGACAGGTGGATCACTTGAGATCAGGAGTTTGAGACCAGAGTGGCCAACATGGTGAAACTCTGTCTCTACTAAAAATACAAAAATTAGTCAGGCATGGGGGTGCACGCCTGTAGTCCCACCTACTCCAGAGGCTGAGGTGGGAGAATTGCTTGAACCTGGGAGGCAGAGGTTGCAGTGAGCCAAGACTGTACCACAGAACTCCAGCCTGGGTGACAGAGCAAGTCTCTGTCTTCAAAAAAAAAAAAAGGATATTTATCGGGGAAAGTGCTACAAAAACTCAATATTCATATTCAGAAGAACGAAACTAGACCCCTATCTCTGGCCATATAAAAAATTAAATCAAAATGGATTAGAGACTCAAATCTAAGACCTCAAACTGTAGGGATTCAATCAAGCTGGTGGGAAAAAATATTAAAGATAATTATCTACCGTTGGTGCTTTCTACTTGGAAAGTCCACAATGTCAATTACTCTTTAGTAGTGTTGACTCAAGCCTTTGTCAATTAGTCTTTACTAAATAAATGCGAGTCTCACTAGCTGGTCAGGGTCACAACTGTTTACAGAACTCTCTGGGGAGTCTGTAAGTGGCCCGGACATCCAGCTGGACTGGCAAAACAGAATATCTGTGTATCAGTGTACTTTATTCATCTGTCGTTTGGGTCACGGTCTGTGGGCAGACCCCCGCATCGAACTATGAAACTACTGCAAGAAAACATTGGTGAAACTCTTCAGGAAATTAAACTGGGCAAAAATGTCTTGAATAATACCCCCACAAGCACAGGGAGCCAAAGCAAAGATGAACAAATGGAATCACATCAAGTTAAAGAGCTTCTAAACAGCAAACGAATCACCATAAAGAGCTTCTAAACAGCAAATGAAACAATCAACAAAGTGAAGAGACAACACACAAAATTAGAGAAAACATGTGCAAACTGCCCATCAGAAAAGGAACAACCAGAATACGTAAGGCACATAAACAGCTCTATAGGATAAGATCAAATAATCTGATTATGAATGTGCAAAGAACGTTTATAGACATTTCTCAAAAAAGGGCATACAAATAACAAAAAGGTATATGACGAGGTGCTCCACATCAATATCATCAGAGAAATGCAAATCAAAACAACAGTGAGATATTATCTCACCCCAGTTACAATGGCTCTTATCCAAAAGTCAGTCAATAACAAACGCCAGTAAGGATGTGGGGAAAAAAACTCTAGCATTCTCTTGGTGTGAATGTAAATTAGTCCAACCACTATGGAGCACAGCTTAGAGGTTCCTCAAAAAATGAAAAATAGAGCTACTATATTATCCAACAATCCCATTCCTAGGTATGTACATAAATCAGGACATCAAAGAGATATCTGCACCTCCATTTTATTGCAGCAGTGTTCACATTAGCCAAGATTTAGAAGCAATCTAAGTGTCTATCAACAGATGAATGGATAAAGCAACTGTGGTACAAATACACAACGGAGTACTTTTCAATCATAAAAAAGAATATGATCCTGTCATTTGCAACAACATGGATAGAACTAGAGGTCATTATGTTAAGAGAAATAAGCCAGGCACATGATGGCAAACTTTGCATGTTCTCACACATTTGCTGGAGCTAAAAACTAAATTGATTTAATTCATGGAGATAGAAAGCAGAAGGATTGTTATCAGAGGCTGGAAAGTATAGTGAGGGGTTCAGGGGAAGTGGGGAAGGTTAATGGATACAAAAATAATTAGGGTAAGATTTAGTAGTTGCTAGTACAACAGAGTGACTATAGTCAAAAGCAATTTAATTGTACATTTTTAAGTAACTAAAAGAATGTTATTAGATTGTTCGTAAAATAAAGAACAAATAGTTGAGGCAATGAATAACCATTTATATGATGTTATTTTTGTGCATTTCATGCCTTCATCAAAATCACTGATATAATCCATAGATACATATAGGTACTACGTACTCACAAAAATTAAAATAATAAATAAAATATAAATTTAAAATGAAAAGCGTAAAAACAAACACCACTGGTCCTCGTTTCTTCATAGATATATGAACTTAACACCACGCTGATCACATTGCCTTTGTGAGAATTCCTGAACATAGTTAAGAATTTGTACTACTTCAGTTGAGCACAATGCCAAAAACATGTAGAAGAGAAGAAAAAGCTTATTAGATATGCCCAGC
The DNA here is from genome assembly GCF_000001405.40 of Homo sapiens. Classification (NCBI taxonomy): domain Eukaryota; kingdom Metazoa; phylum Chordata; class Mammalia; order Primates; family Hominidae; genus Homo; species Homo sapiens. The sequence continues at coordinate 68,409 of NC_000004.12, read as the reverse complement.
GCAGCCTGACCTCCTCCCAATACAGCATGGTGCAATCCAGGAGAAACTCCCAACTCTATGCTTCTTCCTCAGGAGACAAAGAGAAATGTGGAATATATGTCCACATTCCTGTCTTTTGAGGGACTGTCCGAAGAGGAATTTTGTCTCCCCTGACGTGCCTCCTCTGACGTAGAGTGCTGAAGGGAATGGTGGTATACTTCGGATGACAGCTATGCATATTTCGCATTAACATAAGACGCAATCCTGACGTGGTGCAGTGGCTCACACCTGTAATCCCAGCACTTCGGGAGGCCGAAATGGGCGGATCACGAGGTCAGGAGATCGAGACCATCCTGGCTAACTCAGTGAAACCCCGTCTCTACTAAAATACAAAAAATTAGCCGGGCGTGGTGGCGGGCACCTGTAGTCCCAGCTACTAGGGAGGCTGAGGCAGGACAATGGTGTGAACATGGGAGGCGGAACTTGCAATGAAACGAGATGGCGCCACTGCACTCCACTCCGCCTCAAAAAAAAAAAAAGAAGCAATCCTAAAATCATATCAGAACTGAAGAGACCAGAAGTGCTGAACAACTGTCAAAAAGAGAAACAACATCATAAGCACCATACCTCCTGATTTTAAACACCTATTATAAAGTTATAGTAATTGAAATACTTTATAACTCAATTTTAAAATACCAGTGAAACAGAATAAAGAACACAAATAGTCCCTTGCATATATTATCAAATGAAGAGTAATTTACACATCCATATTCACGGTAGCATTATCTACAAAAGCAAGTAAGTGAAAAGAACTTTTCTTAATAAATAAATGAATAAAGACAATTTCAAATATATAAATAATTAAATATTACTCAGCTTCTTAAAAGCAGAAAATTTTGTTAAATCCACAATAAGGATACATTTTTAAGGCTTTATTTATGTGGAAGAAGCCCAGGCACAAAAGGACAGAAACGATATAATTCCACTTATGTAAGATACCTAAAGTAGTTAAACTCATAGAAACAGAAAGAAGACTAAACTGTGTCGGGGTTAAGTGGAGAAGAAAATGAGTAACTGTTGTTTCATGGACAACCTGTTAGAATGCAAAACAACCCCCCCACCCTTTTTTTTTAAACTTTAAGATCAGAGTATATGTGCAGGTTTCTTATACTGGCAAACTTCTGTCATGGAGGTTTGTTGTACAGATTATTTGGTCATCAAAGTATTGAGCGTAGTTCTCATCATACAACACTGAATTATACAACACATCCTTTCATACCACCTGTAATAAAACTGGAAATCAAAAGCAGAAGCAAAATTGCCAAATCCAAAAACCTGTGAAACTCAACACACTCTTGAACATATTCTTATCTGTGTCAGTTGATTTGATATTGTTAAATGACCATACTACACAGTGATATTCAAATTCAACGTAAGCCTAATGAAAATAAAAATAATACTTTGTGAAAAAGTATTTTTTACAATTCTTAACTTTTACATGGAATTTCAAAGGACCACTGATAGCCCAAACATTCTTAGAAAACAAGAACAAAGTTACATGCACAACGTTTCCTGTTTTTAGAACAGATAACAAAGCTAAATAAAAACAGTGTGGTACTTGCAAGAAGACAAATAGATGATGGAACAGAACACAGAACTCAAAAACAAACCACTGTGTATATGTTCAAATGATCTTCAACAAGGTTGCTATAACCACACAATAAGAGAAAGACAGTCTCTTCAATAGATGGTGTTGGAAAACTGTATATCCATATGAAAAAACTGAGGTTGGATCCTTCCCCTGAACCATATACAAAAACTGTCTTGAATGAGTTAAATATTTAAACGTAAGAATTATAATTATACAATCTTTAGAAGAAAATATAGGAAGATTATGACATTGATCCCAGCAATGTTTTCTTGCATGTAACATCAAACACATGAGCAAAAAATTCAAAAGCACAGAAAAGTAGGACTACATTAAATTTATCTCTCCACATTAAAGTTTTAGTAAGAGTCCCACCTAAGCAGCAGAAAAGCCAAAATATACATATATTTGACAGAAGATAACATCCAGAACAACTCCAAAAAAAAAAACAAAAAGTTACATGACTAATAGACAAGAGATGAAAATGTTTCTCCAAAGATGAAATACACAATTATTGAAAAAAAATTCTAATCTTTAGAAAAATGTAAAGAAAAACCACAATGAGGTATTACTGTGTATTAAGATGGCCAATATCAAGCAAACAAAAAATAATATATATTGTCAACAATGTAGAGAAATTGAAACCCTTGTACACTGTTGGTGGGAAAAACGTGATGCAGCCACCTGAAAAATGTATGGAGGTTCCTCCAAAAATTAAAAATAAAGTTACTGTATGACCCAGTAATTCCACTTCTGAGCATCTATTTAAAGTATGCAATGTATACCTGAAAGAAGTATTTGCACATCCATATTCACTGTATTAGTTTATTCTTGCAGTGCTATAAGAAAATTCCTGAGACTTGGTAATTTATTTTAAAAAGAGGTTTAATTGGCTTATGGTTCTGCAGGCTGTACGGCAAGCATAGCAGCTTCTGCTTTAGGGGAGGCCTTGAAAAGCTTCCAGTCATGGCAGAAAGAAAAGGGACAGAGAGTCATCTCACATGGTGGGAGCAGGAACAAGAGAGCACGAGAGGGAAGGTGCCACATGCTTTTGAAAAATGAGATCTCAGAAGAAGTCACTCACTATGGCAAAGACAGTACCAAAGGGGCTGCTGCTAAACCATTCGTGAGAAGCCAACCCTACGATCCCATCACCTCCCACCAGGCCCACCTCCAACACTAGGGACTGCAACTTGACATGAGATTTGAATGGGGACCCAGATCCAAACTATATCACTTACAAAAGCCAAAAAGTGAAAAAACTCAAACACCCTTCAATAGATGAATGATTTAAAAAGATGTGGCTTATACATACAATGAAATATTCTTTAGCATCAAATGAAAATATCTTGTCAGATGCTACAATAAGGATAAATCTTAAAGCCATTATTTTAAGTGAGATAAGACACCAACAAAGTGACAGTGTATGATTCCACGTATATAAGATATTTTAAATAGTAAACTCCTGGAAAACGGAAGTAGAAAGGTGCTTGCCTATGGTTAGGGTTGTGAAACCTCAGTGGTGCCAAAGATCAAAAAGGGTTATTTGGGAAAAGCAGGCCCTCACCCAGGTGGCCAACTCAAGGGCCCACAGACATGGCTACAGACAAGGAAATGGGGCACCGAGCTTGGTCTTACTGAAGATTACAAAGCAGTTCTGCAACCTCTCTCAAACTCCTTCAGCTATAGTCCAAAAGTGGTCCTTCCCATCAAGTGACCTGCAGGGAAACACACCCAGCCATGGCCCTGGAGGCAGGCCTGCAGATCTTGGCCTCAACTGTGCTCCTTGAAGCAGCCCTGTGACTCAGTTCTAGCTCTCACAGCCACAGTCCATGGCCAGTTGTACACACTCAGGGACCCACATGGAGACTTGTGAAACCTGTTCCCAGGTAGTTAGTAGAAGCCAATCCCATTCATACACATGGTATTTGGGCCATCATATGCAGACAAACTGTAAAACCCTACCCTACTGCCTGCCATATAGATTAATGTCCTCAAGGATATTTAATCTTTCCATGGCCCAGAAAGAATCCATGACTGTCCAAATCTCTGGTAATACAACCATCAAAGGCAGACCCCATATCACTCAAACACAGATGTATGGTAAGTTCTCACTTAATGTTCAAAATAGGTTCTTGAAAACTGCATCTTTAAATGAAACAATGCTGCTATATGCCATTTAAACAACAGACCTAGCAGCACCCTTGTGACACAATGGCCAGGCTAGTCTGGAACTCCTGGCCTCAAGTGATCTCCCCACCTTGGCATCCCAATGTGCTGGCATTACAGGTGTGAGTCACTATGCTCGGTCACTTTACATTTATTTTGATTAAGTTCCTTATTTTTATACTATTGCAATTGGAAACTTTCTCTCTTTTTTGGAAAGTTTGTTGTTACTATATGGAAATGCAACAAATATTTGTATGTAGGGTCAGGTGCAGTGCCTCATTTCTGTAGTCCCTGCACACTTTCAGAGGCTAGAGGCCAAGGAAGGTGGATCACTTGAGCACAGGAGTTTGAGATGAGCCTGGGCAACAGAGTGAGACCCTATCTCAAACAAACAAAAAAACCCCACAAGTATTTTTATGTTGGTCATGTATCCTGATACCTTAATGAATGCATTTATTAGTTCAGTTTTTGTTGTTTCACTCTAGGGTTTTGTATATACGCATAATTATATTATCTACAAACAGTAACATTTTTACTTTTATTCCAAGCTGGAAAGCTTTGTTATTTTCCTTGTCTAATTGTTCTGATACAAACTTTCAGTAATATGTTAAGGTAGAAGCTGTGGCCCTGGAGGCATGCTTGTGGATCTTGGCCTCAGCTTTGGTCCCTGAAACAGCCCCATGTCTGTATATTTGAAGGATCTAACAACTCTTAACAGTTTCTATAAACTATGGCAAAACCCCATCTCCACTAAAAAAAACTATCTTTGGCAAGTAAAGATCTCCTTTTATTGGGTCCCCAGGCTGATAAGATTACCTCTGGGGTTGCTGAGAAGAAAGGTCATAGCTGGGTCACAAGGGTGCTGCTGGGTCACAAAACCCCATCTCCACTAAAAATACAAAAAAATTAGCCAGGCATGGTGGTGCGCGCCTGTAATCCCAGCTACTCGGGAGGCTGAGGCAGGAGAATCGCTTGAACCTGAGAGGCGGGGGTTGCAGTGAGCTGAGATTGTGCCACTGTACTTCAGCCTAGGGAACAGAGTGAGACTCTGTCTCATAAAATAAGTACATAAATAAAATAAATTTTAAAATGTAAAGGATGAGATAAAAATGTATACACTAACACAGTTAAGATATTGATGACAGAAATTGAAGTAGGTAAAAATAAATGAAAACATATTCCATTAGGATAACTAATATTGTCAAGGAATATTATCCAAAGTGATATGGAGATTCAATGTCATCCCTATCAAAATTTGAGTGGCATTTTTCACAGTAATAGAAAACACAATTGTAAAATTTAAGTGTTATCTTAAATAACTTAAAATAACCTGAGCAATCTTGAGAAAGAACAAAGCTGGGGACATCATACTTTCTAATTTCAAACTTTACTTAAAGGTCATGGTAATCAAAAGAGTATAGTATATTCATAAAAACAGATACAAAAACCAATGCAACAGAATAGGGAGCCCAGAAACATATCCATGCATACAAGGTCAACTAATCTTTGACAAGGCCACCAATAATATACAATGCAGAAAGTATAGTCTTGTCAATACATGGTACCAGAAAAACTGGATATCCACAAGCAAAAGAATAAAATTAGACTATACCATAAATAAAATTTTCTTATACCATACCCCAAAATTAACTCAAAATAAAAGACTTAAATGTAAGACATAAAAGCTTAAAACTCCTGAATAAAACATATGGAAAAACCTTGTTGATATTGGTCTTGGCAATTTGGTATGTCATCAAAAGCACAGCAACAGAAGAAAATACAAAAGAGTGGGACTGCATCAAAGTGTACAGCTTCTGTACAGTAAAGGAAAAAACCAAAATTTTAAAAAATCCTACACAATAGAAAAATATTTGCAAGCCATATATCTGATAGTTAATATCCAAAATGTGTAAGAAACTTCTGCAATTCAAAGCAAAACAATAATGATGATAACCTATTCAAAAATAGGCAAAAGGTTAGTTTTGTTTTTCCCACAAAGAAGACATACATACAAGGGAAATCCTGTATGCCACTAGTGAGATATAAATTGATAAAGTCATCATACAAATCAGTAAAAAATAAAAATGAAAGCATCACATAATTCAGCAATACCACCTCTGGGAATACTACCAAAGGAAATAAAATTAGTACCTCAAAGAACAATCTTCAGCCCCATGTTCATTTTAGTTTTGCTTAAAATAGCCAAAAAAATTTATATATATACACACACAGTAGAATACTATTCAGCCATAAAAGAGAAGGAAATCTAGCCATTTACAGCATTGATAGACCTTGAAGACATTACGCTAAGTGAAATAAGCCAAACACAAAGAAACTGCATGTTCTCAGTTAGATGAGGAATCTAAAAATGTAAACTCATAGGAACAGAGAGTAGAATGGTGGTTGTTAGTGCCTGAGGGTGGGAATATGAGGAGATGCTGTTCAAAGAGTACAAATGATTAGTTGTAAGTTGAGTAAGTCTGAGAAAGCTAATGTACATTAGCATTAGATTAGCAAAATAGCATTGTCTTTATAGTAATACTGTAAAGTATGCTTACAATTTGCTACAACAGTAGACCTCAAGTGTTCTTGTGACAAAAAAAAAAATGGTTATCTATGTGAGGTAATAAATGTGTTCATCAACTTGACATTTTGTTTCAAAATGTATATGCATATCAAATCATTACATTGTACAAATTAAATATAGTTATATAATTTTATCAGAAAAATCCGTATCACACAAACACAGATGTATGTTAAGTCCTCATTTAATGTTCAAAATAGATTCTTGAAAACTGCATCTTTAAATGAAACAATGTTGTTACATGCCATTCAAACATAACTTGTTTTTATTTATTAAACTCTGGTAAAATTAGTTTTCTTAAACAATATGTTGCTTTACTTACAGTTTCCAAGAACCTATCAATGATGTTAAGCGAGAATTTCCTATACACATATATGACTCATATAGGTATGTGTATGTGTGTGTGACACACAGTTCTACATATAGATGGATTATAGCTCAATGACAGAATCCCAGGAGGCTTCCTACTAAATAAGACAAAATTATAAGATAATAGTTTATCAAGAAATAAGGTAACAATTGAGAGCTTAATATACACTTAGGAATGTTCTAAGCCGGTTAATGACATAGTGCATTTAAGAAATCTAGAAGGCGGGCCAGGCACGGTGGCTCAGGCCTGTAATTCTAGCACTTTGGAAGGCAGAGGTGGGCGGATCACTTGAGGTCAGGAGTTCAAAACCTGCCTGGCCGACATGGTGAAACCCCGTGGCGGGCACCTGTAATCCCAGCTACTCAGGAGGCTGAGGCAGAAGAACCATTTGAACCCGGGAGGTGGAGGCTGCAGGGCAGCAGAGGTTGCAGTGAGCCGAGGTCACGCCACTGCACTCCAGCCTTGGTGACAGAGCAAGACTCCGTCTCAAAAAAAAAAAAAAGAAAAAAAGAAAGAAATCTAGAAGGTGAGTAGATACTTTAAACCAGTGGTATCCAATCCTTTGAGTGTGAGGACGTTTTTGCTTATCTGTGGTGATGGGTATCAAAAAAATTATTCACAAACCTATTTCTTGTTTCTTAGCTCATCGGCTATCATTACTGTTTGTGTATTTTATAATTTTAAGTGTGTCCCAAGACAAATCTTCTTCCAATGTGGCCCAGGGAAGCCAAGAGTTTGAAAACCTGTGCTGTAAACTATATTGTAATTTGAAAATTTGAATATATATAGAGTTCAAATTACAAATTTCAGTTTATACAAAATAACATTTTGAAGTAAAATAACATATTTTTTCATATTTGGAAAAACGCTTATTGTTCTGATAAAATTGCTGAGTAAGAGTTTTTGTAGAATTACATTTGCAACCTCTACAGGATTAAAAATCACTAAGCAGGGTGATGCACACCAGCATGGCACATGTATACGTATGTCACTAACCTGCACATTGTGCACATGTACCCTAAAACTTAAAGTATAATTAAAAAAAAAAATCACTAAGCAGAAAAGATGCAACATCTGTCCTCGGTGTTCCTAAGATTTCTAAACCAAATCCCATTATGTCCACTACTCACCTTACGTATTTTAGGCATGATGCGAAAATAATATTTGAAAAAATACTTTAACATAGAGGTCCTCAATAATACAAATACTCCTATGTCTCTAAAAGCAATGGAACAGCAGTCAGATTATGCAGCCCATTATAAGCGATAAAGTGGACATTGGCTCTCCTTGTAAACTTGGAGATCACTGAAGAAAAAAAGGAAATTCTTAGAAGATTTAAGAGCATGGGACAGAAGATGACCCTATTTGTGAATAAGAGAAAAAATGCAGCCTTTTCGGAAATTATTTTTATTGGCGCAGTTTCCCAGACTACATTTGAAGGCCTGGCTTCCTTCCTGACCTCTGGCCTCCTAGCCTGTGTCCTCTCCTTCATTCAGTCTCACCTACCTGGGGGTTTGGCTGCTGTCTCATGTATCTTCAAATTGCAGGGCTCTTTTATTTGCTCCAGACAGGTGACCAGGTCTGGGTTAGAGATCACAAAACCTGTTTTATTAAAAAAAAATTAACATGACTATTGCTGGGGATACTCCAATGACCAATCTATTACTATGCTAAGTAGAATAAAGAAATTATGGAAGACTCCAGAAAATTAATCCAAAAATTGTTTCCTGACAGAATCTTTAGAATACTGAAATATTTTAAATCTGTGGGTTCTAAGTTCCACTACCCAGTACTACTGAATCAAAAATAAGTGGTGCAAATTAGATTTTAGATGTGGAAAACAATATTTTACATCACTGAATTTCTAGAATTACTACTATCCTAGAGTGAAGGACACAAATTAGCTCAAGAAAAGAGATGGTTTATGCAATGATGAAACATCCTAAAGATTTTCTTTTTACACCAGCAAATCCCAATTTTTTTCTTGTAGAAAGGCACTGAAATTAATTAATGCAAAGCAGAAGCACCCAAGAGACATTCTGCAAAGAAAGAAAATGAAACTCTGAGGAAGTATTAGGAATTATGTATTGAAGTTATCCTCACCCAGGGAGACCAGGTTCCTGTAGTTCTCCAACATCACATCTCTATACAAATTCTGCTGGGCAGGGTCCAGACATTTCCACTCTTCAGGGGAGAATTCTATGGCCACATCCCTGAATGTTACGAGTTCCTGAAAACACATATTTATCATGTGACAGAGTTCTTAATTTGACTATAAGTGAAATCAGAGAACTAGTTGTGACTTATGGGGCTGACTGGAATTATCTGATAAAATAACTTTTAACACAGTAATGTTATCTAAAGTATTGTATAATTCTGAAGAAAAAGGAGGGCATGCCAGCAATTTTTGTTGCTGCAATGGAAATATGGGCTACACTGATCTGTCCCTACCAAAACCAAGCAAAGCAGGTCCTGTGACCTCCTTGAACAAAGGGTGAACTCACGTCTCATTAAAGTAACTGGAAGCCCTCATGCTTGACCCTGGCCTCACTGTAATGTCACACAAGAAACTTAACAGGATCTGTGGGGAGGGAACAGGTGACTGTTTCTCTTCAAACTGCCATGTGATCCTACTGGAAGACTGGGCTGAGAGTCACTTAGCTAAACATTGCCTCTCAAGCTTCAATGTGCACATAAATTTGGTATTCTAGGCCTCACTGTAAGTAACAAAATTCTGCAGGTTTGAAAAGGGTCCATTAATCAGCTTTTTATAGCCAAGTCTCCCATTAATGCTCATGCTCCTCCTAGACCCGTTATAGTACCACTCAGCTAGAGAAAGCAGACACAGCACGCAGAGTCCCTTACCCCAACACCCTTATCACAACACAAATACTTTTCATCCGAAGACAAGACCAGCAATCAACATCCTGAAACGTGGCATTATCTGCAAGCCCTTTAAAGGTTACAGAGGCTGGAGATGGTGGCAATGTCTGAGTAAGTCTGCATTTGAAAAACAGCACATCCACATGCATTAATGCGATATTTGTGGAGCATGTACTATGTGCTCAGGAGTATGTCACAGAGCACTGTGCTGGGAAGCTCACATTATGTGTGTTAATTCTCACAGCATCCTGGGAGGTGGGTACAAAGTGTGTGATACTTCCCAGGATTTAAATGCAGGGCCCAGCATTTCTATTTTTTCTTCTGTTTTCCTATCATTGATTTTTAAAAAATATATAGAATAATAGCTCAATGTAGATAAATGGGAGAGACACAGAAGAAAGTTTTAAGTACAATTCGGGAATTTTTTATTTTTGTGTTTATAGTTACTTTGAGACTTGTGAAAAATCCACTGAAACTGCAAAGATGGAGAACAGGTTGCTGGATGGGATGTCTCTAGAAATACTGGTTTTAATTTTACATAAAATAATTTAAGTACATTAAATTCAAAGTACATTGCCTTTCTCCATTTATCAGCTTTTGTGTTTCAGGAAATTGGGAGCACCAGCTCTGGAGAGGCAGTAGGAATAGCTACTCCAAACTCTGATCTTCTCTAAGCAGTTCTGTGAGGTATTTCAGTGTGGGGTCAGACCTGGACAAGGTTCAGTAGAGGGGGGATCTGGGCAAAGTTGGGACAGAAAATGGGCCCTAGGCTTCTGCTCTCTAGGCCACTAAGTAGTTTCAGTTTTGTCTTTTCTAAGCCTGCCCAAAAGAAATTTGATTCCCAGAGTTTGTGTAATTTTTATCTATTTTGCCACTTCCCCATCTATAACATACAATAACAAGGAATTTAACCAAAACCCTTTTGTTTTTCCAGACCAATTATATTTGAAGTTAAATATTTATTCTTAGCAAGGCAAAAACAATACAAATAATGACTTCTCTTCTGTCCATAAACAGCCATGCAGGTGGTGGTATCAAAACTCACAAAACAATAAAAGGGAAGTAACCCAAACGAAGCTTAAGTCTCCTGTACAGTTTTCATCTTTGTACTGAATACATGACGCTGAATTCCATCATTTATTAATGTGCTCTAGAATGCAAGTTCCTTGATGGTAGGGACCACGACTATTTCATCTCTTTTTCTAATGTCCATATGAAACACTGACCCAGTCTGCACAGGACATCCTCAAATGTCTCAAATACTCACTGATGCTGCTGAGAGTGTCCCCAGTGACCCTGGGCTGATGCCCCCATAGTGATCCAGGCAGGAGACTCAGGCTGACTTTCTGGGGTGCAAACAGAAAATGGAACTGCCCTGATGGAGCTGCAGATCCTGGATCTGGATGTGATATCCCCTGTCCCTGATCAGCTAACTCTGAGGTAGGCGAAGGAAAAAAGTACTCTACTCCAGTAACACAGGGAGGCATAGTTGGCATTATGGCTCTGGATATTTAGTGGCCTTGACTTCCCACTGCTAAGGTGCTTGTTTACACTTACAGATTCTGCCACAGTATTGTGTTCACACCAGAAGCCTCTTACTCAGCTGTAGCAGGTCACTGGACAAGATCTGGAAAACTCAAAGGGCTCCACTCTGAAAGTGGGGCTTATGTCTATGCTGACCTCTCATGATGCAGAAAACACCTTCTGTGACTTTTCTGTATCTCTTCAACCCAAAGTCTGGCCCTGTCTTGTGAATCCTGGGCAGAAGCCAGCTTTTATGTGCAGATTCTAGGTGAGATCAATGTGTGCTGCATTCTTGAGTTACAGGAAACAGAGTAAAATCAGAGGAAAGACCTTCTCATGAAGCCTCCTTCAACATATTCTAAAGAATATTTTGAGCTAAAGGGAAAAAGCTGGGGTAAACATAAGTAGAGAGTTTATTTGAGCCAAAGCTTGAAGACTGCAATCCTGGAGTATAAAGTTGCCCTGAATATACACTCCAATTAGAAGCAGTTACAAGCATATTTTTACAGGCAAAAAGGAAGTCAGAGAGGAGATTGATAGAAAGGTGTCAGAAATTCTTATTGGTTTATAGAAGTAACATTGGTTAGTGATTGGCCATATACATAGTTAAGCTATAGGGTATGGGTCATAGTGTCCAGTGTGGCATTATTAGGTTAATTTACAGCCACTTGTGGCAATAGCAAGCAATTTCAAAAGACAAATAGTTCAAGGAGGAGAACAGTATGTGAGTGTGGTCTCATTTTAACACATCTCTGGGTCTGATAAATCTAAAAACTTGTATTTCTCAAATAAAAGTTCTTTTATCAAATCTCAGGACATAAATTCAGAATTTGGAACTGCACATTTAGGTCTTGGAGGGCTGGTGAGCTATGTTTGTGGGCCACAATGTGGCCCATGCCAAATGTTTGTGGGCATGTGGGCAAGGGGAGGTGGGAGGGAGCAGAATTTCTCAGGTTTAATCGATGCGTATGTGTGAATCTGGTTAGGTTTATGGGCCCCATATCTCTGAAATCAGTGTCAGAACGGAAGATGCCAGGAGCACTGAAGGCGGTGAAATAACTGACTGCTGTCCTGAAAAGTTATTTTTGTAGAAATTTAACTGCTCTAGAAAGGACTGTAGATGCCAAGAGAGAGACCATTCTGTTTGCAGATTTAGGAAATACTTTGCTGCACTTTGCCGCACAATTGCAGGTTGTGACTGGAATCCTGAGAAAGAATGTTTTCTCAAGTGAAGTCTGCTCGACATTTTGTGTATAACATCTGGTAATTCTGGACAGTGTGTGGAAAATATAACTAAAAGCAAAATCATCTGCAATCCTAAAAAAGTCTCCACAGTAACAGAACTGCAAGAAAATGTTTTGTTGTATAATTAAACCAAAATATGATGTGCATCACAAGCAATCTAAGAAAATGCAAACACAGAAAGTCACCATAATTAGTTCTCAAGTAGAAGCCTTGAAAGCACCATTTGTCATACACAATTTATTATAATTTCATCATGTAATTTGAGAGGTCATCTGGGTTTTCTAATTTTTTCTAATCATTAAAGAAAAAATAAACATCCACATCTTCGTGACAGGATGTAGATTTGCAATGTGGAGCTAGGTACCTGCTGAAGGCAGCCTCCTAGTCCCCTACAGAAACTGTGAAATAGGGTGTATATTCTTGCTATTTACATTTCAAAGCAATAGTTCCCAGGTCCCAGATGAAGACAATTTTGAGCCAAAAAAGACAAATGACCTATTTAACTGATAAAAATGATTTACATATATTTCAAAGAAGCAGAGAAAATATTTAAATATAAAAGTTCTCAAACTAAATGCTTTAAGAAAAAGGAGAAGAGCAAAAATTCTTCCCTCGTTCTAAAGAGAAAGCATTAAGCCTCTTCTAATTTGTGTTTGCTCCTACAACAGCCAGGCCAAAAGGCCTGGTTTCGAACTCACTAACGTCTGAATTCTCATAGGCACCTGAGGGATGGACTTGGGCACACCGTGTACACAGAAAAGAGAATTTGTGGGGAAGGAAAAAGCAGAAGAGAAAGGAGCTATCAACAGCCATGGGTGGGAGGCCGGGCGCGGTGGCTCACGCCTGTAATCCCAGCACTTTGGCAGGCCGAGGCGGGAGGGCTCAAGGTCAGGAGATCCAGACCATCCTGGCTAACACGGTGAAACCCCGTCTCTACTAAAAATACAAAAAAAAAAAAATTAGCCAGGCATGGTGGCGGGCGCCTGTAATCCCAGCTACTCGGGAGACTGAGTTAGGAGAATGGCGTGAACCTGGGAGGCGGAGCTTGCAGTAAGCCGAGATCACGCCACTGCACTCCAGCCTGGGCAACAGAGCAAGACGCCATCTCAAAAAAAAAAAGCCATGAGTGGGAGCAGGGCAGGACTGACTAAAGCACTGGTTTGTGCCACAGGTACAGGCCGAGGCAGGGCTACGCTCTGATTCCATGTCTACAAAGACAGAAGGGATTAGGATCAGGTGGTCCGGAAGCCTGGGTGGGTGAAGGAAGCAGGTTCCTGCTGTAGATCCGGTCTGCGGTTGAGATGAGCCAGGAGACTTCTGGGCACTGCGTGTGTTTTTGGCAGAAAACGCTAGGCGCAAAGCTGCCATGGGCACAATTCCTGAGGTGGAATCCTGTACTGGGAAGAGTGGGGCAATGCGAATGCCCGGTGGGCGTGCTCAGGAGTGGACTAGCATTGGGTGGGGGCTGGCAGCAGGGTGCAGGGAAGGGATGTTTCTCAGAACTCCTTTCCTCTTTGTTCTGGGTCCCCTCTCTCCCCGGAAGGAGACCTGGAGGAAAAGGACAGTGCCCAGCGGGACAGCACATATGCAGAACCCGGCCGCGCCTCCCGCAGACACCAGGCATCTTTCTCCAGCCCAGGCTCAGCCATGTCTTTCTTCTGACAGAAAACGTGCGGAGTTTCCTCAACACCAGTCAATGCTCCAACCCCAACGCGGTGTCCAGCAACTCACTAACGACACCACCCAGAGTCAGCGCAGACCCCACAAGCTCAGCGCTCTTCCCACAACTGCTCCCGCTGCAGACGCCAGTCCCTGCCTCTGGACACCCGTCTTCATTTCTGAACGCCTGTCTACAAACCAGGGGCGCCCACACCCTCAAGTTCAGCAATGTGGCAGAACTACTCACAGAACTGAGAAGCGCCGTGCGCACCGACACCAGCGTATTCTAAAAGATGTTACTCAGGAACAGCCACGCGGAGGAGGTGCACAGGGCAAAGGGACTGGTGGAATAGTTGGAGCGGGCGGGTGATTTGCTTCGCTTGCTCACACACCTCACAAAAGCCTTTCCTTCAAGACCCGCTGGCAGTCCCCAAACCAGGAGCCGCGGCCGACGCTGTCCCATTAATGAGACCCCGTTTGCTCACATGAACTTTGTTTCGATGGGGCCTCGATCTCATTCCGAACAGGGTAAAGTAGGGACCGGACCCCCGGACCACAGCTCCTCCCAGGCGGGCACCTCGCACGCGGGCGCCGGCGTCTTCCAGATGAGCTCCTCCTCACCCCGCGGCCCAGGGAAGGTGCGGGGCTGCGGGCGCAGAACTGCACAAGGAGGGCCGCAGGCTGGGCCAGAGCCGCCGTGCGGGGACCGACAGGAGCCCGGTCCGTCACCGGAGGGGACTGAGGGCTGAGAGGCGGCAGCGGGGACTCCGTTCGCAGACTCGGTCCCGCCGCCGCCATTTCCCGCCGGTTCCGATGAGGCCTCCCCAGCCTCCGGACGCCCTGCCCCGCACACTCACCATTTCCCGACTTCAGGGTATCCGGGAGTCTTAGCTACAAATTGTCCAATACCCTCAGGTCACAGAGCAACGGGAGGCAGAGGCTGTGGCTGAATCACCGAGGCCTCCCGGAGCCGAGAACGCAGAGAGCTGAAGCCCTAAACCAAGCCCTCGCAGGAGCCAGAGGAAAACGCCGCGCCAGATCCCGGAAGCCAACCCCTCCTCTCTGGCTGCGGGCCTGATTGGGCAGTTCTCATTCCGACACTCTGATTGGATATTACTCCAATCCCCGCCCTCGGGCCTTGAGTAACAGAATTTGCAACCATACACTCCACTGATGTGGCAAGAGTGACAGGCTGGGGCCTCCAGGCCCTTTCAGGCGGGGCTTTCTCTCCCGGCTTGGCCTGACGCAGCCCAGGGGTGTTTTTTTTAACCTTGTTGTGTGTAAGGTTATGTCCACTTGTAAAATACACTTACACACAGACGTGCACACACGCGCGCACACACACGCGCGCACACACACGCATGCACACATGCATGCACACACACTTTTTCACAAACGGAAGTGATATAATGACAATTATTTTAATATTTTAGATTTCATAACCCTTCTGGCCGCTAGTCTTTTGAGTAGGACACCTGAGATTTTAAGAGGGAAGCAATCCTTTAAAAAATAAAATATTAATTTGTGAATTTTGCGTTTTTATTAGCCACGTCAAAAATAATATTTAAAGAGTGAAGTTGTTTGTAATAATTTTTAACTCATTGTATCAAAATATTGTTTTAATATGTGATTGATATATAATTAGAAATAAAGTATATTTCTGATCTAATTCTTCTAAACTCACTGTGTATTTTATGTATTTCTGATCTAATTCTTCTAAACTCACTGTGTATTTTATGTTTGCAGCACATTTTACTTCAAACCAGTCACATTCCAGGTACCCAGTAGCTACATATGGCAGGTGGCTGCCACATTGAGCGCAGCCATGAGGGCTCTCTTCCCTTAGGGAAGTGAGGGCCTGAACACCTCTTTTCTGCTGGAAGTAAGGGACCAGCCTCTCTACCAACTTTTCTCCTCAGGCTCAAGGGTGGGTGGGACAGTGCCCCTAGAGAGAGCAGGGGCTGCAAGCTGAGAGTATCCACGTGAAGACCACGGTTTCCCAGTTGCTGTTTGGTGGAGGTGTGGTGGTCTCCTCGGTTCAGCCAGGTCGGGACTCTTGTGCCACGACCAAAAAGAATGAAGCACACGGATACCAGAGAGTGAGCAAGGCAGAGTAGGATTTATTAAGCAAAAGGAAAGCTCTCAGAAGCAAGAGGGGACCTGAAAGCAGGTTGCCAGAAATGAGGCTGAGGTCTGGGTCTTTTATGTGGCAAGAACAAGTATGTCTTCTGTGGGTTCTGCCCAAATGGGAGGGGTAAAGTTCCTCACTAAGGGTGTTGCATCTGCGCATGCCTGGGATTGGCCACAGTGACTCCATTTTGGTTATTACCCATGAGTGCCTAAGCGAAACTTACACGAGGAGAGCCAAAACCACAATGCTAATGTCATGTTAATGACCTTATAATGAGCTGGGTCAAGTTAAGGACATTTGGGTTGATTTATTGCGCCTGTGCTAAGTTGGGACAGTCCCTTTGGAGCAACATCCTGGCATAAGAGGAAGTTCTTAACCACATTTCTTCCTGCTAGCTACAGAGGTGGTGCAGGTGCGGTCCCACACGTGTTTTTCCTCTCCCCAGGCCCTCTCTCTATCTGCCTAACCAGCGTCCGACTGCCTCCTCTATCAAAGGTTCCTCTTCCTTTCAAATATCAGACAGCAAACAAAGAATGTTGGGGCCACACAAGCAGAGAACACCATGTCTTCAGATCTCTTCACAGCCTTGTCCTCCAGAGTTTAGAAGTGGAGGGAAAAGATTAAAGGCAATCTTCTTGTTTTGCTATTTGTCCTTGGACCTAATCTGGACCTAATTTGGACACACAGGCTGTAACTATGTGTTTTTCTCCTTTGGTGTGGGGCACTGTGAGTTTAAGCACCAATCACATGCATCCACATCTAACTGCACTTCTGTTCCCAGAACGAAGGCCGTGAGTGTGAGTTGTCCAGGTCCTTGGCAACAAAGAATTGAACAAAATGCACAAAGTAACAAAGGAACAAAACAGAGGGAGGAAGCATCAAAAGCGGAAATTTATTAAGGTAAGAAATAGGGTGGGTATGGGCTTGAGCAAGTGGCTCAAGGACCCAGTTACGAAGTTTTCTGGGTTTTTAGTACTCCTTTTGAGGTCCCTATCAGCTACCACTGATATGGATTAAGGATTTGGTCTGTGGCTAATTAAAGGCTTAGGAGAATTGGCACGCTATGCGGATGAAGGAATGCAGGTGCTTGGCCTGCAGCCACTCCAAGGCACTTTCCCTTTCTACCTGAGAAGTGGTAGAAAGGGGAGGGTTGTAGGGACAGTAGCCTTTGATCCTTTGCTATTCAGGTGTGGGGAGATGGGACTTTTTCTTTTGGTTTAGCTGTTGGAAGTTTGCCTTAATTGGCCTTAGGTTTCCTGCCTCCAGACCTTGGTGTTTTTTCTTTTAGGAAGTCAGCACAAATTGGCCTTAAGTTCTCTGCCTCCATACCCCATTCTCCTGCCTCCCTTCTGTACAAACCATTTGTTATACATAGTTCATCTTAAACTCACCTGGTAATTGGGGAGGCCTTCTGTGTATGCTGGTTGGTTATATGCAAAGAAAAAATAAACTTCCAACATCATGATAGGAGGCAGTTTTGCAACTTAGAGCCAGGTGCCTGTTGCAGGTAAGCCTACCTTACCTTCAGCTGTAAGTGGCTCTAAGTGGCTCTAAGTCACCCTCCATCTCGTACAGAAAGAGTGAGATAGGGTACTATCATCTTGGCTATTTATATTTCTTTTTTTTTCTTTTTTTGAGACAGAGTCTTGCTCTGTCGCCCAGGCTGGAGTGCAGTGGTGCGATCTTGGCTTACTGCAAGCTCTGCCTCCCGGGTTCACGCCATTCTCCTGACTCAGCCTCCCCAGTAGCTGGGACTACAGGTGCCCGCCACCACACCTGGCTAATTTTTTTGTATTTTTAGTAGAGACGGGATTTCACTGTGTTAGCCAGGATGGTCTCGATCTCCTGACCTTGTGATCTGCCCGCCTTGGCCTCCCAAAGTGCTGGGATTACAGGCATGAGCCACCGCGCCCGGCCGGCTATTTATATTTCAAAGCAATGGATCCCTACTCACTAAGCCCTGGGCTGCAGCAATTCTGCTTGCCCTCTCCTGGTGGCCTGTGTCCTCTCCCAAACCCTGCCATCTACCACTGAGGCACAGCCCACAGCTGGCAGCTCACATTTTACATTAGAGAGTGGGGTCCCCACATTTTACATTACAGAGCGGGGTCCCTGAGCTGCAGGAGGAGAGCCTGCAGGGCTCTTGGGTAGAATTGCACTTTTGCAATAAGGGAAACGGGAGCAATGTTTCAGCCTCAGTTTCTATTTATAATACTGACACAAAAAGAATATTGCTGGATACATAGCATGGATCTAGATAGAGCAGCTCCAGGAGTTCTCACGGTGACAGCCCCCCTCACTCACAGACACCATGTGATATTAATAGGGCTTAGACACAAAGCACTGAATTCCCAAAGCATTGAAGAGAAAGACAGCTCTCAGTCTGAGTAAAACCGTATTGAGAGAAGAAAAGAGGTTGAAAGAATCTTAAAGACAAATTCAGATTACATGTAACATTGGTCAAATTGACCAGAAAATATTCTTCCAAAGAAGTTCTTCTCTAAACACCAAAAGTGCACAGCTACTCTCAGCATGAGAAATACAAGTATTATGAGAAAGAGGGCTTATTCTGAGCAGAATTTCCATCTCTGCTGCTCTCCCATCTGCCGGCCGTTGGATTGGGAATCTATACTGGAACACACCTGACAACCTCCACCAGCACTTTTTGATGAAGAATTGGAATTCACTCTATTCACATAGTAGAATTATATCAGAGATTGCAAGATAGCTAACTGAAGAGCTACTATGATTCTTGGGTGGCCACATCACCTGCATTTATTTGTCCGGGAATAGTGGCATTCCTAATTTAGTAAAATAAAAGAATAGACTGTAAAATTATGCTGACCTATAATTATACCTATAGGATCAATTAATAAACATGTCAGGTTAATATCTACTGTAGCAATGTGGTAGTAAATTTTCTTTGGGTATTAAATATAAATGTGTACATATAAATAATTTTGGTATATTAGTCATAATGTATATATTTTAAAAATTATCTGTAAGCTTAATTACAATATTTTATAATACTTTATATTTCAAACAAATTAATGCTTATATTAAAGTTATATAAACTTAATTCAAACAAATTAATACTTATAATAAAGTTATATAAACTTAAAGTTATAATACTTTATATTTCAAACAAATTATACTTATATTAAAGTTATATAAACTTAATTCAAACAAATTAATACTTATAATAAAGTTATATAAACTTAAAGTTATAATACTTTATATTTCAAACAAATTAATAACATTAATATTAAAATTACTATTTAAGAAGTTTATTCAAAATAAATATTGTGGCCTTATATTCACACAATTGTAGAAAATACTGTTTAATTTACATGGATGCATGTTGTCTACTAAAGACTAAACAAAACTATGCTAATTTTTCTGAAGTAATAAGTAGAAACCAAAGCACAGCTAAAAATTCCATTGCTCAGTTTATACACTAACAGTTCTAGCTTTTGCAGTGTTAAATACTTTAGGCTCCAGATATTATCACCTTTGATATAATCGCCTTGGATGATTAGTTTTCTGTTGGAGAAACTTAGTATCTTTTACTCTTCATTACTCTGTATTGCTGAATTGAATCCTATCCTTTGTGCTCAACTTTTGTGTGATCTTAAAGTGAGCTTTATCATTCTAAACAAATCTGTGTCTACTTTAAAAGACTGAAAATGGAAAAAAAAAAACTTTGCCAAATCAAAAGCAAAAACAAAGTGGTGGTTCTCAGGTCCTAGATAAAGAGAATCCTGAGTCAAAAAAAAGAAAAAAAGGTAAGTTTTATTTAGCTGTTAAAATAATTTAAATATATGTGTGTATTTCAAAAAAGCAAACAAAAATGTACGTGTAGGCTAAATGCTTTTTAAAGAAAAGCAACAGCTGGATTAAGGACATGATCTTGAACTTCCAGACATCTGAATTTCAGTACACACTGGATTTAGGTATCTAATGGGTGGTCCTGGACACACTGTGTACACGTAAAAGAGAAACTGTGGGGAAAAATGTAGAAAACAGAAAGGAGCCACCAAAAATCCATGAGTGGAGGACAGTAAAAGGTAGGTGGACAGACTGGTTTGTGTTAAAGATAATGGTCTAGAAGGGGCTATACTCAGAATTATTCCTGTGTCCGTGCAGGCAGTTGAGATTATTAACAGGTGGTGGAGAGAACAGGTTGCTGTTGCAGATTCAGTGTCTGAGGGTAGAATTATACTAGGAGACCTATAGGCACTTGTGTAGGTTTTTGGCAAGAAACTAGAAGAGAAGGCACTGTGATGGGATTCCTAAGGGTGGTACTTACTCCTGGGAGGGGCATGGCCACATTAATACCTCCTAGGAGTATGTTTATAAGTGAGTGAAAAGTATGTGATGGTAGCTGTAGGCTAAGGGGGTCTGTTCTGAAGTTTTTAGTCCCCTCTTACCTGGGGAAAAGAACTGAAATCACAGGAGAATGTGCAGTGTGACAGCCTATATACAGGAGAAGAGAGCCTTTCTTCTCCAGACACCCAGTCTTTCTCTAGCTCAGGCCCCTGTCGTCGTCGTCGTCGTCTTCTTCTTCTTCTTCTTCCTCTTGTTCTTCTTCCTCTTCCTCTTCCTTCTTCTTTCTTCTTCTTCTTTTCTTTCTTCTTCTTCTTCTTGTTCTTGTTCTTCTTGTTCTTGTTCTTCTTGTTCTTGTTCTTCTTCTTCTTCTTCTTCTTCTTTGTTCTTCTCCTTCTTCTTCTTCTTCTTTTTTGAGATGGAGTCTCACTCTGTCACTTAGGCTGGAGTGCAGTGGCACTATCTCAGCTCACTGCAACCTCTGCCTCCTGGGTTCAAGTGATTCTCCTGCCTCAGCCTCCTGAGTAGCTGGGACTACAGGCGCCTGCCAACATGCCCAGCTAATTTTTGTATTTTTAGTAGAGATGGGGTTTCACCGTGTTGGTCAGGCTGGTCTCAAACTCCTGACCTCATGGTCTGCCCACCTCAGCCTCCCAAAGTGTTGGGATTACAGGCATGAGCCACCATGCCTGGCCGATGTCTTTCTTCTAACACTACATCTGTAGAGTTTGAGGAATACAAAGCAATTCTCCAACACCAACTAGTTGTTTAACATTTTAAATCTCACACCACCAAAGTCAGCACAGGCCCTAGAGTCCAGAGCTTAGTCCCACAACACTGCTCTTACTGCAGATGCCAGTCAGAAACCACAGGTACCCATACGTACTTCTGAGCTACTAAGAAGTGAGGACTCCCATAACCCCTTTCTCAAGTTTGAGAATTTGATTAAAATACTCACAGAACTCAGCCAAACACTGTACTTGTGTATAACAGTTTGTTATAAAATATACAACACAGGAACAGTTGGAAATGGAACAGGTGTATAGAAGCTACAGAGCCTGGGCAGGCTGGGGACTTGTAGGCAGATGCAGCTGGGGATAGGATGAAAGGGGATTGGGACAAACTTTCTGAGGATACAATTTTTATTGTCCTGGGGTTGTTTATAGACTTTGTCAAATAAAACAAATTCAGATTTAGGGAAGATTTAGATACACATGTAACCTTAATATTATATACCTATTTTTGTAATACTTTATAGTTTATAATGTGTTTTACTGGCAATCTAAGTTGAAATCTAGTTTACTTTTAGCTACAAATACCCTCCAGGAAGGCAAGTTTTATAACTACATATTTTTGTTAAGTTGTATGTGGTACTATAAGGCACAACATGCCTCTACTTTGAAAAGAATAGCCACCAAGTCCTGAATGGAAATGCAAGAATTGTGAAAGAATTCAGTCACCTAATTTGTTGATTGGAGAGGATTTCTTTTTTTTTTTTTTTTTTTTGAGACAGAGTTTCACTCTTGTTGCCCAGGCCAGAGTGTAATGGCGCAATCTCAGCTCACTGCAACCTCTCCCTCCCAGGTTCAAGTGATTCTCCTGTCTCAGCCTCCTGAGTAGCTGGGATTACAGGTGTCCGCCACTACACCCGGCTAATTTTTGGTATTTTTAGTAGAGAAGGGGTTTCACCATGTTGGCCACACTAGTCTCAAACTCCTGACCTCAGGTGATCCACCTGCCTCGGCCTCCCAAAGTGTTGGGATTACAGGCGTGAGCCACCACTCCCAGCCAAGGATTTCATTTCTGTAGGTACCATCGGCTTTCTCACTTCTCCCTATCTGTTGAACATGTTCCACATTTTTTCCCGCAGCCTTTTCACCAAATCATAACCCAGGAGAATGGTGAAGGCACAGAGAGTGATAAGCTGCTTCATGACAATCTTCATTTCAGAACTAAAAGCAAAAACTGCACTATTTAGGTATCTGTGAGTTGTGAACGTTCTGTCTATGAGTTACAACTGTCTATTTTAACTTAGAAGACTCAATCTTCAAAATTAATAATTACTTTTTAGATGTATACAAAAGTAAAATATTCCAGCATTTTGGGAGGCCGAGTGTGCAGGGGTGGATCACTTGAGTTCAGGGATTCAAGACCAGCCTGACCAACATGGTGAAACCCTGTCTCTACTAAAGAAGTACAAAATTAGCCGGGCCTGGTGGTGTACTCTGGTAATCCCAGCTACTTGGGAGGCTGAGGCAGGAGAATTGCTTAAACCTGGGAGGCAGAGGTTGCAGTGAGCTGAGATCATGCCATTGCATTCCAGCCTGGGCAACAAGAACAAAACTTTGTCTCAAAAAAAAAAAAAAGTAAAATATTGTCCTTAATTTTTATCTTATAAAACTATATTATATTCTATAAACAGTCACATAAATTAATTTTTCTTCAGCCATGTTAAAATGTACTATTGTTTTCACGTCTTAAGAAAGAATAAGTATGGACACAAGAGTTTGTTTTCCTTTTCCAGACTTAAGATTTGTGATATAAAAGTTAACTGAAGTGAGAGCGTTTCAACTGGGTTTCCACATCATTTTCCACAGTGGAATCATCTGAGGCATAGAATTCAGTGCACCCACACATAGCTTTGAAATATAGTCCTCTGACTATGTCTGGAGAATATGCCAAGCTTTCCAACAGCAAGCAAGACTGAGGCATCAGCATAGAGATTAGGCCTGGCTGAAGAGCTCTTGAAATACGTGTGCCTTATACAAAACACCTGGGAATGTCAGACACCATGGTATAAAAATCACCAAAGTAATTAGGCCAGTGACTGTGTCATTGATTGTAACTACCAGTCAATGTCTAGCTAATATTTAACTAGTGGCAGCAATGAATATAACATTCAATGATAGATGGCGAGGGTAGAAAGTCTGCTCTCCAAAGAATGTCATCCTTTTCTCAATTCAGAAAAGTCCCTCAATTGCATTTTTCTCAGCTGCTTATACATAATTCAAATCTACTCTCTCGTATGTCTTATGTCACAAGCAATCACAAATGCAGTTATAGTCAAATTGAAAAGAAACTTGGAGTTGGTAGATCTGGGTTCAAATTTCACCTCTGCCACTTATTATGTGTAGCCTTGATGGGGTTCAGTTCCTTCTTCTGTAAGAAAGGGTTAATACCTACCTCATAGAATTGATGTGTTTTAAATATAGTTGAGCATTCACATAAAGAGGTTTTTGAAATTTTCTTCACTTTTCCGTAAGTTATAGCCAACTCATCTTTTTGTTCCAGTTTCTCCCTCATGATATTTGGTATATATGGCTTCCAATGGTGACTGCTTTAAAGGCTGGTGTACATTCAAATGCATATACATGTTCTTGTGTTAAATTTTTAAAAACCAAACTCCTGTCCAGGCGCAGTGGCTCACGCCTGTAATCCCAGCACTTTGGGAAGCCAAGGCAGGCGGATCACCTGAGGTCGGGCGTTCGAGACCAACCTGACCAACATGGAGAAACCCCATCTCTACTAACAACACAAAATTGGCTGGTCATGGTGGTGCATGCCTGTAATCCCAGCTGCTTGGGAGGCTGAAGCAGGAGAATCGCTTGAACCTGGGAGGCAGAGGTTGCAGTGAGCTGAGATGGCGCCATTGCACTCCAGCCTGGGCAACAAGAGTGAAACTCCATCTCAAAAACAAAACAAAACAAAACAAAACAAAACAAAACAAAACAAAACTCCTTTTGTTGCTTTACACCTTCTCTCACATGGTATGATATACTGATAACACCTACACTTTTTTTGGAAGTGTTTTCATATACTTCCTTTGGACCAATAAAAATGAACCTTCTGAGATGTGGAGGATATGGGCTATTACCCCAATTTTAAAGGAAAAAAAAAGTTCAGTCAGAAGTTGAATGTCCCCATGAGGAGTAACAGAGGTCATTCCTGATTAATCTAATTTAATCTTTATAATTCAAGGATCCTCCCAGCCAAAACAATCTCAGGTATCCGATTTTATGCAATTCATTTTGTGAGTAACATCACAGAAGGATTGAGTAGGATACTGGTTTAACCATGGGCATAACATTTTTTTTTTCAGTATTGAAGAGTAAAGCTAAAGTTTGTTCACTAAGATGTTTAATTCAAGCCCCAGTAACAGAGATACACAACTGCCAAAGTCAGCTCTTAGGGGTGTTGTACCAGGAGGTGGTGTAAACAGATCTGGACCCAGAGAATTAGAAAGAAAAGGCAGAATGAAGTTCACAACAGCAGCTGCTACATTTAAAAATGTTAGAGCTGTTTTACAATTATTTTCACTTCCCTAGCTTTCTGAGCCTGTAAGTCTCTCTTCCCTATTTCAACATTCATCCTAAAGAGTTTTCAATTAGTATGTGAAACCAAAAGGTCAGAGTGTTTTAGTCTGATACAAATCATCCCTAACTAAAATGATTCCAGTATGTGCTTCCATTTCATTAAAACTGTTCTGTGAAAATTTGGATATCCTCAGGAATGCATTATTACAGAATAATTTAAAGCATTAGCTATGCTTCATCTGCATGCTACTATATTTTAGAATCTCATTTTTAGGAATTACTATATAAATTGATTACATATTCTTTTGAAGAACCTCAGTAATAGGAAATCTATGGCCTCTGAGAGTGGATTTACTTTTTGATAACAGTCAAATCCTATGACTATTGTGTAAAGGTGAGGGACCCAGCTAGGCAATTCTGCTTGGGGTTAAAATAATAATAAATGTACCTGAAAATAAGGAGGTTGACTTCTTATACAGCAGCTACACACCAGCTCCTCAAACACACCTACCTCAGGACCTTTGAGCTTAATGCTCTCACTTTGTGGAATCTTTTTATAGCATGTTCTTTTTCACTGATATGAGTTACAGGTCACTTAAAAAAGGCCTTTCCTGAACACCCTAATGGAGAGTGGTCCACAATCACTCTCAACAACCACATTTGTCTAAATCAATGTCATGCTTGCTTTTTTATCAACTGTTATCACCATTTATTAATTTTTTGTTATTTTTCATCTCTTCTTCTGACCCATGCTGTCCAACACAGTAACCAGTAGATTAAAATTCCAATTAATTGTAATTCAGAAACTTAAAGAAAAAAATGGAAAAATTGTATTTCACCAAAAACAACTTTGTTCTTTGAAGGAAGCATTTAAAAGAGTAAAAAATGGTTTTCTGGTTCCAAGATGGCTGAATAGGAACAGCTCCAGTCTACAGCTCCCAGCATGAGTGACGCAGAAGACAGGTGATTTCTGCATTTCCAACTGAGGTACTGGGTTCATCTCACTGGGGCTTGTCAGACAGTGGGTGCAGACCACAGAGTGTGAGCTGAAGCAGGGTGGGGCATCACCTCACCTGGGAAGCACAAGGGGCTGGGGAATTCCCTTTCCTAGCCAAGGGAAGCTGTGACAGATGGTACCTGGAAAATCGGGACACTCCCACCCTAATACTGTGCTTTTCCAATGGTCTTAGCAAATGGCACACCAGGAGATTATATCCTGTGCATGGCTTGGAGGGTCCTATGACCACAGAGCCTCGCTCACTGCTAGCACAGCAGTCTGAGATTGAACTGCAAGGCAGCAGCAAGGCTGGGGGAGTGGTGTCTGTCATTGCTGAGGCTTGAGTAGGTAAACAAAGCGGCCAGGAAGCTCGAACTGTGTGGAGCCCACCACAGCTCAAGGAGGCCTGCCTGCCTCTGTAGACTCCACCTCTGGGGAAAGGGCATAGCTGAGCAAAAGGCAGCAGAAACTTCTGCAAACTTAAACATCCCTGTGTGACAGCTTTGAAGAGAGTAGTGGTTCTCCTAGCACGGAGTTTGAGATCTGAGAGTGGACAGACTGCCTCCTAAAGTGGGTCCCTGACCCCCGAGTAGCCTAACTTGGAGGCACCTCCCAGTAGAGCCTGACTGACACCTCTTATGGCCAGGTGCCCCTCTGAGACGAAGTTTCCAGAGGAACACTCAGGCAGCAACATTTGCTGTTCTGCAGCCTCCGCTGGTGACACCCATGCAAATAGGGTCTGGAGTGGACCTCCAGCAAACTCCAACAGACCTGCAGCTGAGGGTCCTGACTGTTAGAAGAAAAACTAACAAACAGAAAGGACATCCACACCAAAACCCCATCTGTACGTCACCATCACCAAAGACCAAAGGTAAATAAAACCACAAAGATGGGGAGAAACCAGAGCAGAAAAGCTGAAAAGTCTAAAAATCAGAGTGCCTCTTCTCCTCCAAAGGAATGCAGCTCCTCACCAGCAATGGAACAAAGCTGGATGGTGAATGACTTTGATGAGTTGAGAGAAGAAGTCTTCAGACGGTCAGTAATAACAACCTTCTCCAAGCTAATGGAGGATGTTTGAACCCATAGCAAAGAGAGATCAGACTGTTACTGTGTCTATGTAGAAAGAAGTAGACATAAGAAACTCCATTTTGTTCTGTACTAAGATAAATTATTCTGCCTTGAGATGCTGTTAATCTGTAATGCTAGCCCCAACCCTGTGTTTGCAGAGACATGTGCTGTGTTGACTCAAGGTTTAATGGATTTAGGGCTGTGCAGGATGTGCTTTGTTAAAAAAGTGCTTGAAGGCAGTATGCTTGGTAAAAGTTATCACCATTCTCTAATCTCAAGTACCCAGGGACACAATACACTGTGGAAGGCTACAGGGACCTCTGCCCAGGAAAGCCAGGTATTGTCCAAGGTTTCTCCCCATGTAATAGCCTGAGAGATGGCCTTGTGGGAACGGAAAGACCTGACCATCCCCTAGCCCAACACCCATAAATGGTCTGTGCTGAGGAGGATTAGTGAAAGAGGAAGGCCTCTTTGCAGTTGAGATAAGAGGAAGGCATCTGTCTCCTGCTCGTCCCTGGTAATGGAATGTCTTGGTGTAAAACCTGATTGTATGTTCTGTTTACTGAGATAGGAGAAAACCACCTTAGGGCTGGAGGTGAGACATGCTGGCGGCAATACTGCTCTTTAATGAACTGAGATGTTTGTGTACGTGCACATCAAAGCACAGCACCTTTCCTTAAACTTATTTATGACACAGAGATCTTTGTTCACATGTTTTCCTGCTGACCCTCTCCCCACTATTACCCTATTCTCCGGCCACATCCTCCTCTCCGAGATGGTAGAGATAGTGATCAATAAATACTGAGGGAACTCAGAGACCAGGGCCAGCGCGGGTCCTCTGTATGCTGAGTGCTGGTCCCCTGGGCCCACTGTTCTTTCTCTATACTTTGTCTGTGTCTCTTATTTATTTTCTCAGTCTCTCATCCCACCTGATGAGAAACACCCACAGGTGTGGAGGGGCTGGACCCCTTCACATCCACACCAAAACCCCATCTGTACATCACCATCATCAAAGACCAAAGGTAGGTAAAAACCACAAAGATGGGGAGAAACCAGAGCAGAAAAGCTGAAAATTCTAAAAATCAGAGCATCTCTTCTCCTCCAAAGGAACACAGCTCCTCACCAGCAACAGAACAAAGTTGAATGGAGAATGACTTTGACAAGTTGGGAGAAGAAGGCTTCAGACGATCAGTAATAACAACCTTCTCCGAGCTAATGGAGGATGTTTGAACCCATCACAAAGAAGCTAAAAACCTTGAAAAAAGATTAGTCAAATAGCTAACTAGAATAAACAGTGTAGAGAAGACCTTAAATGACCTAATGGAGCTGAAAACCACGGCACGAGAACTACATGATGCATGCACTAGCTTCTTTAGCCAATTCAATCAAGTGGAAGAAAGGGTATCAGTCATTGAAGATCAAATGAATGAAATGAAATGAGAAGAGAAGTTTAGAGAAAAAAGAGTAAAAAGAAACCAACAAATCCTCCAAGAAATATGGGACTATGTGAAAAGACCAAATCTACATCTGATTGGTGTACCTGAAAGTGACAGGGAGAATGGAAACGAGTTTGAAAACACTCTTCAGGATATTATCCAGGAGAACTTTCCCAACCTAGCAAGGCAGGCCAACATTCAAATTCAGGAAATACAGAGAATGCCACAAAGATACTCCTCGAGAAGAGCAACTCCAAGACACATAATTGTCAGATTCACCAAAGTTGAAATGAAGGAAAAAATGTTAAGGGCAGCCAGAGAGAAAGGTTGGGTTACCACAAAGGAAAGCCTGTCAGACTAACAGCGGATCTCTCAGCAGAAACTCTACATGCCAGAAGAGAGTGGGGGCCAATATTCAACATTCTTAAAGAAAATAATTTTCAGCCCAGAATTTCATATCCAGCCAAACTAAGCTTCATAAGTGAAGGAGAAATAAAATCCTTTACAGACAAGCAAATGCTGAGAGATTTTGTCACCACCAGGCCAGGCCTGCCTTACAAGAGCTTCTGAAGGAAGCACTAAACATGGAAAGGAACAACCGGTACTAGCCACTGCAAAAACATGCCAAATTGTAAAGACCATCGATGCTAGGAAGAAACTGCATCAACTGATGAGCAAAATAACCAGCTAACATCATAATGACAGGATCAAATTCACACATAACAATATTAACCTTAAATGTAAATGGGATAAATGCTCCAATTAAAAGACACAGACTGGCAAATTGGATAAAGAGTCAAGACCCATCAGTGTGCTGTATTCAGGAGACCCATCTCATGTGCAGAGACACACATAGGCTCAAAATAAAGGGGTGGAGGAAGATCTGTCAAGCAAATGGAAAGCAAAAAAAGCAGGGGTTATAATCCTAGTCTGTGATAAAACAGACTTTAAACCAACAAAGATCAGAAGAGACAAAGAAAGCCATTACATAATGGTAAAGGGATCAATTCCACAAGAAGAGCTAACTATCCTAAATATATATGCACCCAATACAGGAACACCCAGATTCATAAAGCAAGTCCTTAGAGACCTACAAAGAGACTTAGACTCCCACACAAAAATAACGGGAGACTTTAACACCTCACTATCAACATTAGACAGATCAACGAAACAGAAAGTTAACAAGGATATCCAGGAATTGAACTCAGCTCTGCACCAAGCGGCCCTAATAGATATCTACAGAACTCTCTACCCCAAATCAACAGAATATACATTCTTCTCAGCACCACATCGCACTTATTCCAAAATTGACCACATATTTGGAAGTAAAGCACTTCTCAGCAAATGTAAAAGAACAGAAATTGTAACAAACTATCTCTCAGACCACAGTGCAATCAAACTATAACTCAGGATTAAGAAACTCACTCAAAACCACTCAACTACATGGAAACAGAGCAACCTGCTCCTGAATGACTACTGGGTACATAACAGAATGAAGGCAGAAATAAAGATGTTCTTTGAAACCAGTGAGAACAAAGACACAACATACCAGAATCTCTGGGACACATTTAAAGCAGTGTGTAGAGGGAAATTTATGGCACTAAATGCCCACAAGAGAAAGCAGGAAAGATCTAAAATTACACCCTAACATCACAATTAAAAGAACTAGAGAAGCAAAAGCAAACATTCAAAAGCTAGCAGAAGGCAAGAAATAATTAAGATCAGAGCAGAACTGAAGGAGATAGAGACACAAAAAACCCTTCAAAAAAGCAATGAATCCAGGAGCTGGTTTTTTGAAAAGATCAACATAATTGATAGACTGCTAGCAAGACTAATATAGAAGAAAAGAGAGAAGAATCAAATAGATGCAATAAAAAGTGATAAAAGGGATATCAGCACCCATCCCACGGAAATACAAACTACCATCAGAGAATACTATAAACACCTCTACACAAATAAAGTAGAAAATCTAGAAGAAATGGATAAATTCCTGGACACATACACCCTCCCAAGACTAAACCAGGAAGAAGTTGAATCCCTGAAAAGACCAATAACAGACTCTGAAATTGAGGCAATAATTAATAGCCTCCCAACCAAAAAAAGTACAGGACCTGATGGATTCACAGCTGAATTCTACCAGAGGTACAAAGAGGAACTGGTGCCATTGCTTCTGAAACTATGCCAATCAATAGAAAAAGAGGGAATCCTCCCTAACTAATTTTATGAGGCCAGCATTATCCTGATACCAAAGCCTGGCAGAGGCACAACAAAAAAAAAAGAGAATTTTAGACCAATATCCCTGATGAACATCGATGCAAAAATCCTCAATAAAATGCTGGCAAACCAAATCCAGCAGCACATCAAAAAGCTTATCTACCATGATCAAGTTGGCTTCATCCCTGGGATGCAAGGCTGGTTCAACATATGCAAATCAATAAATGTAATCCATCATATAAACAGAACCAAAGACAAAAACCACATGATTATCTCAATAGATGCAGAAAAGGCCTTCGACAAAATTCAACAGCCCTTCATGCTAAAAACTCTCAATAAACTAGGTATTGATGGGATGTATCTCAAAATAATAAGAGCTATTTATGAAAAACCCACAGCCAATATCATGCTGAATGGGCAAAAACAGGAAGCATTCACTTTGAAAACTGGCACAAGACAGGGATGCAACCTAAGAAATGGGAGAATGAATTCCAGGAACAGGTGATCCATGCAGGAGAGAGGAGCAGCATTGCTGAGAGCCAGGGGTGAAGCAATTCAAGCTGGAGACACTGAGACAAACACAGGGGCGCCTGGCATTCTCCGAAAGGCAGTACAGTGGTTCTCACCACTCAGTAAATGTGGTAATTACCTCTTATCTGGTTACAATGCGTCTTCCCAGGCCTGCCAGCAGGGATTCTTAATCCTGATGCAAATGATGTGGCAGCACTTGTGGTTATAGACATGGGTGTTTGAATCACAGATCTATGTCCAAACCCAAATCCCCTCAGTAATTAACTGTAAGCTGTCAGTCAATTACTTAATCTCTCCAGCATGCCACTTCCTCAGGCCAATTCATATGGGAATATGAATTCATAGGAGTGTTATAAAGGGTAGTTTATACAATGAGCTCATGACTATGAAATGCTTAGCATGGCATCCAAAAAGCCCTGAATAAGTGGTGCAACAATACCTTTTTATTACGGAAAAGACACCCAACCTAGAAAAGAGTGTTCATAGGGGATTAAGAGAAGTAAGTACAGTTAGTGAGCAGAGCAAGCCAGCGTGGTGAGGGCCTTTCCTAGGTGAGGCATCCACCACATTTGAAAGTGGGATGCAGGGCAAGAGCTCAACATCAACCAGGATGGGCAGGAATGAAGTAAATAGCTCACACCTGTTCCTTCATGGGTCAGTTCCTTTCATTTTCACTTTTGACTCTGATGCAAAATTAGAACTCTTCTCTGCTCAAATGTTACTATTCTTAATAAAGTAAAGTAAATAAGTAGGGTCCAAAAACTTTAATTGCGTAAAGTACATGCTCTTGTTATTACAAGGCAAATGGGATATATTTTGCAGTTGGTCATTGCCATCACAATAACACAAATTCTAAAACTTACACTGTTTACAACTGAACCGCACCCTCAAATAATCAAAAAATGGTCCCTCCCTAACCTCTCTCCCCAGGAAGAGAAGGTCTTTGGCTGCCCCAACCTGAGCAGGAGAGCAGGTGGAGAGTGGGAGCCCACAGCTGCAGTGGCAAGAAGCCTGAGGGCTGATGGCCTAGACCAAATAATAGGGAATTGGGCTGAGTTGTTTGAATCATTTTCCAATAACTGATTTATAAAATCGATCAGACTCATTGAAGGACCTGGGGAATGGGAGCCCACCCCTCGGTCTCCAGCCTCCCCAAACTATGTGTTTCTCCAGAGTAAGCTTGAGCCTCTCCCAGCATGGATTAAAACCCATGGCTCTTCCAGATCTAAAATCTGAGGCTCTACAATTTAAGTCATAGTTAGGCACTTGCATACCTGTAATGGTAACATGCTTAAATACTCAGTCTATCATTGTTTAATATTGAATGAAAGACACATATTTTGTTTACTTATTATGCAGCAGCTAGTCTGTGTTCACCTGCATTGTCTCAGGGTTAGCTCTTTATTTCCAAGCATCCTGTCCCATTTCCTGGAGCCTATTGACCAGGGGAAAGATATGGTCAAAAGTTAAAGGTATGTTGGGCAAAGCCTTAGGAATAGCTTTTCTGACAAACAAGCAATGGGGAAAAGACTCCGTTCAATAAATGGTGCTGGGATAACTGGCTAGCCACATGCTGAAGATTGAACTGGGCCCCTTTCTTACACCATACACAAAAATGAACTCAGGATGGATTAAAGACTTAAGTGTAAAACCCAAAAATATAAAAACCCTGGAAGACAACCTAGGCAATACCATCCTGGACATAAGAACAGGCAAAGATTTCATGACAAAGACAACAAAAGCAATAGCAATGAAAGCAAAAATTGACGTGGGATCTAGTTAAACTAAAGAGCTTCTACACAGCAAAAGAAACTATCAACAAAGTAAACAGGCAACTTGCAGATTGGGAGAAAGTATTTACAAACTATGCATCTGACAAAGGTCTAATATCCAGCATCTATAAGGAACTTAAACAAATTTACAAGAGAAAAACAACCCCATTAAAAAGTGGGCCAAGGACATAAAGAGACACTTCTCCAAAGGAGACAAACATGTGTGCCGGGCGTGGTGGCTCACGCCTGTAATTCCTGCATTTTGGGAGGCCAAGGAGGGTGGATCACAACGTCAGGAGATTGAGACCATCCTGACTAACATGGTGAAACCCCGTCTCTACTAAAAATACAAAAAATTAGCCGGGTGTGGTGGCAGGCACCTGTAGTCCCAGCTACTTGGGAGGCTGAGGCAGGAGAATGGCGTGAACCCAGGAGGCAGAGCTTGCAGTTAGCTGAGATCGCACCACTGCACTCTGGCCTGGGTGACAGAGCGAGACTCGGGCTAAGAAAAAAAAAAAAAAAAAAAAAAGCAAACGTGGCAAACAAGCATATGGAAAAAAGCTCTAGATCACTGATCACTAGAGAAATGCTCATCAAAACCACAGTGAGGCACCATCTCACACCAGTCAGAATGGCTATTACTAAAAACTAAAAAACTAACAGAAGTTGGCAAGGTTGCAGGGAAAAGTGAACATGTATACACCATTGGTGGGAGTGTAAGTTAATTCAACTGTGGTGGAAAGCAGTATGGTGATTCCTCAAAGAGCTAAAAGCAGAACTACAACATTTGACCTAGCAATCCCATTACTGGTTATATACCCAGATGAATATAAATCATTCTACCATGAAGTTACATGCATGCAAATGTTCATTGCAGCACTATTCACAATAGCAAAGACATAGAATCAACCCAAATACTCATCAGTCACGGATTGGATAAAGAAAATGTGCTACATATACACCATGGAATAATATGCAGCCATAAAAAAGAATGAGATTATGTCTTTTGCATTAGTATGGATGAAGCTGAAGGGTATTATCCTTAGCAAACTAACGCAGGAACAGAAAACCAAATACAGCATGTTCTAACTTATAAGTGGGAGCTAAATGATAAGAACTTGTGAACACAAAGAAGGAAACAAAAGACACTGGGGTCTACTTGATGGGGGGAGGGTGGGAGGAGGGAGAGGAGCAGAAAAGATAACTATTGGATACTGGGCCTAATACCTGGATGATGAAATAACAGGTACAACAAACCCCTGTGACACGTATTTAACTGTATAACAAACCCTCCCGTGTACCCCCTAACCTAAAATAAAAGTTAAAAAAAAAGAAACACAGCTTTTTATTTTTTTTCTTTTTAATCCCATAAAGGTCATGGGCCATTTGCCACCTGAACAGTCAGTAACACATGAGTGGAAAGAAACTGAACACCCAGGGACACCAGAGACCGTTCACTGTAGAGGAAGGAGGCAGGTATAACTCATAAGGTGAACTTCCTCCAGTCCCAGAGTTGTTCCCCTCTCCTTAAATGTGGGTCCCATGGAATTCAGACTAGGAAGTAAAGCAAATGAGAAAGGCCTACAGGGGAGCAGTTCAAATGTGTGGAAAAGGATAGAGCAGCCCCAATGAGGAAGGAAGGCTGGACAAGCAATGGATTTGTAGGGAAGACAATGTGCACCCATCGGAGCTCTGATTCCTTCATTTTCACTACCCTCCCCTGCCCACTAACATAAAAAAAGTATTGATGGCAAGTGTTGGGCCATAAGACATTTCCTTGCTTTATAATCTGGATTTGGGGGGTTACATTTCAGAGATAATGAAAATCTCCTCCTTTAGTTAACTTTTAATTTCATAATTCTAACTTTGTTTTTACAGATTTGTGAACATGTAAAACAAAGAAAACAGCATGGGAGTAATTTATAATCAACAAATATGTGTTCACTGAGTGACACTCACATGGCATATGGCATATGGGCATCCTGAGAGTAGGATCGTGGGGCATCCGATGGTGATTGTCCTTAGAGTTGGTCGGAGCCCAGCCTTCCACGGTCTGCGCACTGCTGTGTGTACAATCGGTGCCTTCTTTAAGTTCACAGCAATGCCACAAGGCAAATAGCACTGTCTTCACTTTCTGTGTGAGAGAACTAAGGCTGGGTGAGAGTATGCAGAGCTGGATCATGGATTTGTTTGGCTCCTTCTAGTTTCAAAACCTGTAAATATTTTGCTGTCTCTAATGCTAATCTTAGCACTATATTTGGAATAAGCATATAAACATATAACCACAATCCACTCAGGTAATAGGCAACCAAATTATAAATAAATGCTCAACAAGATTATGAAATGATTGAATGAGTTATATATAAGAATAATAACTGGTGGAAGTGTTATTCATAGGATAAAGTAGAAATCATTTAAATGGCTAACAGTATAAGGAGGGTTAAATCAAGCATCCAGGTGTGGAAATAGTTGATTTACATATATAGTTTATGCCATGTAAGACGTTTATGATCCAATATTGGATGAAAAAACAGAAACATTTTATGTACAGTATAATCTAAAATTTCTACATTTCATTAAAAGTGCAGGAATATAATTATCAAAATTTGAGTGATAAAATTATGAATTTTTCTTTTTCTTATAACTCATTTTATATTTACCAAAGATCCTCCAAAGAGAATACACACTTTTATAATTAGAAAAAAAGTTATTTGTTAAAGAGATCATAAATGACATAATATTTTACAGAAGTTAAAAGCTGAGATTGTGAGGATTTCCAGGGACTCCTGCCACCAGCCCATCTCGCATCATCATTTACATGGAAATGTTGGGACTGAGGTGACTTCATGCCTCTCAATTCCCAGCCAGCTTTCTCTCCCTCTGGCTCCTAGCCAGCCTGTTAACCAGAAAATAATCAGTAAGACAAAAAACACCCTAGTGTTCTAACAAGTTACACATAATTGCTTGCTTACCAATTGCCTACCTCAGAACTCTGTTTCCCTCATAGAGTCAATATAATCATTTATTTTAAATTCAGCTTCTGCCATTTTACAGTCTGAGATGCAGGACTTTGCATAGGGCATGGATGGGTTTCCACAGTCCACAGGAGGATGGGAGGAGAGCAGGGCAGATCCAGCCGCACTCAGTGAGAGTTCTGGCTGGAGTTACTTGGGTGGACCTCACTCCAGAGAGAGGAGACCTTCTTCTGGACCAGCTACCAAGACAGCCCCTAGTTGGAAAATCTTTTCTTCTAAGGTGAGATGCAGCCCCCACTGGAGAGGAAAACACCAGAGAGTATTTAAAAAGGAAAAACCAAGGTAAGCTGAGGAGATTCTTGACAGGAGACACAGCAGAGTCCACCCAGCTGGGGTGAATCTCCGCAGTTCCCCAACGGGACAGCAGGTGGGAGCCCCAAATCACTGGCCCCTGCAGCATGGGAGCAGCATGAGCCATCTGCAGTGACATTGTCTCCTCCAGCAGCAGCCTCCATCCAGAAATCCATCTCAGGGTCTGTCCTCACAGTAACCTGATGCCAGAGCTGTGCACTCAAAGTATTTGGACGCAGATATTTTGTGGAACTGAGCATTTTCCAGGTCTTGCTGGAGTTCATTCCGCGTGAACTTGATGGAGATCTTTCTCATGGGCTTCTTTATTTTTTTCATTCTTTTTTTTATTATTATACTTTAAGTTCTAGGGTACATGTGCACAACGTGCAGGTTTGTTACATATGTATACATGTGCCATGTTGGTGTGCTACACCCATTACCTCGTCATTTACATTAGGTATATCTCCTAATGCTTTCCCTCCCCCCTTCCCCCACCCCACAACAGGCCCCGGTGTGTGATGTTCCCCTTCCTGTGTCCAAGTGTTCTCATTGTTCAATTCCCACCTATGAGTGAGAACATGCAGTGTTTGGTTTCTTGTGCTTGTGATAGTTTGCTGAGAATGATGGTTTCCAGCTTCATCCATGCCCCTACAAAGGAAATGAACTCATCCTTTTTATGGCTGCACAGTATTCCATGGTGTATATGTACCATATTTTCTTAATCCAGTCTATCACTGATGGACATTTGGGTTGGTTCCAAGTCTTTGCTGTTGTGAATAGCACTGCGATAAACATACGTGTGCATGTGTCTTTATAGCAGCATGATTTATAATCCTTTGGGTATATACCAAGTAATGGGATGGCTGGGTCAAATGGTATTTCTAGTTCTAGATCCTTGAGGAATCACCACACCATCTTCTACAATGGTTGAACTAGTTTACAGTCCCACCAACAGTGTAAAAGTGTTCCTATTTCTCCACATCCTCTCCAGCACTTGTTGTTTCCTGACTTTTTAATGATCGCCATTCTAACTGGTGTGAGATGGTATCTCATTGTGGTTTTGATTTGCATTTCTCTGATGGCCAGTGATGAGCATTTTTTCACGTGTCTGTTGGCTGCACAAAATGCCTTCTTTTGAGAAGTGTCTGTTCATATCCTTTGCCCACTTCTTGATGAGGTTGTTTGTTTTATTTCTTATAAATTTGAGTTCTTTGTAGATTCTGGATATTAGTCCTTTGTCAGATGGGTAGATTGCAAAAATTTTCTCCCATTCTGTAGGTTGCCTGTTCACTCTGATGGTAGTTTCTTTTTCTGTGCAGAAGCTCTTTAGTTTAATTAGATCCCATTTGTGCATTTTGGCTTTTGTTGCCATTGCTTTCGGTGTTTTAGGCATGAAGTCCTTGCCCATGCCTATGTCCTGAATGGTATTGCCTAGGTTTTCTTCTAGGGTTTTTATGGTTTTAGGTCTAACATGTAAGTCTTTAATCCATCTTGAATTAATTTTTGTATAAAGTGTAAGGAAGGGATCCAGTTTCAGCTTTCTATGTATGGCTAGCCAGTTTTCCAAGCACCATTTATTAAATAGGGAATCCTTTCCCCATTGCTTGTTTTTGTCAGGTTTCTCAAAGATCAGATGGTTGTAGATGTGTGGTATTATTTCTGATGGCTCTGCTCTGTTCCATTGGTGTATATCTCTGTTTTGGTACCAATACCAATCTGTTTTTGTTACTGTAGCCTTGTAGTATAGTTCGAATTCAGGTAGTGTGATGCCTCCAGGTTTGTTCTTTTGGCTTAGGATTGTCTTGGCAATGCAGGCTCTTTTTTGGTTCCATATGAACTTTAAAGTAGTTTTTTCCAATTCTGCAAAGAAATTCATTGGTAGCTTGATGCAAGTGGCATTGAATCTATAAATTACCTTGGGCAGTATGGCCATTTTCATGATATTGATTCTTCCTATCCATGAGCATGGAATGTTGTTCCATTTGTTTGTGTCCTCTTTTATTTCATCGAGCAGTGGTTTGTAGTTCTCCTTGAAGAAGTCCTTCACATCCCTTGTAAGTTTGATTCCTAGGTATTTTATTCTCTTTGAAGCAATTGTGAATGGGAGTTCACTCATGATTTGGCTCTCTGTTTGTCTGTTATTGGTGTATAAGAATGCTTGTGATTTTTGCACATTGATTTTGTGTCCTGAGACTTTGCTGAAGTTGCTTATCAGCGTAAGGAGATTTTGGGCAGAGATGATGAGGTTTTCTAAATATATAATCATGTCATCTCAAATTATGGGCTGCTTTTCTAAGTGTGGGAGAGCATGGCCTGCATGACTGCTGGCTTCCAGCACATGGTGTACAAACCCATGCCAGGGTGTGTAATTCACTGTAGCCCTTGACAGAATATCAGGGGATAAAGGTTGTTTTTTAATCTTCTGTTTATTACCCTCAGCCAATTACCTTCTATCTATAGTAGAAGATATTTTGCCAATTTTTTTTCAAAATGGAAAAATACCGTGCTCCTTAAAAAGTCTTTTAGAAGCACAGAGTTTTCAATTTCATTACATTAAAATCACTAAAAGAAAAAAGTGAACTTCACATATCTAAGAAATTTTCTTTTGGCAAAATACTCTGTTTTGGTTTGAAATGTTTGTGAATTTTCCATGCATGTGTCCAGATGCATAGGGAGTTTATTCATTCAATTAAGTTAAAATATTAGATAAC
This sequence comes from Homo sapiens, assembly GCF_000001405.40. NCBI lineage: Eukaryota > Metazoa > Chordata > Mammalia > Primates > Hominidae > Homo > Homo sapiens. The sequence goes on along the minus strand of NC_000004.12, from coordinate 29,523 downwards.
ATGGTAAATTCAAAAAGTAGTGAGGACACATTTTGTTTCTGTCTCTTTAACTGAGAAAACTGGCTGATATCTCCTGTGTGCAAGCACTGTGTAGCTGATGCAGATACAGAAACCAAGGTTTTCTTACTTGCTGCTGCTTGCCCTGGCACTGGAGGTTGGCTCCGGGAGGGCAGGGTGTCTGTTTTTATTACCACTCAGCAAGTGCTACACAAATACACACAGGTGTCTCTGCCCTCTAGTGGATCCTGGCAGGAACTGGGAGCAAACATGACTATATAAAAAAAATGAAAGATTTAAAAAATACTCATTATCTCCAGAGGGGATTTAATTCTAACAGGAGGCTTTTTTTTTTCTTTTTCAAATGGGCTGATGGGTAAAAATAATACAAGACTGGAGATGTTGGAAAAAAGCACACTGCATTTGCCTTTCAGCATCTGTGATGACTGAGTCCTTCCTCAGCGCTGCCACAGGGAGCACATTCACACATGTGTCACACATATACCAGGGTTAGGTCAGAAAACCAAGTGTTACCTGGAGGAAACCACAAAGGCTATGAGACCAAGCCTTCACCTAGAAGACACTTGATAGTTTAGAAGCTGAGATCCTGTGAGGTGTCTCAGAGAGCTCAGCTGTGACCCTGCACTGTTTGGAAGGGCGGGCAGTGGGGCCCAGGCAGGTGAAGAGAATTGTCCACTGTTGAGCATCATCAGCCTAAAACCCACATGCAATGCTGTTGCTGCAAAACCTTTGACTGTTGAAGCCACAAACCACAGAAACAGACTCCCTTTATGGTCCTGACTGTGTAACTGGTGACTTTTCAGAAGATGAAGATTAAACATATTAATCATAAATTCAAAGTGTCAGAAGAAACACTAGGAGATTTTCTAACCTCTGCTACCATGACTTTTTTTTTTGGCAAGATTTGTGAATTATTGTAAATAAGCTCACAGAGGCTGAAGTGCTCCCCTGAAGTCATCCAGAAAGAGGCAGGCTGCTAATCCCCATGTCTGAGACATCTGTGTTTTCTTAGGATAATACAAAAATTAAAGATAAAGGAGAGAGAGAGGGACAGAAAGAGACAGAGAGACAGAGAATTGGAGCTAAGAGGAAACATTTTCACGTTTTGCCCCCCAAAATTCCCAGTGAACATTTCCATTGCCAGCAGATGAAATCCAAGGCCCTGGCTCCAGGATCCTGCTCTTTCCTGTGGCGACTCTTGTGCAGATTTGGCATAGAAACAATATGGAACTTGTTACACTTCTCTGGACAAGTCATTATGCTTTTGGCTCACAGGCTCCACTTCCCTGGACACCCCTTCACCCTAAGCTTCAAGTAATTCAGCTTCACCCTTCAGAGAAGAACTCAGCTGTCACTTCTTCTAAGGACCCTCCCTAGCTGCCTCTCCAGCAGAAGAGCCCCCACCTTGCTCTTTGCACCTCCGTCCCTCAAGGTGCTGCTGTCCTCTGTGGAGGGTGGGACCCCGGGAACTAGAGCGCCTTTCATGCTGGAGACACTTGACACTCAGTAAGTGTGTGCTGAGTGGATACAAGTGCAGCAAGCTTGCACAGCCTTACAATGTATACTATCATGTCTGGAATAGATCCCCATTTTCATTCTTGGTAAAATGAGTAAGTGGGGCAGGGTGACCCATACTCTCTTTTCAACTCAGAAGCCCACATTCAGCCTGACATCAAATAGCTTCCCAGCCAGCGCCAGGCCAGGACCCAGGTTGTTCAATGTGCCTGTGTCCCCCAAAGAGTGAGTAAAGCATGGAGAAATGGGACCAGCTCTGCTGCCTGCTGCCCAGTGCCAGCCAGCAACTCCAGGCTCACAAAGCCAAGGCAAAGGCACCTGCAGGAGATCTTGGTTATTCGTTAGCTGTGATTGGGCTGGGAGGGGAGTGTGTTCACTTCTAATTTTCCAGGGACTAGCATGAGACGGTAAAGTTTGAAATGTGGTGTTTTTTTGCCTTGCCCCCCCCCCCCAAAAAAAAAGGCCTTTTTACCTTCTCATCCTTGGAGCCACTGGCATTAGTTATGGGCCTGATAGTTTAAGAAAACTTGAAAATGAACTATGTGAACCGGTATTCTCCAAAGTAATATTTTGATAAATAGTGTAATTCTTTATTACAGTAAAACCATTGCTTAAGTGGGCAAAACTCTAGAGGATAGGAAAAAACACTCTTGAAAACAGGTGGTGATGCCCTGAAATTCAGCAAACTGCAGGGGCACGTGTTGTTCTACCCAAGGTCAGAGTGTGTCACTCACCACTTGATGCCACTCACAGACCACCAACTTCAGAATATCTAGGTGTAAAGCTCTGTACAAAAGTTATAACAGAATAATGTAAATAAATTATTATTTATATTACACTATTACATAATGTAAAGGCTATTAAAACATGTTTGTCTTCAAAGAATGGCCTTGGTTTCTGTGGGCAGTGTCTCCTCATGGAAAGGTAGTGCATTCCTGCTAAATCATGGACAAAACGGGCCTCCAGGAGCTGTAGGCTGCAGCAGCAGCAGCAGCAGCTTCTCATCTACATCCTTCCCTGCATGATACTGCTGTTGACTTTGAAAGCTTCTTTCAGTCTAGTTTTATCAACAGAGTTAGTATTTCATGAGGATCTACTACATACCAGGTTCCAGAAAGCTAAATGCCTTTTGTTTGTTATTACTCACTAAATACAAATCACAACTCTCTTCTCATTACTCACACAACAAAATTTAGCTGAGGGAGATTGAGTGACTTTCCCAGGGTCACACAGCTACTAAGAGCAGAGTTGTGTTTAGATTCATGTGGGAATACTGAACACTGAAAGGAGCCAGCAGAAGTATTATACATTCCAAAAGCCTACTCAAGCCATTTGTTCTTATTTTAAAGAAAATCTTTATGCTAATTTTAAACTCCAAATACTTATGAATTGCAGAGATCTACAGATTTGATTCTGATGTAAGAAATGATGCTCACCAGTTGGTTACTGCTACCACTCCACAACCCCGAGCATACTGGACAAATATCTAAGCCTCATGGTAAGTGGGGACAATGCTGGTGGAGGCTGAAGTTGTCATGCAGTGACTCACGCAAGCTTAGGCAGATTTGGTGATATATGACACAGAGATGCAAATAAATGCTGTAGCTGACACACACAGGCTGGCTCTGGGAGATGCAGAAGGAGCATGTCACCCAAAATAGAGCCAGACAGACATCTTTAAGGAAGGAGCAAAGGAGCTGCATCTTAAAGAATGAAGAAGAGATTCGTCATGAGAGATGGGACAGGAAGTTCTTGAGAGGCAGAGGGAGAGCATGAGAATGTCGGGAAGGGAGGAGAGATTCTTGCACATCTGGGAAGCTGACAATCCATCAGCATGGCCGGAAGGAAAATAAGGAGGAGGAGCGGAAATAATAGATGAGGCTGGATATAGAAGCAGGGTTGAAGCTGTGTTGATTGTGGTAAAGAGTTGTGATTCTATCCAGAAGGCAATAGTTAGCATTCTAAACAGAGATCTTTAAAAACAAGAGTCAGCAAATATTTTCTGCGAAGGGCTAAATGTTAAATATTTTAAGTTTTCCAAGCCATGTGGTCCCTCTCTCAATGACTCAGCTCTTCCGTTATACCATGAAAGTAGCCAGAGACATTATGTAACACATGTATGTGGCTGTGTCCCATTACAACTTTTCTTACAAACGCAGACTATGTCAGACATGGCCCATGAATGGTAGTTTGTCACACCCTGTTTTAGAAAGCTCAGGTTTATGATGTGTTGGAGAATGCCTACAAGAGCTCTTGTTTTAAATGGTAGAGTGAACATACACTGGAATTCTATCCTGCTTGACCCAAGCTCTTGATAGTGAAAGGTAGAAAAGATAGATAGTAAATAGATAGATAGATGATAGGCAGGTAGATAGATGATAGATAAAGAAAATACATAGCTGTTCCAGAAAACAGAAATGGATAACTTCATGAACCAAAAACAAAGTAATATACTTTAGAAAGGAAGCAGGCCGGAAAACTCACAGTTGCAAAGCAAATAGAATTTCCAGCTGCCTCTTGTAGCCCCTTCCTGGAAGTAGTCACAGCCCAGCATGTTTTGACTTCTTCCTCTGTTTTTTGTTTGTTTGTTGTCTGCTTTTTTGTGGGGTTTTGTTGTTGTTGCTTGCTTTTTTAAAAAAAATTCCCTTTCCCTTCTTTTTTGTCACAGCAGCCTTTGTCACTTCAAACACTGCAAGTGTTCTTTTTAAAAAATTCCTCTCTTTCTCTCTCTGGAATGAAATGAATTCTCTAGACCATCAGTTCTAACCTTCAAAAACCAAACTTGTTTGTGAGATCTCCTTCGAACACTACTGTAGACTCCGGTGTTTATTCATTAAGTTTTTTAAATATTTGTTTTATTTGGAATCAATTTATTTGTAATTTTAGTATTTGTATTAATATAAGGGAGAAATGTTTAAATCTGTCTATGCCATATGTGCCTCTCACTTATTGCCCAATTAATTGTAGCCTCAGGCTAAACTTTTGTTTCTGTCTTTATTTTTTTCAGAACAAAGATAACTGATCTTAAATCATCTGCTTTTATTATAGGGAATCATGCTGCCATCTCCATTCCTCTCTCTTTTCTTGCAATCTGGGTAGAAGTTCTTTAATATGAACATTTCAACCACCTTCATTCTACCATGTCCACTATCAGCACATTCAAACTTATCCAGCCAAGGCTGTCATCTTAGGCCAGGGATTTTTTTAGGAATCTATTTTGCTGTGATGTGGCTGGCACCCCTTTGACTCACTTTATCACCCCAGGATTCTTTTCATTTTAGGAGCCCAAGAGGGCAGAAAAAGAAGCAGGTGAGCAATTAAACCCTCTGAGTCAGGAGCATCTCCCCTTGTGTTAAGCAATGATGTAGAACATTGTATTTAGTAAGCTCCTAGCACATGAGCCACATGGCTGCTGAACACACATGCCCGCTTGTGGCTGTGAGCTCAGACACCATCATCATTAGTCTTTTCCACCCCTGGAAGGAATTATAAGGGCCACTTCATAACCTGTAAATCATAGAGAGTTAAAGGTGTTTCCCCAAAACACTGATGACAGAATGAAAGGTGAGGAGTGTTAACCATAGGTCAAAAGTGCAGGAAAGTCTCTCAATGTGGGTTGTTGAAGAAATGCAGGTCTTTTTTCTTTTGGAAGTCTCCCTAGAATGGGATCAAGGACTCTGCCCACTCTAGGATGAAAAATTGGGATATTAGACACCCTCAGATATTTATCCCAAGCCTTCATTTTGGGCTCTTAATTAGTTTGTTCAACCATCACAATCTCAAATGCTAAGCAGGGCATTTGAATCTCTCCACAGTCCAAATCAGCACCATCTTTTGAAGTTGAGTTTCTCATTATTCTCACCTGATATACCTTATTTATCCCACACTCACCCTAATAACATATTGTGCTCACTGTTATCTTTGAGACAACACTTGAGTTTTACTCAGCCTGCAGTGCTCTTCACATGTCTTGTCCAGATCCAGTTCAGACTCATTCTTCAGCCCTGCATCAGTCAATGGGGGCTAGGTTAAACTGTGGTGACAAACAACCTCCAAATTTCAGTGGTTCAAAAATCTTTTTCCTCATTTATTTACATCTCATCATGGGTCAGATGTGAGGTAGCTCTGTGCTGTGTCATCCTAACACAGGAATCCAGACGGAAGGAGGGACCATCAATAAGATCCCCATTGCTATAGAAAAAAGAAAAAAGCATGCGGAATAGAACTCTGTTTCTTGGAGATTTCTTCTGAAAAAGTCACATGTTATTTCTTCTCACCTCCGTTGGCAAAAAACAAACAAACAAACAAAAAAGTCATGTGGCCATGGGAAAATTTAAGTAGGTGGGATGGAACAGTCAGAATGCATTCACAAACAAATGAACTGAAAATATTTGGAGAACAGCACCAATGACTATCATGAATGCAAACATGCATCCCTAACAACCCGGTGCTATTTCCCTCCAAACTTTTTATGTCTTGCAAAGTATTAGAACTGCATATCTGAAGCCATACCACTCAGAGGGAATGCAAAATACATAATGACATCTCCTTTAGGATATCCTTAGAGAATTCAAGGAAAAGAAGTTAAACAGTTTAAAAGTGCTGTTGGATACAGCTATTTAGCACTAGAGGGTAAGATTAGAGATAGATCGTAAAGATAATAATAGGGTTAGGGTTAGGGTTAGGATTAGGATCTGGGTCAGAGTCAGGGCCAGAAATATGGTTAGAGGTGGGGTCAAGGTCAGGGTCAAGATCAAAATCAGGGTCAAAGTAAGGGTGAGAATTGGGGCCCAGGGTAGGGATCAGTGTTTAGGTTCAGGGTCAAAGTCTTGGGACAGGGTTAGGGTTAGGATTAGAACCAGAGCTTTGTTCTCCTCAGGACCCACCCGAGGGTGGGTCACCATGGCTTTGGAGCACCTGGTAGCATGTCTACAGTGAAGACCAGAGTTTCATTGTCCTTAAGACTGACCTGGGCAGACGTGGCTGCTGGCCATTGAGGAAGGTGAGGCAAAAGCTTCCTGTCTGCTCCCCATGTGCTGAGGAGGGAGCTCTGCCATGGGCTTTACTTTCACATGTTTTATTCTACAAGTCTTGTTTTACAAAAGCATCCTTTCCTTGAGGCTTCGGCTGCTCATCGCTTCTCATCACCATAGCGTGCCATAACATATGGTAAGATTTGGGCTTGTTTCTGGGGAGAGATCTTGGTATAGAGACAGGGGAAATGCTTAGAGCCACCATCAGAAGAGTTGGGATGAAAGCTGGGGATGGGCAGAGGCTGGAGGAAACATGTGCACCCCCTGTAAACACTTTTATTCATGTTTTAGTTGCTCATTTTTCTTACAGTGTTAAAGTAGTAAAAATAGTATTGAAAAATTGAAAAGTAGGCATATTAAAACTTGCAACATTATTTAAGTTTAAATATATTGTTGGTACCTCATCATTTTTTATTTTGTTGAGAAAGTCTAAGGTTAATTGGCAGCATAGTTGTAATAGTAGACAGAATAATGTCTGTTTTATAAACATTGACATACTATATTACATGTATGAACCCTGAAAATCTGAAACAGCTCTCGGATTTTTTAGAAAGTTTACTTGCCAAGTTTGAGGATGCGCCCCCATGATGCCTCCTCAGGAAGTCCTGACAACATGGGCCCAAGGTGGTCGAGGCACAGCTTGGTTTTATACACTTTAGGGAGACATGAGACATCAATCAATATGTGCAAGATGTACATTGGTTCAGTCCAGAAAGGTGAGAAGGCCAGACAGGGGGCTTCCAGGTCATAAGTAGGTAAGAGACAAATGGTTTCATTCTTTTGCTTTGCTGATTACCCTCTCCAAATGAGGCAATCAGATATGCATTTGTCTCGGTGAGCAGATGGGTGACTTTGGATAGAATGGGAGGCAGATTTGCCCTAAGCAGTTCCCAGCTTGACTTTTCCCTTTAGCTTAGCGATTTTGGGTCCCCAAGATTTATTTTCCCTTCACAAGGTCTAACATGTTTTCCTATGAGCATTAATTATTTATTGTGTATTTTATTACACAAATAAGGCAAAGATTTTTAAAAAATCATCAACTTCATGCCTAGCTACATAGACATAATTACACAGAAGCTCAACTAAATTTGCAAACATTCCAGAGTTTGGGTTTCCAATAATTCTTAGTGATTCTTTAAAAGGTAAAGTATTTTTTTCCCATAAAACATAGCAACATCTAAAATCACCCGTAGAACGTCCTGCCATTTTTGTTTCTTTAGTTTCCTCATTTTCTGCAAAGCCTCGCTGAGGAAATTGACTTTGAATATCCTTTTACACTCTTATTTTTAGAAAGCATTGTGGTAAAACATTGAATCATCATGGTTGTAAGTTCTGTTCACATTCTTTCTTTCTTTGAATATTTTTTCCCAATGGCCAATATTTGATTCTGTTGTATTATGGCTAAAAGGTAGGCATGGGAACAAAGTAAAGACAAGAAGTCTTTAGAATAAGTGATCCCATCACAATGAATCAATTTGCCATTGGAACATATTTTTACAGTCACTCTTTTGAAAATATTTAGCCATGAATTGAAACAGATCCTGTAAGTTTATTTTTTTTCCTGGTCTAAGGTGATCAGCATTTTAGAGAATGAACCAGGACACAACCATAGCACAAGACAAAAATACGATAATTAAGTTTACACATATGTGTTACTACTGTAACAGAAAACATGTACAGAGCATTTGTTTTGATTTATATATCAGTCTGCACTGTTTAATTTTTTGTGTCATAAATGCTCTTATTTAAAAAAACAGGACTAGTTAACAGTGTCAATTACTAGTAATTCACGGTATAAATAATTAAGCAAGGAAGCATTAAAAAATATAAAAAGGTTTTAAATAAAGTTTTATTTTACATCTTTTTTTTTTACTTACACAGAAATTACCAAAAAAAAAAAAAAAAAAAAAGCAGAGATTTCCCATGTAGCCACAACCTAGTTTCCTCTCATTAACATCTTCTATCAGTGTGTCTCACATGGCTTATTAATATCTTACATAATTTGTCACAGTTAATGAACCAATACTGATAGACTATTATTAACTAAAGTTCACATTTCATTTGGACTCCCTTAGTTCTGTCTTACTCTGACCCAGGATCCCATCCAGGATCCCGCACGACATGTAGTCATCACATAGGCTCTTCCTGGCTGTGACAGTGTGTCAGGCTTTCCATCTCATGATGACCTTGACAGTACTGAGGAGGATTGGTCAGTAATTTTGTAGAATGTCTCCCATTTTCACTTCATGTTCTCAAGGTAAACTGTCATTTTTGATGTTCACTTGGATCATTTGGCAGAGCTACTGTTTGTCAGGTTTCTCCACTGTGAAGTTATTTTTCCTCCTTGTCCATACTGCATGTGTTCTTTTGGAGCAAGTCACTATGCAGAGCCCACACTCATGGAGTGAGGAGTTGGCTCCACCTTCCTGATGGCTGAGTGTCTACATCAATTATTTGGAATTCTTTTGCAAAGGAGATTTCTATGCAACTCCATTAGCTTATTCACCTATGTATACAAATACAGACACCTAGATAATTACTTTAAGCTTCAGTTATTATTCAACACTGCAGCATTGTGTTGCACAATTCATTCCTGTGTTGGCCTTCGGTAGCTGTTATTATTGGCTCTTATTTTTCTTTGATATATTTTAATTTTTTTTAGTACTTACTTTCTGATACTTCAAGATTATCCTGGCTCCTATATTTACTGTCCCAGTTCTAGTATCAGACATTTCTTCAAAGAGCCTGATTCCTTTCAGAATGGTAGGAAAACTTACATCTGGCTGTTGAATTAGCACATTGTATCTTGTCCCTCATTAGCAATGCTAGGAAGTATATGTGTGTGTCTAACCTACCTATACACACCTGATTATAAAGTTTTCTATGTAGAACTGTGTGTATCTATATTAAACTAAACATAAGTTTATGTTTGAAGGGGTGGCCTGGCCCTCCACACCTGTGGGTATATCTCATCAGATGGGATGAGAGACTGAGAAAAAAAATAAGACTCAGAGACAAACTATAGAGAAAGAAAAGTGGGCCCAGGGGACTGGCTCTCAGCATACCAAGGACATGCACCAGCACCGGTCTCTGAGTTCCCTCAGTTTTTATTATTATTTTCATTATCTCAGCAAGAGGAATGCAGTAGGAGAGCAGGGTGATAATAAGGAGGAGGTCAGCAAAAAAACATGTGAGCAAAAGAATCTATGTCATAATTAAGTTCAAGGGTAGGTACTATGCCTGGATGTGCACATAGGCCAGATTTATGTTACTGTCCACCCAAACATTTCAGTGGAGTAAAGAATAACTAGACAGCATTGCTGCCAACATGTCTCACCTCCCACCATAGGGTGGTTTTCCTCCTATCTCAGAATTGAACAGGTGTACAATCGGGTTTTATACCGAGACATCAAGTTCCCAGGGGCAGGCAGGAAATGGTGGCCTTCCTCTATCTCAACTGCAAGAGGATCTCCTCTTTTACTAATCCACCTCAGCACAGACTCTTTATGGGTGTCAGGCTGGGGGATGGTCAAGTCTTTCTTATCCCATGAGGCCACATTTCAGACTATCACATGGGGACAAACCTTGGACAATACCCGGCTTTCCAGGGCAGAGGTCCCTGTGGCTTTTTGCAGTGCATTGTGCCCCTGGTTTATTGAGACTAGAGAATGGCAATGAGTTTTACCAAGCATACTGCTTGTAAATATTTTGTTAACAAGGCACATCCTGCACAGCCCTAGATCCCTTAAACCTTGATTCCATATAACACATGTTTTTGTGAGCTCAAAGTTGGGGCAAAGTGGCTGGGGCAAAGTTACAAATTAACAGCATCTCAGCAAAGAAATTTTTCAAGGTACAGATCAAAATGGAATTTCTTATGTCTTCCCTTTCTACATGGACACAGTAACAGTCTGATCTCTCTTTCTTTTCCTATAACGTTGATGTCTCCACCTCTGATCTACTATCACATGAATCATTCTAGCCTTCTCACCTTGCTAATTTGTAACCTCCCACTTCACCAGTGAGAGATCTGGTTCCTACCATCTGCAACTTATGTAAGTCATTGTTTTATTCCAGATACAGATACTGTGGTTTTACAACTGTTAACAATTGCTTCTGTTGGAAAGAACTTTATAAAATGGAATCCAATGATGAAGTATAGTTCATTTGCCTTCAGCCTACAGATTCTATTCATTTTCAAAGTGACTTAGGTCAACATCATTTTCCCTACACCTTCAGTGAGTTTTTACCTACATTTGTGTCTTAGTCCATTTCGTGCTTCTGTAACAGAATACCTGAGGCTGGGTAACTTATAAGTAAAAAAGGTTCATTTGGCTCACAATATTTGTGGCTGGAATGTCTGAGATTGGGCACTTGCATCTGGGGGGCTTCAGTCTTTTTCACCTCATGGTGGAAAGTGGAAGGGGAGCAAGGGGTGCACCAGAGATCACATAGCAAAAGTGAAAGCAAGAGGGAAGCCAAGGAAGCCAGACTCTTTTTAACTACCTACTCCTGCAGGAATTAATCCATTCCTGTGAGAGCAGAACTCATTCACCCCCATCGGAGTACATTAATCTATTCATGAGAGATCCATCACCATGACCCAAACATCTTCCACTAGGCCCCATCGCCCCACACTGACACAGTGGGGGTCAAATTTCAATATGAGTTTTTGCGGGGACAAGCCACATCCAAAAGATAGTAATTTGTAGCATAGTTAAATTCTTTTTCACATGATGTATTCTGTCCTGAGATACTCCACATCCTGAGTAATTTTATTTAATTTGAATAGAGTTTTCTTTAACCATTTGGCTGTAAAATTCTGCATATTTTGACAAATGCATTGTGGCAGGTATCCCACTATTAAAGTATAATATGGAATGCTTCTAACCCCCACCCCTGGAGCCAATGGCTTCCCATCTGTGTAGTTTGCCTTCTCCAGTGTCTCATTAAATGAGGTCACACTGTGTGTATGCTCCTCACACTGTCTTCTTCCACTTAGCAATGTGCATGCAAGAGTCGCTCATGTCTTTGTGTGAGTTGATAGCTTGTTCCTTTCTATGGCTAAGTAGCATTCCATTGCATGAATGTACCACAATTTGGTTATGCATTTTGGGGAGCAAAACCTTCCTCTTCTAACTTTGTTCCAGGGTTGGTGACCATCAAATTAACTGACAATAGATACATTAGTAGGAGAGACAATAATTGGCTTCTTGCTCCCCAAGTATCATTGTGGGACAGAATTCATCAGATGGCAGGATCTAGTTTACAAAGAGGTAAAAACAGCCCAGAAACAAGAAACAAGACTAGAATCTGATAACCCACAAAGGCTGTAGTTTTCCTTTAAAAACATTTTTTTTGAGACAGGGTCTGGCTCTGTCACCCAGGCTGGAGTGCAAAGGTGCAATCTCAGCTCACTGCAACCTCTACCTCCTGGGTGCAAACGATCTTCCCTCCTCAGCTTCCTGATTAGCTGGGACTACAGGCACATGCCATGATACCCAACTAATTTTTGTATTTTTGGTAGAAACAGGGTTTTACCATGTTGCCCAGGCTGGTCTTGAACTCCTGGCCTCCCAAAGTGCTGGAATTATAGGCATGTGCACCATGCCGGCCATGTTATAGTTTTCCTTTGAAATATAAAATTTCTCTTGGTAGTAACCATCATTTTTTATCATAATCAAAGTAAGACTATTCTTGTTTTAAAAATAAGTCTTGTTTTATTAGATTTTGCTTGATTATTTATGTAACTGCAGCAAGAACAGGCGATGACCACATAGGTGCTTTCAAGTTTCTTTGCTGGAAGTTTTCATATAGAATCTCAGATTTGACTTTTAAAGGCCTTATTCAGCTAAAAGCCAAGCTAAGAACATACTATCAAATTTCAGCTGCAGTCCTTATAGCTTTGTGTGAATTCCTCTCTTCTTGAGGCCCCCAAAATATCCCTAAATTCCTGGGCCTACCAGGAAATGACCTTCCTTACTAACCTGTAAGGCTGTGAACCCTGTAATCTAGGTATCAGGCTGGCTTTTCTCAGAGTGCTGTTGGGAATGAAGTTTTTGATGTTCCAAAAAAGGAAAAAAAAAAGAATTAACGTGGGAACAAATGATCTCTTAGCAAGGTGAGCTTTACTTTCTGCAGAAAGGGTGCTACTCAATAGCTGTCCAGCCAGAAGAACACACCGAACAAAGGAGACAGAGTTACTTATAACCTTATGTGTCTACCCTACTGCTGTGTCCAGTTTCCATTGGCTGGAATAAGACCTCACATTTTACACTTTACCCAGTTGGCTATTAGTTTAAAACTTTATTAATTAGGTAAGGGGAATAGAACAAAGAAAGAACAGGAAGTTGCCCAGGGATAGTTAAGGAAGCATCTCCAAATAAGGAATGGCATGCACTATGGGCTGGGGCTTGTCTAGTTCTGTCCAGGCATGCTGGAGCAAGCTAGGACAACTGACTTGGAAGACACACACACACACACACACACACATATAAATAGTGGATAGCAATCTCATAGTAAGAAATTGTGACTTTTTATAATTTTTGAAGAAGAATTTTCTCGTTTCTCAGAGTGCTTTGTAAGCACTGTCTGCATAAAAGTCAACCTTACTTCCTTAAAATTGCTGGTCATAAGTGATCTTAGGTACATTTCCTAAATATGATATTCCAGTAAAAACCTTGATAATATAACAAAAATTTCCAATTATGTCCTGTTATAAGGTAAACAGATTTTTTTATGTTCAATAATCTTTTATTGGGATGCATGATGCATTCATGATCTGACAAAACTAGAGCACATTGGTATTGGTATTATTATTTTGGTAAATTTATTTTATTTTATTATTATTATAGTTTAAGTTTTAGGGTACATGTGCACAATGTGCAGGTTTGTTACATATGTATACATGTGCACATGTGCCATGTTGGTGTGCTGCACCCATTAACTCGTCATTTAGCATTAGGTATATCTCCTAATGCTATCCCTCCCCCCTCCCCCCCACCCCACAACAGTCCCTGGAGTGTGATGTTCCCCTTCCCATGTCCATGTATTCTCATTGTTCAATTCCCACCTATGAGTGAGAACATGCAGTGTTTGGTTTTTTTGTCCTTGTGATAGTTTGCTGAGAATGATGGTTTCCAGTTTCATCCATGTCCCTACAAAGGACATGAACTCTTCATTTTTTATGGCTGCATAGTATTCCATGGTGTATATGTGCCACATTTTCTTAATCCAGTCTATCATTGTTGGATATTTGGGTTGGTTCCAAGTCTTTGCTATTGTGAATAGTGCCGCAATAAACATACGTGTGCATGTGTCTTTATAGCAGCATGATTTATACTCCTTTGGGTATATACCAAGTAATGGGATGGCTGGGTCAAATGGTATTTCTAGTTCTAGATCCCTGAGGAATCGCCACACCATCTTCTACAATGGTTGAACTAGTTTACAGTCCCACCAACAGTGTAAAAGTGTTCCTATTTCTCCACATCCTCTCCAGCACCTGTTGTTTCCTGACTTTTTAATGATCGCCATTCTAACTGGTGTGAGATGGTGTCTCATTGTGATTTTGATTTGCATTTCTCTGATGGCCAATGATGATGAGCATTCCTTCACATGTCTTTTGGCTGCATAAATGTCTTCTTTTGAGAAGTGTCTGTTCACATCCTTCGCCCACTTTTTGATGGGGTTGTTTGTTTTTTTCTTGTAAATTTCTTTGTGTTCATTGTAGATTCTGGATATTAGCCCTTTGTCAGATGAGTAGGTTGTGAAAATTTTCTCCCATTTTGTAGGTTGCCTGTTCACTCTGACAGTAGGTTTTTTTTTGCTGTGCAGAAGCTCTTTAGTTTAATTAGATCCCATTTGTCCATTTTGGCTTTTGTTGCCATTGTTTTTGGTGTTTTAAACATGAAGTCCCTGCCCATGCCTATGTCCTGAATGGTATTGCCTAGGTTTTCTTCTAGGGTTTTTATGGTTTTAGGTCTAACATGTAAGTCTTTAATCCATCTTGAATTAATTTTTGTATAATGTGTAAGGAAGGGATCCAGTTTCAGCTTTCTACATATGGCTAGCCAGTTTTCCCAGCACCATTTATTAAATAGGGAATCCTTTCCCCATTGCTTGTTTTTGTCAGGTTTGTCAAAGATCAGATGGTTGTAGATATGCGGCATTATTTCTGAGGTCTCTGTTCAAGGTGAACAGATTCTTATTGGACTTTTGCTAACAACTATATCATCGTGAAAATAAGAGTGTTCAGTAAGGATTTCAAAATTCTGGAAAAATCAGGCAGGGGAAAAAAGATAAATGCTTCACTTCTGTTTTCAAAAGTATAATCTACTAAATTGTATGTTACAGTTAGGTTAAGAGAAAGAGATTTCTTAAGTCCAGAAACTAGAACATTAAAGAACCAGCAATGCTCCAAAAAGCTATAAAATTATAATCAATTTTCATCAGTTCATTCAGTACCATGTAATCAATTCCAGTCTTGTTGCATCTTGGGTTAGCAGTGTCATGAACCCATCAATTTCTGAAGCAGACTTCTGGAGATCTTCACTGAGCGAAGTGTATGGTCTTAAAGTTATTTAAGCAATATCATCAGAAGCCTATAACCAGACTATCTTGCATACTCTTTTCTGTGTGTCTCAGAGGGAGTCCCGTGATGGAGATGAACATTCTGACCTGTAGCTGATTGCAGGAGCTTTCAGGAAAGCATCAGGGGGAAATAATATCTAAATGATAAAGAATATGAAATGGCTGTGATGAAAGATCTGATGAGAGTTCATTATACCACAACTGACAAGGATATTCGATTTTTTCTGTGGGATAAAACATTTATTTATTTATTTATTTATTTATTTAGAGACAGAGTCTCGCTCTGTTGCCCATGCTGGAGTGCAGTGGCGCTATCTTGGCTCACTGCAAGCTCTGCCTCCCTGGTTCATGCCATTCTCCTGCCTCAGCCTCCTGAGTAGCTGGGAGTACAGGTGCCCACCACCACGCCTGGCTAATTTTTTGTATTTTTAGTAGAGATGGGGTTTCACCATGTCAGCCAGGATGTTCTCGATCTCCTGACCTTGTGATCCACCTGCCTAGGCCTCCCAAAGTGGTGGGATTACAGACGTGAGCCACTGCACCCAGCACAACATTTAAAATAATAATTGGAATTATGACTCATAACTCTATACTGGCACATAGCATGGATAAGGAGAACATTGACAAATTTCCAGGAATTTTATATAATTTCTGAAAACATGACATTTTACCCATACAAATATAACACAGGGAAGGCTAGGTATCTCTTTTTATTTGTATCTTTTGTATGGTTTTCCTTATAAAAAATACGTCCTACTTTACTTGCAAAACATGCACTACTTTTCTTGCATGCTTTGCATAGAGTTGTTTCTAGTTATTCTATTATTTCCAGTAGTTTTATTTACACATATTGATTATAATTTTAATACTTAGTAATCTTTTATTTTCCAGAGAAAACTAGGAAGTAGACAGTTATAAACTGTCATATGTTAGCATTCTATAGTAGGTTAGAAAATGTATGAGTATACCATCTCCCAACATCTAGAGGGATGTGTTTCCTCATAGTACAATTTCTCAGTGTGGTAGACAAAAACATGTTTATTAATGGGCTAAAATATCTTTAGTTTCTCTGTAAAAATAAGTAGCCAAAAGTATGTAAACTAGAATTATTTATCTTCAGTAATGTTTTAGTATTGTATCTTATTTATAAATGGTCTAGATATTTAATGCAAATCTTTTACTTAGCTTAACTTTAAGGTTAACTTTAAGGTTAAAAATTACCAAAAGTATTTTGGAAACTACTACTGCAGAGGTACCTATGCAGAAAGAAACACCCCAGAACTCCATTTAAGATGCCCCAGTCATCATTCACTCTGCAGTAAAAATGTCACAATATTGCTGGCTACATGCTGATAAGAAGGACAAAGGGGACATTCTTAAGAGAAACCTGGCACCATAAGTACAGAGTAGTGTAGAGAAGGACATTCAAAAGAGATAGGCAGGCGCTGTAGGCAGAAACATGACCGCTGTCAGCCTGCCTGGGATGGGGGGAAGGAGCCTGGTACCAGAGTGGATTCGGATTGATCAGCACACATGTGCCTCAACCAACAGTGAGGAGGTCCCATAAGCCTAAGTGGGGCAACTCAGGGACCTAAGGCAGTAGCAGGAAAACCAGACAAAGAAAACAGGTGGAGACTTGAGACAGAGGCAGAAATGTGAAGAAGTCCAAAATAAAATTCCCTGCACAGGACTCTCAGGCTGTTTTCCTGCACAATCAGCCCACTCCTCCCTATTATTCTACAATAAGCTCTTTACACTGTATTTGTTTTCAATGAAGTTATCTGCCATGTTTTTACTGCCTCTTGGTGAAAAATCTTTCTTCCAAGTTAGACAAGAACTGGGACATCAACTCTCCTCAGTAATAGCTCCATTTCAGTTTCAATTTCCAGAACTGATGGTGCTTAACTGGCGCTCCGACTTTAAGTGGTGCAGGAGGCGGCCAGTAGGGCGTGCCAGCCCTCACACCCTGAACAAGAGGTCCCTGCATAGTCCCCATCTGCCTGCAGGTAGTGTGCTGCCACGACAGTGCCAGGAAAAGTCCCGGCAGCGTCCCCAGCTGCCAGCAGGGGGTGTACGACGACTACACTCTGAGCAAGAGGGCCCTGCAGTGTCCTTAGCTGCCAGCAGGTGGTGGACGGGCACCACACCATGAGCAAGAGAACCCTGCAGTACCCTGGTTGCCAGCAGGCGGCGAGCTGCCACTACACTGTGAGCAAGAGCATCCTGTAGTGCCCCAAGCGGCCAGAAGGGGGCGTGCCCCCAGTAAACTGCAAGCAAGAGGGCCCGGCAGTGTCCCCAGCTGCCAGCAGGGGAGCCAACAGCCACTACACTTGGAGCAAGAGTGGCCGGCAGTGTCCCCAGCTGCCAGCAGGCGGGCGTCCTGTCACTATACTATGAGCAAGAGAGCCCTGCAATGTCTCCAGCTGCCAGCAGGCGGCATGCCGCCACTATACTGTGTGCAAGAGGACCCTGCGGTGCCCCGCCGCCAGCAGGGGCCGCTGGCCACTAATGGAAGCAAGAGAACCCTGCAGTTGCCCCAGTCACCAGCAGGGGGCACGCTGGCACAGCGCCTTCAGCAAGTGGGCCCTTTAGTGCCCGGCCGCAAGGAGGGGGCAACCTGGCTTTTCAGATTACTGAGGTTCCGCCTGTCTCTGCGCTGCGCCCCAGGCGGCGTGCGTCACTGCGCCTGCGCCGCGCCCCCCTCCCCGCGCCTGGCGGAGTGCATCTCCGCGCCTGCGCCTCGCCCCCGCGCTGGCGTGCGTCTCCGCGCCTGCGCCTTGTCCTCGGCGCCGCGCTCGCGTTCTTCTCTGCGTCTGCGCCACGCAGCCGTGCGTCTCTGCGCGTGCATCGCGCCCCCACCTCGGCGACGCGCCAGCGCCCGACTCTGCGCCTGCGCCCGTCTTTGCGCCGGCGCCGCGCTGGCGTTTTTCTCTGCGCCTGCGCCGCGACCCCCGGCGCTGGCGCTTTTCTCGGCGCCTGCGCTGCGCCGCCATTTTTTTTCTGCGCCTGCGCCGCGCCAGCGTCCTTTTCTGCCCCTGCGCGGAGCTCCCGCCCCGGCGCCGCGCCGGCGTGCGTCTCTGGGCCTGCGCCGCGCCCCTGCCCCGGCGTGCGTGTCTGCGCCTGCGCCGCGCCCCCGCCCCGGCGTGGGTCTCTGCGCCTGCGCCGCGACCCCCGCCCCGGCGCCGCGCCGGCGTTTTTCTCTGCGCCTGCGCCCCGACCCCCGCCCCGGCGCCGCGCCGGCGTGCGTCTCTGGGCCTCCGCCGCGCCCATAGGGGACGCGCCGGCGTTTTTCTCTGCGCCTGCGCCACGCAGCCGTGCATCTCTCCGCGTGACTCTTGCCACCGCCACGGCGCCGCGGCGGCGTCCGTCTCTGCGCCTGCGCCGCGGCGGCGTCCGTCTCTGCGCCTGCGCCGCGGCGGCGTCCGTCTCTGCGCCTGCGCCGCGGCGGCGTCCGTCTCTGCGCCTGCGCCGCGGCGGCGTCCGTCTCTGCGCCTGCGCCCCGGCGGCGTCCGTCTCTGCGCCTGCGCCCCGTCGGCGTCCGTCTCTGCGCCTGTGCCTGCGCCGCGCCCCCCGCACCGCGCTGGCGTTTTTCTACTGCGCCTGCGCCGCGCCACCATCCGTCTGTGCGCCTGCGCGGGGTCCCATCATGGCGCCGCGCCGCCGTGTGTGTCTGGGCCTGCGTCGCGCCTCCGGCCAGGCGCCACGCTGCCGTCCGTGTCTGCGCCTGGGCCGCGCTCCCATCCCGGCGCTGCGCCGGCGTGCGTCTCTGCGTCTGCGCCGCGCCCACGCCCCGGCGCAACGGTGGCATGCCTCTCTGGGCCTGCGCCGCGCCCCCCAGGGACGCGCCGTCGTTTTTCTCTGCGCCTGCGCTGCACCGACGTTTTTTTCTGCGCCTGCGATGGCGCTATGCCTTTGCGAGGGCGGAGCTGCGTTCTCCTCAGCGCAGACCTGGAGAGCATCGCGAAGGAGGAGCTCCGTTTTCCTCTGCAGAGACTTCGGGGGGAACGCGATAACGGAGCTGCATTCTGCTCAGCACAGACGCGGGGGACATCCCGAAGGTGGAGCAGCGCATGCCTCTCCACAGACGTTGGGGGCACTGCTTCATTTTGGGACAACTGGGGGCCACATCCACGGTAAAGATCCTTCCTCTTTGCAGCCGAGAATAATGAGGGTTAGGGTTAGGGTTAGGGTTAGGGTTAGCGTTAGGGTTAGGGTTAGGGTTAGGGTTAGGGTTAGGGTTAGGGTTAGGGTAGGGTTAGGGTTAGGGTTAGGGTTAGGGTTAGGGTTAGGGTTAGGGTTAGGGTTAAGGGTTAAGGGTTAGGGTTAGGGTAGGGTTAGGGTTAGGGTTAGGGTTAGGGTTAGGGT